>NC_000015.10:42973843-43276874 GCF_000001405.40 Homo sapiens
ATACCTAAGGTCATCTAGGTTTTCTATGTTAACTTGTAGGAGTTTTTTTTTTTTTTTTTTTTTGAGATGGAGTCTCGCACTCTCTCCCAGTCTGTAGTGCAGTGGAGCAATCTCGGCTCACTGCAAGCTCCACCTCCCGGGTTCACGCCATTCTCCTGCCTCAGCCTCCCAAGTAGCTGGGACTACAGGCACCCGCCACCACGCCCAGCTAATTTTTTGTATTTTTAGTAGAGACCGTGTTTCACCGTGTTAGCCAGGATGGTCTTGATCTCCTGACCTCGTGATCTACACGCCTCAGCCTCCCAAAGTGCAGGGATTACAGGCGTGAGCCACCGTGCCCAGCCATCTTGTAGGAGTTTTATAGTTTTGCATTTTACATTTAGGTCTATGATCTGCTTTGAATTAATTTTTGTGAAGGGTGTAAAGTCTGTGTCTATATTCATTTTATTGGACATGGGTGTCTACTTGTTCCAACACCATTTGTTGAAAAGACTACCTTTGATCCTTTGCTCAAATGTCAAAGATCAGTTGACTACAAATATGTGGATCTATATCTGGGCTCTCTTTCATATTTCATTGATCTATTTGTCTAATCTTTTGCCAACCACACTGTCTTTATTACTGTAGCTTTATAGTAAGTCCTAAGGTTGGGTAGTGTCAACCCTCCAAATTTCTTCTCCTCCAATACTGAGCTGGCTATTCTAGGACTTTTGTCTTTCCATATATACTTCATGTATTTATTTATGTACTTGTTTGTTTACTTATTACTTACTTTCTGGTTGATTGACAGGGTCTCACTCTGTTACCCGGCCTGGACTGCAGTGGTGCAATCCCAACTCACTGCAGCCTTGACTTCCTGGGCTACAGCAATCCTTACACATCAGCCTCCCAAACGGCTGGGACTATAGGCATGTGCCACCATGCCCAGCAAATTTTCCTATTTTTTTTTAGAGACAGAGTCTCACTATGCTGCCCAGGCTCAAATTCCTCCCAAAGGACTGGGATTACAGGCATGAGCCACTGGGCTTGGCTCACATAAACTTTAGAATCAGTTTGTTGATATCCACAATAATAACCTGCATGGATTTTTATCGGGAGGCTGGAGTGCAATGGCATGATCTCAGCTCACTGCAACCTCTGCCTCCTGGGTTCAAGCAATTCTCCTGCCTCAGCCTCCTGAGTAGCTGGGATTACAGACACCTGCCACCACGCTGGCTAATTATTGTATTTTTAGTAGAGACGGGGTTTCACAATGTTGGTCAGGCTGGTCTCGAACTCCTGACCTCAGGTGATCCACCTGCCTCAGCCTCCCAAAGTGCTGGGATTACAGGTGTGAGCCACCACCCGGCCTCTATTGTCTCTTTTATAAAACACATAAGCAAAAATGTATATAAACACATATATGCATAAAATACCTTACAGAAAAATGCTACACTATAGCCACTATTCTGTACCTTACTTTTTTAACTTATTGCATCATGGAGATCAATTCATATCAGATCTTGTTCATTCCTTTTTAAAACTGCATAGAATTTCATTATATGGTACATCATAGGTTATTCAAAGAATCTCCCATCGATGGACAGCTAAATTGTTTCTGTTTTTTTTGATATCCCAAGTAATATCACAATAAATAATGTCGTGCTTGTATCATTTCATATTTTTGCTGGTAAAGCTTTGGGATAAATTCCTAGAAATGGAGTTGGTGTACCACAGGGTAAATGCACATGTAATTTTGCCATATTTTATTCTGACATCACTTTAATTATGTTTGTTCTCTACATTATATGAATCTTCAGAAGCCCTTATTGGTCACTGATACCCAGGACCAGATTTTGCTTTGGGTTTTTTTTTTCTTCTTTTTTTAAGAGATGAGATCTTGTTCTGTTGCCCAGGCTGGAGTGCCATGGCGTAAAGGCACTCTGCATGGTGCAATCACAGCACTCTGCAGCCTCAAACTCCTGGGCTCAAGTGATCCTCCCACCTCAGCCTCTCAAGTAGCTGGGACTACAGGCACGCAGCAGCATGCCCAGCTAATTAAAAAAAAATTTTTTTGTAGAGATAGGGTCTCACCATCTTGTGCAGGCTGTTCTTGAACTTCTGAGCTTAAGGGATCCTCCTGCCTTGGCCTCCCAAAGTACTGGGATTACAAGCATGAACCACTGCACCCAGCCCCCAGACTTTGCTTCCTATTAAAAACCAGACTCCAAAAGAAAAACTGTATCATCATTCCATAATGTTGTATTACTAATGTATCTTCAAATGAACATTAATTCAAAAGACATTTAATGAGTGTTTACTGGGTTTAACAAGTGTTACCAGATACTTGCAGTTTTAGAGGGAAGATGTTGATATTTCATTGTTTCCTATCATCAAGAAACTTACACTGAGGACAAAGGAGCAGAGAGAGAGGAGAAACAGGGAAAGGAGCAGAACAACAGTAAGATATAACCAGAAATAACTATAAAACAAGATACTAATGATAAATGCTACAAGGGGAAGAAAGTACTATCATTCTAGCTGAAGGAATTAAGAATGGTTTTAGGGACCTCCTTATCAAAAGGTTGAAAAAACTCATGTAGGGACAGACCTCGAGGATGGGGAATTTGAAAAAGAGGGAAAAGCAGGTCCAAGTGGTCTCCCTGCATATCTGTAGAGCAGTTGATAATTAGGTAGTTTCACCTAATTATCTTTTTCACAGCTTATTCTACCTTTCCTTGTTTAAACAGTATCCATTAAAAAACAGATAATCATTCAACAAAAAACATAACACAGAACCTAGAAATACATTATATAATCACAAGAATAATTAATTTTGCCAGTAAAGCATGGCAAAATGTTATTCACAGTCAACACCCAGATGAAAACCTTACCTGTGTCTACTGTAAGTAGTATCTGAAGCATGTGTGCCATGGTGATCAAATGGAAGAGATAAAGGTGGTTATAGGAAGAACTAACTGAAGAAGGCTGCAGATCAACAGGGTCATCCCAATACAAGGATGGGAATGCTAACACAGCACCCACCTATGAGAGAAAAATGGACATCAATATGGCTAATGATAAAAGACTAACATAAATTAATGTCATAACTAAATGTGAAGGGCAGCAGATGCTACACAGTGTTTGTGTGTGTGTTTTTTAATAAAAACCATATTTTTCTTATTTATTCAATAGAATATCTTAGAATATAATGTACCATAAATGGAGGACGATGATCACCACCAAATAGGTTATCCCTTTGCTGTGTCTACTTATTGTAGGTCTAGGTAGTGGTTCTGAACTCTGGCTCAAAGATTCAACATTACAGGAGTTCTTAAAACAATACTGACACAGAGGCCCTACCCTAGTCCAACCAAATGAGAATCTCTTGGGGTAGGGCCTAGTTAATAGCATTCTTTTCAAAGTTCCCCAGGAGATTCCAAAAGACAGTCAGGGTTGATGACCACTGGGTAGAGGCCTAGATAATGAGGGGGATGAGGATGTTGGCTACCCCTGCATCCATAAACTCCATGCTCCCAATCTCAATACTGCTTTCTCTACGGAACTTGGTTTGAAGGAATGAGATCATCACAGGAATGGAAAATCTCTACAAAAAACTAAGGGCAGTTGCCATCCATCCATAGGTGTTTTGAGGAAGCCTAGATACACCCATGGTCTGGTCCTCATCACCAAATAATTAATGATTTTAAGAGAGCTCACACAGTCATTGACTGCATATCATATATACAACTTAAGAAAAAGGCCAGAAGAGGAGCATAATATGAATTAGAAAAGGCTTGTCTGTACAGACACCCACTAATGTAATCAACCAGGACAAGACCTATTACAAATTGAAGTGCTTTTTTTTTTTTTTTTTAATGATTTTGACAGTCTCCATCAAATCTGTACCTATTTGTAAACAATGGACAGGAGAGACCAAACTTTATAGATTAAACACAAAGAATTTATAATCTTGAACAAAGGGCATGAATTTAAATGAGGAAAATACAAGAAATTATCAACATGAGTGACTTAAACAAAATTACTGAACACTTACCAAAACATGAAACAGATCTATAGACAGAAGGCATGGTGTATCTTCTGATTTTATGTTAGGAAGAACAACTAAAACAAACAAAAAGTTAATGTAATTCAGTCAGTAAGATAGCAGTGTAGGTAAATAAAATGCAAGCTAAAAACACCTAAACCAAACATATAACAGGGTTATAAAATACAGAAACTAATACATCACACCTTTGAGATATGAAAACCATAATGAGAGACAAACTGAACTGAGAAAAGGCTGCTAGAAAGCCTTGGATACAGTTTAAGGGTTAAAAGGTAAAATCTAGGTGGAAATGGCACGTGAACTAGGACAACTGAAATATAGAGATTGTTAAAGAAACATTTGTTGAATGAATGAGAAGAGTTACTTTTATACAATGTTCCCTTTATCACTTGTTTTCTGACTTCCATTTCTAAACGTTCTGTGATACATAATATGTGAACAAAATTGGGGTTGTGAGTGGGAAGAACATGCAAAACAGAGTAGGTAAAATGAGGATGGAGAAGATCATCCTGAACAAAATTAGATAATGGTTTATATAGATTGTTCATCTGGAGGAAATGCAAACAGCTCAAAAGCTACTTAATCTTTCTAATCTGGTCCGTGCCTAAGGAAAAGCTGTAATTCCAAAAGTGAGAGCAAGAGTGGCAAAGAAGTGAAATTAATAAGTCAGGACAAGAGGAATGGTTTTGTTTATATAAAAATGAAGGAATTATTGTAGGTCTAGGTATTGGTTCTGAACTCTGGCTCAGAAGATTCAACATCACATAAATAAAGCTGTTATTTTTAAAAATGAGGGAGAAGACTCTTTTCAGACTAGGTAAATTTCTTTTCTTTTCTTTTCTTTTTTTTTTTTTTTAGACAGAATCTTGCTCTCTCATCCAGGCAGGAGTGCAGTGGCATGATGTCGGCTCACCGCAACCTCCGCCTCCCAGGTTCAAGTGATTCTTGTGTCTCAGCCTCCTGAGTAGCTGGGATTGCAGGCACGCGCCACCACGCCCGGCTTTTTTTTTTTTTTTTTTTTCGAGATGGAGTCTCGCTTTATTGCCAGGCTGGAGTGCAGTGGTACAATCTTGGCTCACTGTAATCTCTGCCTCCCGGGTTCAAGCGATTCTCTTGCCTCAGCCTCCCGAGTAGCTGGGACCACAGGCACGTGCCACCATGCCCAGCTAATTTTTGTATTTTTAGTAGAGATGGTGTTTCACCATGTTGGCCAGGATGGTCTCGATCTCTTGACCTCGTGATCCACCTGCCTTGGCCTCCCAAAATGCTGGGATTACAGGCATGAGCCACTGTGCCCAACCAATTTTTTCTTTTTTTCTTTTTTTTTTTTTTAGTAGAGATGGGGTTTCACAATGTTGACCAGGCTCGAACTTCTGACCTCAGGTGATGTGTCTGCCTCGGCCTCCCAAAGTGCTGGGATTACAAGCATGAGTCACCACGCCTGGCCATGTAACTAGATCAATTTCTTAACCTCAAATTCCAAGATTCTAAACAAAAAGCATAAAGGTTAAGATCAGGGGCTTTGAAGTCAGACTAAAATGGCTTCCAGTATTGGCTGTGACTACTGGTCATGGGCAAGTGACAGGCGACTTAACTTCTCTAAGTTTACATGCAGTATATGCAAGTTTGTTGGGAGGTTCATTAACAAATTAATTTATTATTTATGTATTTTATTTTGAGATGGAGTCTCACTCTGTCCCCCAGGCTGGAGTACAGTGGTGCAATCTCGGCTCACTACAACCTCCGCCTCCTCGGTTCAAGCAATCCTCCTGCCTCAGCCTCCCAAGTAGCTGAAATTACAGGCACCTGCCACAATGCCCAGCTAATTTTTTTATTTTTTATTTTTAGTAGAGATGGGGTTTTGCCACGTTGGCCAGGCTGGTCTTGAACTCCTCGCCTCAAGAGGTCCACCTCCCCTGGCTTCTCAAAGTGCTGGGATTACAGGTGTGAGCCACTGCTCCAGGTCAACATATGAATTTAAAGCACTTATCCAAGCTTGGCATATGTAACCACTCTATAAATGTTATTAATATTGGCTACATAAAACAAACTAAAGTGATCATAGGGCTCTGACATTAACTAGCTATGTGACTTCAACAAGTCATTTGCTGTTTCTAGGTCCCATTTCCTCAAATTATCTTTTAGTAATATTTCTGATATTTCAGTTAGCATGTCTATGATACTACCTATCTTATTTTTTTCTCAATGTTACAGCTTACTCAAAATATTTAAATAATTCCTGATCCCTCGTCCTAATTTCCATCATCTTTTCAGCCAAAAGAATACTCTTTGTGTCATCAAATTTTTCTTACAGGCAGTTTAAAATGATTTTTCTTTCCCTGATTGCTAAAAATATTTAAAATTCTGTTGAAATCAAAAGTCAATTTTGGTATGCATATTTTCATTTTAACTATGGGTTAAGCCAACCCTTTATGCACAATTAAACACCTCGGCAAAGTTTACATGATATAGTGGGAAAATCATGGGCTTTATGGTCAGGCCTGGGTTTAAATATTAGTTCTACTTCTTATTGGTTTTATTACCATGGGCAAGTCATGCAACTTCCCTGTGCCTCAGTTTTCTCGTAAATCGGGAGAATAATTTCCTTGAAGGATGGTGACTAGAAATTAGATTTTATTTAAAAATTCTAGGACAAGGCATAGCACATGGCAGTGAGCATTGTATGTCCTATCTATCTATCCATCCATCCATCCATCCATCCATCCATCCATTTAGAGACAAAGTCTCTCTCTGTTGCCCAGGCTGGAGTGCAGTAGTACAATCATGGCTTACTGCAGCCACGACCTCCTGGGTGCAAGTGATACTCCCAACTCAGCCTCCCGAGTAGCCAGTACTACAGTTGTGCACCACCACACCCGGCTAAGTTTTTTGTGGAGACGGGGTTTCACCATGTTGCCCAGGCTGGTCTCGAACTCCTGAGCTCAAATGATCTGCTCACCTTGGCTTCCTAAAGTTCTGGGATTACAGGTGTAAGCCATTACACCCGGCCTGTCCTATTGCTACTGCAGAAATCAACATATTAAAACAATACTCATCACTTTACATAGAAAATAGCTCCTATTCTGGACTTCCTTATTTCTCTCAATTTTTCTGCTATTCATTTTAGTTCAAAATCTTGCCCCTGACCCAGCCCACCCCAACGTCTTCCCTAATTCCTGCTATCACATTCAGATGCATATGTTACCTCTAATTTTTCCCTCCTTCAATCCAACCTATTCAATATCAAATTAAGCTCAGAATACTATTGTCCACAACGTTTCAAAAAATTCCGATTACCTAAAGAATAAAGTTCAAACTTATGCCTGGGGCATTTAAGCCACTGTAATTTTATTAAAAAAAACCTTCATGCTTTTCTAACTATAGATGCCACTACTCCTATCAAACCTATCTACTTGAACACATCACGCACTTTCCTACCTCCTCAATCTTTGTTCAAATGTGCCCTGTGTCTTTTGGAATGCAGCTTCTGTTCCTCTCAATTTATCTATTATGTGTACTCCCTTCAAGGCTCAGTTCAAATCCTACCCTGTTAGAGGAGATAACAGCAGAGTCCCAAAGCGATTTCTTTCTTGCCTCAATTTTTTTTTTCTTTTTTGAGATGGAATCTCGCTCTGTCGCCCATGTTGGAGTGCAGTGTGGCAATCTCAGCTCACTGCAAGCTCTGCCTCCTGGGTTCACGCCATTCTCCTGCCTCAGCCTCCCGAGTAGCTGGGACTACAGGCGCCCGCCACCACGCCTGGCTAATTTTTTGTATTTTTTAGTAGAGACAGGGTTTTACCATGTTAGCCAGGATGGTCTCGACCTCCTGACCTCGTGATCCGCCGCACCCAGCCACTTGTCTCAATATTTGAAGCATGTATTAGTGAAGCACATATCTGGCATTTGGCTATTTTATGTTTGTTTTTATAGAAGTTCTGCTTAATTCAATCATAAGCATTAAAATGGCAAGGAACATATCTGATAGCCCTAACATCTTACAAATAAAAATGCACCTCTAATAAATGTTCATATGAAAAACTTTCATATATAGGCATAAAGCTACACTACATAAATTCCTCCAGTATTGCTAATTAGAGATTATACACCATCATTTTAGTCTCTACCATCTGTGATAATGTTAGTCTCCTTCTTTGGTGCTTTTTTTGAGACAAGGTCTCACTATACTGCCTACACTGGTGTCAAACTCCTGGGCTTAAGGGATCCTCCCCCTCAGGCTCCTGAGAAGCTGGGATTATAAGTGTGTGTCACTATGCTGGGCAATAAGCTGTTTTAAACATTGTAAATCCCATAATGTTTAACAAGTGCAAAAGCAGTGAAACCATTTGGAAGAATTAGTAAATATCTAAATTATGACTGAAATGAAAAAGATACCAAAAAATTAAAAAACAAAAACAAAATAGTGATATGCAAATAGGATAAACTGTTCAACAGAAAGAGGTCCTAAAAACAAAGACAGGCGCATGTGACATATGGAAGGTTCTGGCCCTGTGCAACTGACCAAGAAGGGAAAAAAGTAAGTGAAAGAAGGGAAAACTTTTAAGTGTGTGACTAGTGGAACAGCATCAACATTAGATTTCTATTAGCATGAAGCCAATTCAGGAGACACCTGGAAGTTAATTTGAAAATATAAAAGCTAAGCATGGCAGAAGTTCTAACAAAACTTGGATGGTAGCTTTGGAAGGAGTTGTGGAATCTCCACATCAACAGGATGAGCGGAAAGCTGCTCAGGAAGAGCTCCCTAAGAAGCTTGTGGGGATTGACAAGGAAAAACACTATTGGCTTCAATAGATTTTCAAGGTAAAGAAGTAGGTCTATTTTGCTGGAAAAAAAAAATGTCTGCTAGTTCAGCTACAAGAAAATTATGCCTGGATTTAAAGCGTAAAAAATCTGAATAACTCTTATTTGGTAGAAATATATCTGGGAAGTGCACGCTGAAACTACCCTACTCGTGACATTTGGGACTTATGAACAAACAGATTTACAAACAACTCTCTTAAAGCCTGGTCTGTTTGGGTGCAGAGGAGCTTATAGTAGACTTCAAATGCACAGATGGAAATGCAGATAACCAAAAGGAAAGCAAAATCACTCTAATGCTGTGTAATGACTTACCCTGCATTTTATTTCTATACTAATTGAGATCACCATATGAACTCTTAGTAAATTTCTAACTTGTTAGAATCTGAGAAGATTAGCTGTTATAGCCAGCCTGTCAAAGAAATGGGCATGGAACTGAGTTCTGCGATTACTGAATGTAGCATTTCCATTATTTCATAAGAATTTGACCCACAAACAAAACTAAACATATTTTAAAATGATCTATCCACATCACTGCTCCCTTTTCTAACTGGATTGGGGATACATGGATGTTAGTGGTTGTAGACACTGGTTCAATAACCTAGGCAGGTAGAGAAACATAAGTTGAAAATATTTGGAAAATACAGATTTTAAAAATAAGGTCATGAAGGCCAGGAGTGGTGGCTCACACCTGTAATCCCAGCACTTTGGGAGGTGGAGGCAGGCGAATCACCAGAGGTCATGAATTCAAGACCAGCCTGGCCAACATGGTGAAACCCCATCTCTGCTAAAAAAAAAAAATACAAAAATTGGCTGGGCGTGGTTGCGGGCACCTGTAATTCCAGCTACTCAGAGGGCTGAGAAAGCAGAATCACTTGAACACGTGAGGTGGAAGTTGCAGTGAGCCGAGATTGCGCCATTGCTCTCCAGCCTCAGCAACAACAGCGAAACTCCCACTCAATAATAATAATAATAATAATAATAATAATAATAATATCACAAGTTTTACAGAGGCAGCTATGTGTTTATCTGTTTTTTGCATGGCTTCTGTAGGTGGTAAAATTTCATTAGTGAGTGCTCAAAATTAGTGCAGTGTATGTTGTTTCCTAATGAAATACACTGCCAGAAATGCAATAGAAAAAGATATATAAATAATATAATACATAATAATAGTTCAGAGAAGACTCTACCTGATAGAAGACGAACCAGATGTTTCTGTATCAGGACCTGAGGACAGGTAATCCTCTGTGCAACTGCAAACTGCATTAATGCTTTCAGACCATTATGCTAGATTGTAAGAGAGAAGGAAGATAAAAAGATGAGGGAAGATGAGAGACCTAAGTCATCCACTTAAGAGTTGGTAAAAACCAACTCTAGTTTGTCGGAATTAGCTGCAGACTCATTATATACCTTATATCATTGCAAATAAATTACAATATTCTTAATACCTGTACAAGGTTTTATGGCCTTGCTAAATTTCTAATAGATTTTCTTATAAAAAAGTGGTATTAAAGCTATAATTATTTTAATTTTCACATAAAAAGTGTTTTCCCCAGAGCTGAGCACACTGTGTACCACAAGTCTTCTAGTCTTCTGTGCCAGCTGTCAGAAAAATAAGAGGGAAATGGCAGGGAAGGAATGGCAACCTCAATTACCCCTTTTGTCTTCACAGGGCTACTCTGCATATTTCTTTAGTACTGTTTTCCAGGGATCACTATGTAAAGAGGTTTAGGCCTGGGGCAGGAGTAGAGTCCTACAGTAGTGTCAGTATCTGCCCATCAAGGAGTCATGTCTTAATTTTATTTTTGAATTCAGTATGATGATTCATCCAGAGCTAAGCCAGCATTAATACTCAATGTTATATAATGGTGTAAAATTAGTGAGAAGGAAAAATATAGGAAACATCAGGATTTTGAAATGTAACAAACAAAGGGAGAAAAAGTAATCATCACATGAAATCTCTGTATGAATTACACTTAACCTCTGAGATTGAGTAAGCGCTGTAAAGTGCACATGCTATTCAGTTTCCTATAAGACTGATGCAGTTCCTTTTTTCCCCACTATAGAATTCTGCTAATTTTTACAGAAAATGAGTAAAGATTTTTTGTTTTTAATAATAAACTGTGGGGGGGAAAAAAGGCATGCCATGAGTTACATGTACCTTGTTGGAATATACATACCTGCCTATTTTGAAGTGCTCCAAACAGAGGTTTTCCTTCATCTCCCAATAGATTTTCTCAAAGAATAAAAAAAAATAAAAATAATAAATCCTGAATAGTGCTATAATCATATACTGTACTTTTTATCAAATGTTCTTTAATAATATTTTTGATGAGATGATTTGCATTTTTCCCCTTCAAAGTCTTGTGTTTTAAGTCTATGCCAAAATTTTCCAATTTTTGAGTGAGAGAAAATTAGAGAATCAAATGTATATCATTTACAAATTACTAGCATAAAAAATAAAGCACCTGCAGCAATCTTATAAGAATGCTTGGGAAAAACAAAGCAGCCTGGACTGCTTCTTCTCATTTCAGCATCTTTTTTATGCAAAATTTTCTAAAATAAGTAATTTATATATGTAATTATAGCCTATTTTGTTTAAAAATAATATGTAAGGCAGATACAAACAACTTCATTGCTCTTTTGGGTACAATTTTTTTTTTGAGACAGACTTTCGCTCTTGTTGCCCAAGCTGGAGTGCAATGGCGCGATCTCGGCTCACTGCAACCTCCACCTCCTGGGCTCAAGCGATTCTCCTGCCTCAGCCTCCTCAGTAGCTGGGATTACAGGCGTGCACCACTACGCCAGCTAAATTTTTGTATTTTTAGTAGAAACAGGGTTTCAGCATGTTAGCCAGGCTGGTCTCGCACTTCTGACCTTAGGTGATCCGCCCACCTCAGCCTTCCAAAGTGCTGGGATTACAGGCGTGAGCCACTGCGCCCGACCTCGGGTACAATTTTAAAAGAATTAGAAAAGATCAATAGGAAAAAAAGAAAATGAGACCGGGTGCAGTGGTTCATGCCTGTAATCCCTGGACTTTGGGTGGGTGAGGCAGGAGGACTGCTTGAGCTCAGAAGTTCAAGACCAGCCTGGACAACATGGTGAAACCCTGTCTCTACAAAAAACACAAAAATTAGCTGGGCGTGGTGGCACATGCCTATGGTCCCAACTGCTCAGGAGGCTGAGGTGGGAGGATCACCTGAGCCTGGGGAGGCTAAGGCTGCAGTGAGCCATAACTGCACCACTGCACTCCAGCCTGGACAACAAAGTGAGACCCTGTCTCAAAAAAAAAAAAAAAAAAAAAAAGAGAAAGAAAAAGAGAAAATTAAAATACCAAAATCACAGATTTGTGTTTTGTTGTCCATGGTATTTATTCCTAAATTACTCTTATTTTCACTGATCCTTAGCAGCAGATACGAGTGTGGAAGCATTTTTTTTCATCTTTGCATAAACAGTAATTCAAAGGACGCTTTGTTTTGATTCCTCAACTATTATCCTATGCCAATGCATTCTGTACATATCTCTCCATCTCCACAGGGACTGAGATAAGTTAGTTGTTTATGTACTAAGAATAAAGTAGAGCATTATGCCTGCTTGATAGAAAAAGCACAATAGTGAACACAATATGATATTAATCAAATGGAATCCAATTACTAGATTATAGAACCACATATGAAAAGATTCAGCTCTATCAGCAGTGAATTTCCTATCTCCTTTATAACAGACTGTGCCCCCTTTTTAATGTTCAAGGTCTAAATATAAATTCTTGATTTCCTAATGCTTATCTTCCCCAAAATAGTAAAGTGTGAAATAGCTTCACTGAAAGTCTGAAGAGACTTAGCATGTCATGACTCCACAAGAATGCTTTACATTTCTTATCAATTTGTTCAGACTCTATTTTATATAAACCTCACCTTTCCTATATCCCACTTGATTGAATCATAGCAAATATAAACTGATGTATTATCCTATACCCATGATTTAAGTCTAACAGGTTTGGATGTGACTTTTTTTCCCCCAAGCACATCCACCCACAGTGGCTTTATTCAGTCACATCCCCACCCCCACAGCTCCCTCCACCAGGCAGACAGGTGGGAGGCCACGCCACGGCAGTACCCGGGGACCATGGGCCAGCAAAGGGTCCCGGCCAGAGGGCACCAACCCCAGGAAGACACGGTCCCCACCCGGAGCTTCCCTGGGCTGCCTCGGCCCCTGAGCCCACCCTGAGGATCTGTGCTTTGACTCTGACAGGGAGCAGCAGGAAGCCGCCAGCCCACTGACCCCCTGGGTATCCTTGGAAGGCACACGGTGGAGTGGTGACTCCAGCTCCTGAGCGGCGCTTCCTCAGCTCCCATGCCCCTGCATGGTGCTGGGCTCGGCCCAAGATGTCCAACCGCAGTCTGGCTCTGACAAGGATGGTCACGGCCTAGCCACAGGGGCGGCTTTGCCCATCAGTCCCCCTGGGGCAGCAACTGGATCCCGGCAGGGGCAGAGCCGGGATGGGCCCTCTCTATGGGCTTAAGATCAATGTAGGCGGAGGCTCACTGGGCCAAGGCCAATGAACCCACTCATAGGAGCCCTCTGAGGGCACCGGTAGGGGGTCTGCTAAGGGCAGGTGCCCGTGGCCTGGAACCTGCCTTTGCCAAGGCACTGAAAGCGACTCTTAAACTCTATTAAGAAACTAATGATAGTATGTAGGAAGGCTTTGGGAAAAAATGTGGCTTCAAGGCCGGGTGTGGTGGCTCACGCCTGTAATCCCAGCACTTTGGGAGGCTGAGGCGGGAGGATCACGAGGTCAAGAGATCGAGACCATCCTGGCCAACATGGTGAAACCCCGTCTCTACTAAAAATACAAAAATTGGCTGGGCGTGGTGGCGTGCACCTGTAGTCCCAGCTACTCGGGAGCCTGAGGCAGGAGAATTGCTTGAATCTGGGAGGCGGAGGTTGTGGTGGCCGAGATTGTGCCACTGCACTCCAGTCTGCCAATAGAGCGAGACTCTGTCTCAAAAAAAAAAAAAAAAAAAAAAAAATATGGCTTCATGCTACTTAATTCAAATTATGAAATATAAGTGTCTTGTTACAAAAATACATTTAAATGAAGAAAATATAATGGACTCCATTAAAAACAATTACCAAAAATATATATATTGAAAGGGAAATCAAAGTTGGCTTGGATAAAGATAGGGAAGAATCACCATTCTTAATTTTTTCCATGTAATATTGCACCTTGTCCCTATAACGAACAAATGCACTAACTTAAAAAATCTAAGTGATCCCTCACTGCTACATTTTTCTGTGCAAAATTTTCAATATGGCAGAGAATTTGATAGTAGGCTTCCCTTTAGAGCTGGTTTCTGCCTGCTAATCTCTCTTAAACTGCCTCAGTCTTCCTTTCCCCTTTCCGTTAATTTTTAGGTGACTTTGGTTTCCCCTCACTTCTTCTCTCAAACTATAAAAGAAAGAAAAATTACTGAACACTTCTGAGTTGATTCTTTTCTTTTTTCCTTGAACCTCTATAACTTACATCATGCTGTTCCTTTAATATAGATACTAAAGGAATATATGTGTGTGTGTGTGTGTGTGTGTGAACACACACACACTTTTTAGAGACAGGGTCTCACTCTGTTGCCCAGGCTGGAGTGCAGTGGTGCAACCATGGCTCACTGCAGCCTCAAACTCCTGGACTCAAATGATCTTCCCACTTCAGCTTCCTGATTACCTAGGATTACAGGTGCATACCACCACGCCTGGCTAATTTTTTGTAGACAATCTTGCTGTATTGCCCAGGCTGGTCTCAAACTCCTGCTCTCAAGTTATCCTCCCACCTCAGCCTCCCAAAGCTCAGCCTCCCAGGCATAATCCACCGTGCCCAGCTTTTTAAAAATATTTTTTTTAACTTATGTTGCATATGGCCACAATCATAGTTAAAAAGAGATCAACATAAAAAAATTACCAGACCAAATGGCATGAGCCACACTAATACACTGAAATACTAATAGTCCTCATACAAGTCAAATTATTCTGGGCCATCAGTGAAAAAAAGAATTTAAGAATGAATGATCAAAGTTAATTCTCACTGAAACCTCCAAACCAGTTTTCTTATGAGCTTTACCAATTGCCTGGATAGTGAAAGCGCAGGTGCTCCAGGTCAGCATGGGGACTCGAGGATCCCTTTCATCAGGTGGCACTTTCAATCCAATTCTATAAATTGTTGTGGCAAAGAGAATAACCATTTCCTTGATGCTATTTGAATATTTAATCCTATAAATAAAACAAGAAAATTTGTATGATTTAGTAAAAGGAGCTACTTAGTAAGAAGTCCAATTAAGTCCTGAAGCAACAGAAACAATTTAACTGCTTTCAACATAAGTAAACTGCTCTTTGCCAAATTAGAGATTAGAGCCTCCAAAGATTTATTCAGTTGGAAAAAAATTGGAAGAGCAGAACTGTATTTTCTAAAGGTAGAGAAACAGCTCTTATAAAATGCTAATGACCTACATAACTTCACTTCCTGTAAAAGATGCAGCAAATGCTCACAGCTAGAAGGGGTTCAGGTTCTAATTAAAAACCAGACTGAACACAGAAAGAATAAAATTCAGAGGAACAGATCTAACCTAACAAGCTTTGATGCTTGGAAAAGGAACCAAAGAAGTACTTTTGTGTTGATAGGTATGTGTATGTGTTTGTGTTGTGTGTATGTGTGATATGATACCATGTACCTGGAGTGATAATTTCCAGTTTTCTGAACTTCCATTTATAACAAGTATTTTCAGTAGCAATGGGATAGATAAACAAGGATCACAACTAGAAAAACTACCCTGGATACTCAATATTAATGAAATAATAATATCTGATTTGGGTACATTACATCTCTCCAATAACCTAATGAGGCAGGATAGAAGGCCATTGCCTCAATTTTACATGCAAGAAAAATGAACGGGTGGTGGCATGGAGTGACCTGAGACTTTTCAGAAAGTCACAAAGCAAGTTAGATGTAATTTTAAATGAAGTCTCATAATTCTGGTCCTCTTGTAGGACCAGACAGAATTGGCATTTTTGGTCCTCTTGTAGGGCCACAGAGAACTGGCATTTTTGTTGGTTAAAAATGGTTACTCAGAGGCATAGTTCACCTTAATATATATTACTTTAATATCTCAAACCACTTCATTTTGTTAATACAAATAAAACAAACGAGAAAGAAACAAGATAATGGGATAAACTATTTTACAAATAAAAAAGTAAGGAAAGATGGAAGCCTACACTGTTTCCTACTCTTATTTTCACAATCATTTACAAAGTTCTCTTAACTATTTAGATACTTACGAAGACTCAACGCCAAAACTCAGGATGGAATGGAACTCCAAAGTAGAATCTCCCATTCCTTGATTAAAGAAAATAGGAATTGGGTTTTCTCCTTATAAATTAAAAGGAAAAAGAAAGAAAAATCATGAATGAGTTTAGTCTGACATACAGTTTTCTAGCATTTATTTATTTATTTTTGACAGTCTCACTCTGTCACCCATGCTGGAGCACAGTGGCATGATCATCTGTAGCTTCCATCTCCCAGGCTCAAGCGATCCTCCCAATCTCCGCCTCCCAAGTGACTACAGGCATGTGCCACCATGCCTGCCTAGTTTTTAAACAATTTTTTTGTAAAGATGGGGTCTTCCTCTGCTGGCCAGGCTGGTCTTGAACTCCTTAAGAGATCCTCCCACCTTGGCCTACCAAAGTGCTGGGATTACAGACATGAGCCACTGTGCCCAAGCTTTCTAGCTTTTTAATACTATACATGATCATTTTAGGAAACTTGGAATATGCTAATAAGCAATGAATGATTAACTGAAGTTTCGCCATCCAGATAACCACTGTTAACATTTGGGTGATATTCTTCTGTTCCCCATATAAATATTACATATATAGAATTTTTTTAAGAGGATGACATAATACTAGCCTGCATCTTGCCTTTGCACCTAATAGATCATGAACATCTTTCTATAACAGTAACTTTCCCTCTATTTTGCCATGTTTAATGACTGCATAAATGTTCTCTTGATAAGGCAGCATATGTTAGTGAATAAGAGTAAATGATCTGAAGCCAAGCTGCCTGGGTTTGAATCCTAGCTCTGCCACTTACTGTTACTGCAACCTTGTGTGAAAGCTAAACCTCTCTGTAGCTCCATTTCCTTGTCAAATTCAAATGCTATTTCCCGACATGAAATGGGTTGTTTTTCTCTGGTTGCTTTCAAGATTTTTAATCTTTTTTTTTTTTTCAAGAGATGAGGTCTTAGCTGGGCATGATGGCTCAAACCTGTAATCCTAGCACTTTGGGAGGCCGCAGTGAGAGGATCAATTGAGGTCAGGAGTTCAAAACCAGCCTGGCCAACATGGTGAAACCTCATCTCTACTAAAAATACAAAAAATTAGCCTGGCGTGGTGGCGGGTGCCTGTAATCCCAGTTACCTGAGAGGCTGAGGCAGAAGAATCACTTGAACCCAGGGGGTGGAGTCTGCAGTGAGCCGAGATCGCACCACTGCACTCCAGCCTGGGCGACAAAGCGACACGCCATCTCAAAAAAAAAAAAGATGAGGTCTCGCTATGTTTTGCCGGTTGGCTTCAATTTCCTGGGCTCAAAGCATCCTCCCACCTCAGCCTCCCAAATAGCTGGGACTACAGACACGCACCACTGTGCCTGGCTCTTTATTTTTTGTTTTCAGCAGTTTGCTTTATGATGTGTCTGAGTGTGGTTTTCTTATCTGCTTGAGATTTACTGAACTTCTTGAATCTGCAAATTTGTCTTTCACCAAATTTGGGAAATTTTCAAACAATTATTTCTTCAAATATTTTTTCTGCATTATTTTTCCCTTCCTTTTGGGACTTCAATGACACAAATGTCAGGTTGAAAAAAAAAATTGTCCCATAGACCCCTAAGGATATATTTTTTTGTCCCCCATCTCTTTTCTGTCTGTTCTCCAGACTGAATAATTTCCACTGACCTAATTTCACATTCATGGACACTTTACCTCATCTCCAGTCTAGTATATGTATTTTTGAAACAACATAGCCTTGCTGTGTTGCCCAGGCTGGACTGCAGTGGCATGATTATAGCTCACTGTAACTTCAAACTCCTGGGCTCAAGCGATCCTCTCCTCAGCCTCCCAAGTACCTAGGACTATAGGCACACACCACCAAACAGAGCTAATTTTTATTATTATTATTTTTTATTTTTTTAGAGATGGGGTCTTATTATATTGCCCAGGCTGGTCTTGAATTCCTGGCCTCAAGTGATCTTCCTGCCTGAACCTCCCACAGTGCTGTTATTATAGGCCTGAGCCACTGTGCTCAGCCTTCTAGTTTACTATTGAGCACATCCAGTTAATTTTTGTTTCATCCAGTATTTTTTCAATTCTATTATCTCCATACGGTTGGTTTTTTTAGTTCCTATTTTTCTGATAACTTCTATCTTTCAACTCTTTCAAGAGTGTTTACCTTCACCTTATGTTTAAGGCTAACTAGCTGCTTTAAAACTCTTCGATAAGTTTAACATTTAAAACATCTCAGGATTGGCATTTGGTTGTTTTTCCCTTGAGAATCGGTCAGATTTTTCTGGTTCTTTGTATGTCAAGTAATTCTGGATATTATCTTGTATATTTGGAATATTACATTGGGAGGTTCTGGTCCTGTTAAAAACCTCTGGAAACATGAACAGTTTTAAAGTGTTTTAGAAGGCAATAAACTCAGGTTCAACCAGTTCTGTCTCATCCTCTGTGGATGGTGATTCCAATGTTAGTTTTCAGAGCCTGTGCTGTGGTGTTTTGATCTGCCCAGCACATGTACTCCTCGGGGGGTTAGCCTGGGACTTGAGTGATGGTTTAAATGAAGCTTACTTCTCAAAACTTTGGCTATGCCTCTTTGAGCCTATTCTGCACATGTGCAGCTTGGAGGTGAGCCCAGGACTTGTGTGGACCTCAAAAATATGAGAGTCCCCTTCTATAGTTCTCTCCTCTTGGGGATTTCCCACCCCAGTCCTCCCACTTTCTAGCTCCAAAGGGCCCTTTTCCCCAGTTTCTCTGGCCAGAATGACATGTTTTTCTCAGTTTTAGTCTCCCATGCTGTCAGTCAGATTTATGACTGCGGATGCCCTTGGCGTGAAGCCACGAGGCAAAGACAGAAAAAAATGATGAAGATTAACCTTGTACTCTTTGGAACACAGGAGCTCCTTTTCCCAGTTCCTCACCACAGAGACTGGTTTTCTCTTGAGATTATGGGCATCTGCATGGCCACCATGGCTGTGCAGCTCTATGCCTGAGGCTGGCCTTGGGAGAAGACCAGAGGAAAAATAAAATAAACACACTCCTTTTATATTCTGGCTATGAGGGGCTTCTTTTCCTGATCCTCTGACCAGAAAGAGATGGCATTTCTCATGGATTTTTGCTGTTCATGCTTGTTGTACAGTTCTAGGACTCAGCTGTTCTTGAGTGAAAGTTGGGAAATAAAGGAAGAAAAAGCCTCAGGAAACTCACTACCCGTAATGATAATTCTTAAATTTTGACTTTAGTTCCCATCTGCCTGCTAGTCTACTTTTCAGAGACTTCAGCTGCTGTGGTTTTTTTGTATCCTGTGAAAGTATGAGGAATTAGAGATTGGATTTTATGAAATGTCTTTTTTTTTTTTTTTAAAGACAGAGTCTCGCTGTATCACCCAGGCTAGAGTACAGTGGTGCAATCTCGGCTCACTGCAACCTCCACCTCCCCGGTTCATGCCTCAGATTCTCCTGCCTCAACCATCCGAGTAGCTGGGATTACAGGCGCGGGCCACCAAGCCTGGGTAATTTTTGTATTTTTAGTAGAGACGGGGTTTCACCATGTTGGCCGGGCTGGTCTTGAACTCCTGGCCTCAAGAGATCTGCCTGCCTCGGCCTCCCAAAGTGCTGCGATTACAAGCGTGAGCCACTGCACCCAGCTTGAAATGTCTTTTAAAAAGTTACAATGACAAGCCAGGTGTTGGTGGCGGGCAACCAACTACTCAGGAGGCTGAGGCACGAGAATTGCTTACACCTGGGAGGCGGTGGTTGCAGTGAGCTAAAATCTCACCACTGCACTCCAGCCTGGGGGGCAGAGCGAGACTCCATCTCAAAAAAAAAAAAAGGCTGTAATGACCATATTAGTTTTCATCTTTAACCTATTTATTTAAGAAGTTTCCATCAAGGCACTGTTAGAATAAACCCAATCTGAGCATTGTCTCTTTTGGGCTATGAGCTGTCTTCTAAGCATGGTTTTGGCCATACTCCATGGATTTGATCTGTGTTGTTCTCATTGTTAATTGCTAAATAGTCACTGATTTCTCCATCTCTCTCTAGCTTTTTCCTTGCATTCAACAGTTACATGGAACAGTATTTTAAAATTCCTAATTTGTTAGGTTTTTGAGCTCTCTTTTGTTAAGTATTATTTTATTGTATTGTGGATAGTATAAGTATCGTACATAATTTCCCTTTTTGAAAACTATTGAGATTCTTACATGGCCTAATTTATTAACCAATCTGTTATTAATAATCCATGGAAAGGCCAGGCACAGTGGCTCACACCTATAATCCAAACACTTTGGGAAGCCATGGTGGGAGAATCACTTGAGGTCAGGAGTTCAAGATCAGCCTGGGCAACACAGCAAGACGCTGTCTCAAAAAAAAAAAAAAAAAAAAAAAAAATCCGTGGGCATTTGATAAAAATATATTCTCCAATAGGAACAAACTTCTGTAGAACATATTACTAAATCAAGCTTAATTTTAAAAATTCTCTAAGTCCTTATTTATTAGGATGACTTGACCAGCCATAAAACTATCTCCCACTATCACTATGTTTTTGTTTAATTCTACTTATGTACCAAAACAACACAGCGTGAAAATAAATAGAAACTGAATTTACTATCTGTCTTTTCTCCTAACCTCCCCATATTTGTAGGCAATATAGATAAAATGCTTACACATTCTCTGCAATCCTTCCTTTACAATCTCTTGGCTGTTTCTTTTCCCCAAACAATTAGTCATTCAATAAGCATTCAGAGCAAACTTGTCAATGCTTACTATTAATACCACCACCTCTCACCATGTCATGGTAGGACCAGTGCAACTGATTCCTGATTAATCTTCTTGAGTTATCTCCTCACTCTTGCAATCTATCTGCGGCACCACTCCCACACTAAAAAGCTACCAGAATAAATGCTAGTCACTTGCTCAAAAATTTTTAATCATTCCATGATTTCTTTTTTAAAGTTCTCTATTTCAATAGTTTTTCCTTAGCTTATGTTCAGTATTTTCTTCCCTTAAAAATATAGGCTTCTAAGTAAATTAGTGAATATGTTTAAAAGATACTAATCACTCTTATGCTTCTTTAGACGGTCACAGAGGTCCTACTGCTAATAAAGTGATATTTCTACTTAATGCCATGTTTGAGACCTCCAATTAAACATTTAGAGGCCAAAATAACAATAAAAAAACTGATTTAAGGCTGAATTTTTGAGACCTAAAAATCATGATGTAAAACCAACATGTCATTCTACATTTTTTTAAATAAAAAGAAACTAAATTCACATATGTCAAAGTCATTTTAAATTACTATAAAAATTAAGAAGAATCTCTTGTACTGAATTGCTTCTCGGTGCTTAAAACAAGTAGCAAAGGCTGGGCACGGTGGCTCACGCCTGTAATCCCAGCACTTTGGGAGGCCGAGGCGGGTGGATCACAAGGTCAGGAGATCAAGACCATCCTGGCTAACACGGTGAAACCCCGTCTCTACTAAAAATACAAAAAAAAAAAAAAATTAGCTGGGCGCGGTGGCAGGCGCCTGTAGTCCCAGCTACTCGAGAGGTTGAGGCAGGAGAATCGCGTGAACCCGGGAGGTGGAGCTTGCAGTGAGCCGAGATCACGCCACTGCACTCCAGCCTGGGCGACAGAGCGAGACTCCATCTCAAAACAAACAAACAAACAAAAAAAAACAAGTAGCAAAGTAGTTAAGTACATGCCAAAAATCACTTCTTAGCAAATATAAGTTCTTTTGTTAGAAGAGTTTTCCACCCAACAGATTGTTATCTCATTAGCACTTGTGGTAAAGGTTTTGTTATAAAATGAAGGAGGAGGGGAAACTGACAGGACGTTGCCAGACTCATTCATTGCTGACTGTTGTCTTCCATCATTCTGTGTTTCTACATGACCAAGTCCAAATTCTTACAAACCTCCACAACTGCCCCATATTCTCCACTGTTCCCCACTGTGTACTCTCAACTAAGGTAGGCCAGGCTTTTTCAATGTCTCTGAAAATGCCATGCTCACAGTTCCCTAAAAACATTTCTGTTTTCCACCTGGGTTCTCCTTTATCCCTACCACACATCCAAATTTTATACAAGGTCAAATCGAATCTCATTTTTTCCATGACATCTTCCCTTACTACTTCAGCCCCTACTGATCAATTCCTTCTTAAAAATCCTATGAGTCCTATTGTTTTATACTATAAAATCTGGCTGTTAATGCTATTTCCTCTTGTATCATTCTTAACTGCGTAACATGCACACATATGAGGTCAACGAGGCAGGGAACATAAAACTTTGTATGATAACTTAGGCTGGGCACACTGGCTCATGCCTGTAATCCTGGTACTCTGGGAGGCTGAGGTAGGAGGATTGCTTGAGTCCAGGAGTTTGAGACCAGTCTGGGCAACACAGCGAGACCTTGTCTCTACAAAAAATTTAAAAATTAGCTGGGTGTGGTGGTGTAAGCCTGTGGTTCCAGCTACTTGGGAGGCTGAGGTGGGAGGATCACTTGTGCCCAGGAAGTTGAAGCTGCAGTGAGCTGTACTCCAGCCTGGGTGATGAGCGAGACCTGTCTAAACAAACAAACAAAAAAACAACAAACCCCCCCAACAAAACAAACAAAAAACCTTTGTAACTTAGACTATGGTGATGAGAAATAAAACCATCACCGCTATTTCTTCCTCTGTAGCTTTTGTATACATCCTTCATTTTCCTTAAAAGTACGTAACTGAAAGGACATAATTAAATCACAACAGAGGGTAAAATAATCAGGGAAAATGTGGATAAATACAGAAAGATATGAATTGTAGAAATAAGACATAAATATTTTGAGTAGAATACCTAGAAATATTCTTGAATATTTTCTAGGTATGGTTTTCATCAATTTTAGATCCAAAGAGGGGATGAGAAGATAATTTTTTAAATACTGGACTTTGCCTTCACCCTACTGATTTCACTGCCTAAACCAGGGGTCCTCAACCCCAGGGCCATGGACGAGTACCAGTCTATGGCCTGTTGGGAACCTTGGGAATGGGCTGCACAGCAGGAGGTGAGCAGCAGGTGAGCAAAGCTGCATCGGAATTTACAGCCGCTTCCCATCACTTGCATTGTCGCGTGAGCTCCGCCTCCTGCCAGATCAGCAGCCACATTAGATTCTCATAGGAGCGCAAACTCTACTATGAACTGCCCATGTGAGGAATCTAGGTTGCCCACTCCTTATGAAAATCTAATGACTGACAATCTGTCACTGTCTCCCATGACCCCCAGATGGGACCATCTAGTCGCAGGAAAACAAGCTTAGGGCTCCCACTGATTCTACATTATGGTGAGTTATATAATTATTTCGTTATATATTACAATGTAATAATAATAGAAATAAAATGCACAATAAATGTAATGCACTTGAATCATCCCAAAACCATCCCCCTCATCCGAGGAAAAACTGTCTTCCATAAAACCGGTCCTTGGTGCCAAAAAGGTTGGGGACCATTGGCCTAAACAAAAGACAACTTTTCCTCACTGTATTTTAAAAATTCCCACTTTATCCTTTTAAGCACATCTCCATTAATAGCCATACTTGTCTCACAACTGTAAAGAATATGTAAATAAGATGATAGTTTTAAAATGTTTTTGTTATTACAAACATTACTAACCACACATTAATAGTATTAGTAATAGTAATGGCTAACATGTAGCACTTACTATGTACCATGGACTATTCTACTTTACATATAATAACTCTGCTAATCCTTCAACCAATAAAATAGGTACTATTATAATATTATTATCCCCGATTTGCAAATAAGAAGTTGAGGCACACAGAGCTTAAGTAACTTGCCCAAGATCACATAATCAGTAAGTGGATCTTAGTGATTTAGATGAATCTTGGATCTAAGATTTAAATCTAAGCAGTTTGACTGCTTGGAATAATCAGATAGATGGACTTGATAGTATAATCACTGTCTGTATTGTCTCCTAGTATGAAAAACGATTAAATTTAATAAAGCAATTTAAGCCACTTATTTTTAGCTTCAAAAACTTCTATTTCCTGATATTCAAGAAATCTGTACTTGCAAACCATATTTTAGCCCAATAATTATTTAAAAAAATAAAGATTCTGACACCATCTTCACATAGCTAATATAAAATAAATTTAAGCAAACCTTTAGCATGTCTTATATTATAACCTGATATTCTGGCCAGAACAGTCTGTATCCACCGTGCCAGGGTCAAAAGTTGAGCAAGAGCATCTGCATTCTCACTGAAAAATGATATTTAAAAATTATTACAACCATGGGTACAAAGTCAAATGGAAAAGCTGAATTTGTATTATTTCCTTGGATAAATGGTCATATAAAAAAGTTGAGTTCCTCCAGATTAATTTCCTAGGTCACAGAAACATGTGTCTAAAAATGTAGCTTTTTGGAAGGGGAAGGAAATTTTAAACTTACAAGAAATAAGTCACCACCCACATGCCAATCACCCACAGGTAGTAAATGTCAGTAAATAGAATCACCATTCTAGTTGCTCCAGTCAAAAACTAGGTGTTGTCATTGATTTCTCTGATTCCCTCACACCCCACATTCTAATCTATTAATTAACCTTGCAGGTTTTATCTTTCAAATATATCCCAAGTTCATCACTTCTTCCTACCTCTCATTACTACCCCCTAATCCAAGTCACATCAGCCCTCACTTGGATTACTTAAATAGACTCCTAAGTGTTCTTCCTGCTTCTACTCTTGTGTTTCATTTAAGTATGAATTCATCATACAGCAGCTAGAAGAATTTTCTAAAAATGTAAATAGGATCATATAACTTCTAATCTTTGCTCATAATCCCTTTTATGATCTGGTCTTTGCTTGCTCCATTCCATGTTGCCTTCTTGTTGTGACTCAAACATGATCATGGGGTTCCAAACTTGGAGCCTTTGCTTTTTTTTTTTTTTTTTTGAGATGGAGTCTCACTCTGTCGCCAGGCTGGAATGCAGTAGCACAATCTTGGCTCACTGCAACCAACCTCTGCCTCCTGGGTTCAAGCGATTCTCCTGCCTCAGCCTCCCGAGTTGCTGGGATTACAAGTGCCTGCCACCACGCCCAGCTAATTTTTGTATTTTTAGCAGAGACAAGGTTTCACCATGTTGGCCAGGCTGGTCTCGATCTCTTGACCTCGTGATCCGCCCGCCTCAGCCTCCCAAAGTGCTGGGATTACAGGCGTGGGCCACCACACCCAACCGAGCCTTTGCTCTTGATATAGCCTGTGCTTAGAATTTTTTTCTCCCAGAGAAAAGCAGTGATTATTCCTCACTTTATTCAGGTCTCTGTTCAAATGTCACCATCTCAGAGAAGAGCTCCCTGACAACTCTGTCTATAAATAGCCTCATGCCCCAGTCTGTCTTCAGCCCTTTAACCTACTGCTTTAGCTTTCTCATAGTATTCCTCACTACTCAACATTTTGTTTTATTTTTTTATTGCCAGTCTCTCCTTCCTAAAATGGACGTAAGGACAGGGACTTGAGACAGACTGTTATTAAGAACAAAGAAGGGCTGGGTGCAGTGGCTCAGGCCTGTAGTCCAGTACTTTGAGAGGCTGAGGTGAGTGGGTCGCTTGAGCCCAGGAGTTAGAGAACAGCCTGGGAAACATAGTGAAACCCTGTCTCTACAAAAAATACAAAAATTAGTGGGGTGTGGTGACACATGCCTGTGGTCCCAGCTACTTGGGAGGCTGAGGTGGAAGGATCATCTGAGCCCAAGAAGGTTGAGGCTGAAATGAGCTAAGATCACACCACTGCACTCCAGCACACAGTGAGACCCTATCTAAAAAAAAAAACCAAGAAGGACTAGAAACAGTGTTATTAAAAATAAAATAGGAATCTTTTTATTGAAAGAATAGTCTTGAGCAAAGGTAAAATATATAATGAACTGTGCCAAAATTTACCTATCTGGGCACAAATTTGACCTAAGAAGTTTTTTTTGTTTTCAAAAAATGGAAATGTACTATGACTGGTTATAACCAATTTTCTTTACAGATACCAGTTTATTAGTTTTAAATTTTTTCGTAAGTTTGTATTATACATTTTTAATCAAAATCTTAGTTTTGACAGTTTTTATATGCTTTTATCTTTACTATCTTAGATTATATTCATGCTGATTTCCTAAAATCCAAAAAAGGCAAATATAATCAACTATATGGGTAAGTCGAAGTATCTAATAAAACTGCTATGTATAATCATGTATTTCAGATCCTGAGTAACAGAATTGTTACTATAGATTAAAAGTGTGCCAGAGTTCTAAGAGACCTTTAACTAGTTCTAAGAGTTTTAAGGATCAGTTTTCTGAATTTAGAAAGAACTGCTCTGAAGCATCTGATCCTTAAAGTCATCAAGGAAAGAAGTAGCTAAATATTCTGTTAGAGAACAATTTACATAGTTTAATAATCCTATTTTGGGGGAGCCACTGTGTAAAAAAGGCTTGTACAAGAAATTGGAAAGTCACTTTATTATGATTTCCTTTATCTTTGTCTTCTGCTGTATAGTTAGGTAAGGCTTTGGAGTCAGGTCTGGGTTTGAATATTAGGTCTGTCTTGGGACAAGTAAAAACTATCCCTAGTCTCCAATTCCTTATCTTTAAATGGAAATAACAGTACCTACTTCAATGGACTACTGTGATAATTAAATAAGATAATGCAGCATTTGCTTGGTAAAATGCCTAAAATATATTAATTACTCAAATCAAAGATAATTCTTTCTCATGTTACCACATACGTTGAAGAAGACAATTTCAATTTAGGTTTATCAATGACATGGAATATTAGAGATTAGAACAACTCTTTATTTATTTATTTATTTTTGACACAGAGTGTAGCTCTGTCGCCCAGGCTGGAGTGCAATGGTATGGTCTCGGCTCACTGCAACCTCCACCTCCCGGGTTCAAGCAATTTTCGTGCCTCAGCCTCCTGAGTAGCTGGGATTACACGCATGTGCCACCATGCCAGGCTAATTTTTGTATTCTTAGTAGAGATGGGTTTTTGCCATATTGGCCAGGCTGGTCTCAAACTCCTGATCTCAGGTGATCTGCCTGCCTCAGCCTCTCAAAGTGCTGGGATTCAGGCGTGAGGCACTGTGCCCAGCCAAGGTTAGAGCAATTCTTTTTTTTTTTTTTTTGAGACGGAGTCTCACATTGTTGCCCAGGCTGTAATGCAATGGCTCAATCTTGGCTCACTACAACTGCCACCTCCCAGGTTCAAGCAATTCTCCTTGGCTCAGCCTCCCAAGTAGCTGGGATTATAGGTGCCCACCATCACACCCAACTAATTTTTTTGTATTTTTAGTACAGACGGGTTTCATTATGTTGGCCAGGCTGGTCTCCAACTCCTGACCTCGTGATCCGCCCACCTCGGCTTCCCAAAGTGCTGGGATTACAGGTGTAAGCCATGGCGTCCCGCCAGAGCAAGTCTTTATATTGACCCTTCTCGCCCAACCTATCACCTTTGAACTTTTATGGGGACATAAAGGTATTTTTATCAACAAAACCATTTTCTTTAGGAGAATTTAGGTTTACCATTACAAATCCATTGCATTTTAAAGCAACTGAAATAATATAAATATTATACTACTGTTATCATCATGTACAACAGTGAGAATATAGAAATATATAATTAAATTTCCAAGATGTTATACAAAAAATAATAATTTGCTGTTAATTCCATTTACAGATCAGAATATAAAAATTTAAAAACTCAAAATGCTTAAAACACTACCCAAAGAGAGATATATAAAAACAAATCTAGTGTTTCTATTTAATTTTTTTAGTTAACATTTGTCCATATCTCTAGAGCTATAGCATTTGGATCTTCAGAAAAATGAAATTAAAAATAATACAAAGATCATTAGAGCTATCAGACTCCAACTGGCAACTCTAATGATGGCAAAGGGCCATATGAAAGGAATGAATTTTTTTTGCATCTTTTCTCCTTTTGTGAGTGCTAAGGCAGAAGTCAGAGTTCTATTACTTCAATGGCTGCTGGAAAATATAACCACAATGTAAAGATTTGAGTAAATAAACATTCTAGTTCTCTTAGAGTCCAAAAATTAGGCTTTTGATCACATTTTAAAAGTATAATACAAGATATAAAATGAAAAAGTATTAATTCCTTTAAAGAATAAAAAACAGTAATGTAACAAAAACAGGCACAAATTAAAGAACTAAAGACAACTTTCTATTTGTTTTTGAGACAGGATCTCGCTTTGTCACCCAGGCTGGAGTGCAGTGGGGCAATCTCGACTCACTGGAGCTTCAATCTCCTGGGCTCCAGTGATTCTCCCACCTCAGCCCCCTCAAGTAACTGGGTCTACAGGCGTGTGCCACCACACCTGGCTAATTTTTTTTTTTGTATTTTTTGTAGAGATGGGGTTTTACCATGTTACCCAGGCTGGTCTCGAACCCCTGAGCTCTGGCAATCCGCCCATCTCAGTCTCCCAAAGTGCTGGGATCACAGGCCACTGCACCTGGCCAACTTTTAAAAAATTAACCAAAACATAAATTAAAATATACCTGTTTATCTTTTGAGGTTGCAAAGGAATAATGGGGATCACAGTATTGCACAGAGATTTGCAAAGAGGGCAAAGATATTCTCCACTTTCCAAGTCAAAAAGGTCAACATGAATGCGCTGCTGAGAGCTCAGCTGTACAGCTTCAAAATACCTGCAAAATTACAAAGACACAGGCCCATTCAGAACTACACATGCATCTCTACATGTGTATCTCTACTTGCTCTAATCCAAGTTTTAAAAATCTGGAATTTTTGCCCCAATAAACATCTTTAGAACATACATGCAAAAACACACAAGTTGTAATTATAGAAGAAACAGGTTGCCCATTATTTTGGGGACAAATTGGAAAATACATCAGAGCAGATATAAATTTAAAATAAGTTTATTGAATCATAACTCATCTCTTGCCTCAACAGCATGGTGATACAGCATGGACACTACTTTCCTCAGTTTCTAATGATGAACTGAAGTAGTGAGGGCTATCATGGAAAAATTATATATTGTAATCTAAAGCCAAATGGGTAAACTCTACACAAAAGATTTCTCAGGAATTACATTTTTGAAATTTTATATTTTCCAGAGATAGAACGAGAACTTCTTGTCCTATTCATCCTATTCTATTTCAAAGGTACTTTTCACAGCTGTATGTTTTGACAGAAATTAGATTTTTATAAAGATTACTTTTTTATTATTTATTTGTTGTGTTTATTAATTTTTTTGAGACGATGTTTCGCTCTTGTCTCCCAAGCTGGAGTGCAATGGCGCAATCTTGGCTCACTGGAACCTCTGCCTCCTGGGTTCAAGCGATTCTCCTGCCTCAGCCTCCGGAGGAGCTGGGATTAAAAGCATGTGCCACCACACTCAGCTAATTTTTGTATTTTTAGTAGAGACAGGGTTTTACCACGTTGGCCAGGCTGGTCTCAAACTCCTGACCTCAGGTGATCCTCCTGCCTCGGCCTCCCGAAGTGCTGAGATTACAGGTGTGAGCCACCACGCCCGGCCAATTATTACTTTTTTTACATGAATACTGATGAAGAGCAACTGATTAGTTTATGGAGAGCAAGCACAAAGGAACAGTGAAAATCTAAAGTTGGTAACTTTACACACCACTTTCCAACTTTGATAATAATAATTCATGCAAACAGAATTAGTAATTAAAACTGTTTCAATTATTCAAATAAGAAGAAAGGAAAGAAGACATGAGAAAACATGCCTTTTTGTGGCCTTGAGTGAACTTCAATGTTCCTAGTCTCTTTCAAGAACATGTCAGAAGGACAACTTACTTCTGCCAGCACACTGCGTGCATTACATGACCACAGCTTCCTGTATAAGTTCCATATGCCAAGTCTGGATCCATGAAAAGTGGGTCTAGGGCTTCTGGTACAAGGTATAAAAAGGAGGGAAAAAGAGAGACAGGTTATCAGGTCCAAAGTCTAATCACAAACTGTCTTAGGAATGTCCAAGCAAAGTGTCACAATATCATGATAGGAGGATATATAGTAACAAAAAGAGAAAAGTAATAGTAACAAAAGAGAAAAGCATAAAGGTAGCCTGTCAGATATGATTCTAAAATTAGTATGGATTAATAACTCTATCTTTGATTTACTTTTTAACCTTGAATATTGGGTTTAATCTGCATTATCTTGGTTATTTAAGTGATCTTCTATGTTTCCAAGATAATTTACTTTTTTAATTTTAATAGTAATTTGATAAATAATAATTTTAAGGGATACTTAGGGGAATTATAACCTCATTAAGAAAAGCACAGATTGGATCTCCCTCTTCCTCTCTCTCTCCCTCCTCTCCTCTCCCTCCTCTCCCTCCTCTCCCTCTCCCTGTCCCCGGTCTCCCTCTGATGCCACCAAAGTTGTGAAAGCCGAGGCTGGACTGTACTGCCGCCATCTCGGCTCACTGCAACCTCCCTGCCTGATTCTCCTGCCTCAGCCTGCAGAGTGCCTGGGATTGCAGGCACACGCCGCCACGCCTGACTGGTTTTTGCATTTTTTTGGTGGAGACGGGGTTTCGCCCTGTTGGCCGGGCTGGTCTCCAGCTCCTGACCGCGAGTGATCTGCCTGCCTCAGCCTCCCGAGGTGCCGGGATTGCAGACGGAGTCTCGCTCACTCAGTGCTCAATGGTGCCCAGGCTGGAGTGCAGTGGCGTGATCTCGGCTCGCTACAACCCCCTCCTCCCAGCCGCCTGCCTTGGCCTCCCAAAGTGCCGAGATTGCAGCCTCTGCCCAGCCGCCACCCCGTCTGGGAAGTGAGGAGCGGCTCTGCCTGGCCGCCCATCGTCTGGGATGTGAGGAGCCCCTCTGCCCAGCCGCCCAGTCTGGGAAGTGAGGAGCACCTCTTCCCAGCCGCCATCCCGTCTAGGAAGTGAGGAGTGTCTCTGCCCGGCACCCATCGTCTGAGATGTGGGGAGCACCTCTGCCACGCCGCCCCATCTGGGATGTGAGGAGTGCTTCTGCCCAGCCGCGACCCCGTCTGGGAACTGAGGAGCGTCTCTGCCCGACCGCCACCCCATCTGGGATGTGAGGAGTGTCTCTGCCCAGCCGCCCCGTCTGAGAAGTGAGGAGCCCCTCCGCCCGGCAGCCACCCCATCTGGGAAGTGAAGAGCCCCTCCGCCCAGCAGCCGCCCCATCTGGGAAGTGAGGAGCATCTCCGCCCGGCAGCCGCCCGGTCCAGGAGGTGGGGGGGCAGCCTCTGCCCGGCCAGCTGCCCCTTCCGGGAGGGAGGTGGGGGGCAGCCCCCGCCCGGCAGCCGCCCCATCCGGGAGGTGGGGGGCAGCCCCCGCCTGGCCAGCCGCCCCATCCGGGAGGGAGGTGAGGGGCAGCCCCCGCCCGGCCAGCCGCCCTGTCTTGGAGGGAGGTGGGGGGCAGCCCCCGCCCGGCCAGCCACCCCATCTGGGAGGGAGGTGGGGGGGCAGCCCCTGCCCAGCCAGCCGCTCCGTCTGGGAGGTGGGGGGGCGCCTCTGTCCAGCCACCCCGTCTGGGAAGTGAGGAGCCCCTCTGCCCGGCCACCACCCCGTCTGGGAGGTGTACCCAACAGCTCATTGAGAACGGGCCATGATGACGATGGCGGTTTTGTGGAATAGAAAAGGGGGAAATGTGGGGAAATGAGAGAGATCAGATTGTTACTGTGTCTGTGTAGAAAGAAGTAGACATGGGAGACTCCATTTTGTTCTGTACTAAGAAAAATTCTTCTGCCTTGGGATGCTGTTAATCTATAACCTTACCCCCAACCCCGTGCTCTCTGAAACATGTGCTGTGTCCACTCAGGGTTAAATGGATTAAGGGCGGGGCAAGATGTGCTTTGTTAAACAGATGCTTGAAGGCAGCATGCTCGTTAAGAGTCATCACCACTCCCTAATCTCAAGTACCCAGGGACACAAACACTGCGGAAGGCCGCAGGGTCCTCTGCCTAGGAAAACCAGAGACCCTTGTTCACATGTTTATCTGCTGACCTTCCCTCCACTATTGTCCTATGACCCTGCCAAATCCCCCTCTCGGAGAAACACCCAAGAATGATCAATAAATACTAAAAAAAAAAAAAAGAAAAAAAAAAAAAGAAAAGAAAAGCACAGATTGAGGATTTCAAATTCTGGTTTCATCACTTGTAACTCATGGCCATGGGTAAGTTACTTGACCTCTCTGTGCCTCAGGTCCTTCATCTATAAAATGGAACTAATAGTGATAACTAACTCATAGGGCTGTTGTGAGGATTAAGTAAGTAAATACACATAAAGCACTTAACAAGTGCCTGGCAATGTTAAGTTTTCAATAAATGCTAGTCTTTATTATCACTATTATTCCAAGGAGCTTGTTTTGTTTGTTTTGAGACAGGGTCTCACCCTGTTGTGGACCACAGGCTCATGCAACCATGCCTGGCTAATATGTTTGTAAAGACGAGGTTTCGCCATGTTGCCTAGGCTGGTCTCAAACTCCTGAGCTCAAGTGATCCACCCACACCGGCTTCCCAAAGTGCTGGGATTACAGGCGTGAGCCACCATGTCTGGCCTATTCCAAGGATATTTTAAAATAATAATGATGCTAAAGCAGCTAATTCCTGATGTAATAAGTGCAATAAATTATCTAATTAGCATTCCTGCCAAGAAAATGTTTAACATGATTCTAATCAGGAGGCAACTTAACAATCAGATAAATTCAGAATGTGACACATTATACAAAGCAAGTGGCCTGAATTCTTCAAAAAAGCTACTATCATAAAAAAAGGAGGGACTAATCTGGATTAAAATAGAGTAAAGGAAATATAGCCAAAGCAACACGTGTTTGTTTGGATCCTAAGTGAAAAAAAAAGTCTAGGAATTGAAGACATTTTGAGAACTGTTGGAGAAAAATTGATTTTATATTAGATAATATTCCTGGATTATTATTACTTTCTTAAATATGATAATGGTATGGTAGATATATAACCCTTATTTCCAAATGTTTTTCAAATAGTATTTTCTTTAATTACACAGGCATGAAAAGAAATGCACAAAAGGATATTTATTAAATAATACATACCTCCTGAGAGTTCTATGGGTTTTCCCCTGTGCTGGGTTAAGGCAGTAGATTTCTGGACACAGGCCGATAATACCATGGCATTATTTTCTATTTTCACCTCCTGTTCTTCTTGGCAAAGGATGCACGTCAGCACCTCCTTTTCAGTAACAGATGGACCCCGTTTAGGACCCAAAGCAATTCTAGAGTAGTCACTGACTGCTGGGGTGCTACCAAAAGAAATGATCAGAAATGAGGACACATGTTTTGGTCACTTGTCTTCATATTTTGGTAGATTTTAAGTAACTATAGGCAAGAAATATAAGAAAGATAATAAAAATAAAAATGATATTTAGCAATATTAAGTTAAAAGCTTCCCCCTTTCCTTTGTGGCTTTTATCAGTTATTTGCTTATTACAAAATACAAGTGTTGCTAAGTGCAAAAAACAGATGATAAAATGGAATGTATATTATAATTTTACTTAATTTACTATACCAATAAGCTGGGCTTTTTTTTTTTTCTGGATATAAAAGTAATACAGGCTTATTGAATAAATTTTGGAAAATCTATAATAGTATAAAAAAGTGTTATATTCCCACAACCTAGAGATACCTACTAGTAACCTTGTATATTTCCTTCTAGGTCTGCTTTCTATTTATAATATACTTCTTCATATAAATAAGATCACATTACACAGATCTGCATCCTGCTCTATTCACTTATAGTATCTTACATCATTAAAACTTCTTCAGAAACATTTTAAATGGTTGCACAGCTCTTACTGTATGTGCCATAATAGTTTTTATCCATTCCCTGTCATTAGGCATTTAGGTTTCTATTCTATTTTGGTCGCTATTCAAACTAAAAAACTTACACCTTAATGATTCAGCAATTCTTAGAATCTACTCTTACTGACTGGGCAAAACTCAAGATCTACTGAGGCGTACAATAATATTTAAATAATAGCAAATATTTGTAACATGCTGATTGTGAAGCTAGGCACTGTTTCAAATACTTTACATGTTTACTCAATCCTTACAATAATCCTATGAGGTAGGTGGTATTATTCTGTCTAGAGCAGCTCCTGCAAAGATGTCGCTGCAGCAGTGGAGGCGTGGCTGGGGCAACGTGCTCCATGTAGCCCTTGGGTTGGGAACAGGAGGGAACCCCACCCCTTCCAAGTTTGCAGGGCAGAAGCCCCGTGCTCCCGGGCACAGCTGCAACTGCCCAGCTCAGAAGTGCGTGTTCTGAGCCTCTCCGCACTCCCAATGCCCGCTCCGATTTTGGAGCAAAGCTGTGGCCAAGCCCAGGCGCTGCCGCGGCCCCGGCCAGGTGTGTGCACACTAGGGGCGGTGCTGACATGTCAGCCCCCTCCTGCCTTGGACCCCTCTGGTCTTTGGGTGCTGATAAGCATGGAAGGAAGGCCAAGAGGAAACAGGTGGCTCAGCATGGGCCTGCAGGTGCCCCTTGGCACAAACAGCCAGGGAGTTGTGGATGATATGTTGATGGCGGCAGGAGGCAGACAGGTTCCTAGGCAGAAAGGGATGGGTCCCCAAGCCAGGAATGGCCTGAAGCCTGGGGACCGGTATGTCAGTTACAGGTGGAATCCACAGCCTGGGGTGAGAATTTATGGTGCTTTCTCCGGGTCTGTCCATGAACCAGTCAGCACACACTTTCTCTCTTCTGAAGCCCCTAAAAACCCCAGACTCAGCCAGACTCACATGGAGACTACAGCTGCAGGAAGGAGCTACCCAATTCAAGTCTCCTGACTTGCTGGGATGACCTGCCTGTGGAAAGGAGATACCCACTCTGGATCTCCTCTCCACTGAGTGCTGGACACTTGTTGGGATGACCTGCCTGCAGAAAGAGCTACCCACTTTGGGTCCCTAGAGAGCTGTTCTGTTGCTTAATAAAGCTCTCCACCTTGCTCACCCTCCAGTTGTCCGTGTACCTCATTCTTCCTGGATGCAGGACAAGAACTCGGGAACCACCAAATGGCAGGACTGAAAGAGCTAGTAACATAAACAGGGCTGAAATGCCCACACCCAAAGCTTGCCACGTTGCAGGTGACAAGAAGGAGAGAAGAGCTGTGGTCCTTTGGGGAGCCCACACCTAGGGGCTCCCTGAGCCAGGGCTGTGACACCCTCTTTGGGGCTTCACAGTTTCTGGCATCTCTGAGCTGCCAGGTGCCACCATATTCCCCTTGTCCAGACAAGAGTCCCTGCAGCGGAACCTGCTGGTGCATATGATCCAGCTGCAGGCTTGCACAGAGCTGGCCCCTGTCCCTGTGCCTAGAGCTCCCTGCCCTGCACAGCAGCTGGCGTGCCTGGCTGTGTGCAGTGGCCAGACCCTGCAGGTGCCCGCTTATGCACCCCTGGTCACTCCACACCTGGCTTGCCCTTGGCAGGCATGGGATCCAGGCTGGTAGTGTCAGTCAAGTGCAGCCTGCCAGGCCAAGTGGGCAGGATGAGCCCAGAAAGACCAAGCAAAATTCTGGCAAAGGTGCCACTGGCCACAGAGGTTTCTGGCTGGAAAAGCAACACCCTAAGGATCCTGTGATACTTCCACTTTTCAGATGAAGAAACTGAGGCCTAGTGACAACAAAAGACTCAACCCAATGATTCATCAATAGTATGTAGTAGAGCCAGGATTTAATCCAGGTAATCTAGGCTCACAGTCCATGTTCTGAACTACTATACAATGTTGTCTCTGTCTGTGCAAGAAGCTCCCTGAACTATAGTATATCATTGAACAATAAATAAATATTAATCATCATATATAGATGAACTTACCTAACATAGAATACTCTGCAGCTTTTTTGTTTTATTTTGTTTGAGACAGAGTCTTGCACTGTTGCCGGGCTGGAGTGCAGTGGCGCGATCTCGGCTCACTGCAATCTCTGCCTCCCAGGTTCAAGTGATTCTCCTTGCCTCGGCCTCTGAAGTAGCTGGGATTACAGGCACCTGCCACCATGCCCAGCTAATTTTTTTGTATTTTTAGTAGAGACGGAGTTTCACTATGTTGGCCAGGCTGGTCTCAAACTCCTGACCTCGTGATCTGCCTGCCTTGGCCTCCCAAAGTGCTGGGATTACAGGCGTAAGCCACTGCGCCCGCCCTACTCTGCAGTTTTTAAAAGGTGGGACTCACTAAGTGTGGTACCACCTCCTAGGAGGCATCTAGCAATAAATTATGAAAGGTTTACTTATTGATTGTCACAAGGTTCTAGTGGGCGCAGGATGCAGTCCCACAATTCACAGGACAGTACTACATGAAAAAAAAAAAAGCTGCCTAAATGCCAAGACTGAAAAACGCTGAGCTTGTTTTGTATATAAGAACATACATAGATTTCCAAGACATACTACAGAGTGAAAATGGGAAGTTGTAGAGTGATATGGACATAATACTATCAATGCAAATAAAACCAAAGGCTGAATGACACGCTATAATTTCTGTGGCTACATATATTTGTATTAATAACATAGGAAAAATTCTGGCAAGATACACATAAAACTTATAACCAGAGAACCTCTGAGGAGGAGCAGAAAGAAGTCCAGGATTTGGGCTGGTGCTCAAATGGAACTTTAGCTTTATCTCTGACATTCAGTTTTCAAGAGGAAATATAACTATGTAATTTGGCTGGGCACACTAGCTCACGCCTTGTAATCCCAGCACTCTGGGAGGCTGAAGTGGGAAGATCACTTGAGGCCAGGAGTTCGAGACCAGCCTGGCCAAAATGGTGAAACCCCATCTCTACTAAAAATACAAAAAAAAAAAAAAAAAAAAAAATAGCCAGGTGTGGTGGTGGGAGCCTGTAATCCCAGCTACTCAGGAGGTGGAGAAGGGAGAATCGCTTGAACCCAGGAGGCGGAGGTTGCAGTGAGCCGAGATCACGCCACTGTACTCCAGTCTAGGCGACAAAGCAAGACTCCATCTCAAGTGTGTGTGTGTAACACTATGTAATTAAAATTTTAGCTAGGTGTGGTGACACGCCCATAGTCCCAGCTACTCAGGAGGGTAAGGCAGGAGGATCACTTGAGCCCAGGAGTTTGAGGCTGTAGTGTGTCATAATTATGCCTGTGAAGAGCCACTGCATTCTAGCCTGGGCAACATAGTGAGACCCCATCTCAAAAAAAAAAAACTGGTTAAAAAAATATGAGAGAATATATTTGAGACTTTGGAATAGGAAAAGCTTTCTTAAACAAGATATTAATACAAAAAGTTAAAACTCTAAAAGACTGATAAATTTGTCTTTATCAACACTGCACACTTCTCTATGGCTAAACCCCATAATTAATGTTAAAGAAACAGGGACAAAATATGGTAAACATATGTAACAAAGCTAAGTATTAATAATTTTAAGACTTATATAAGTCAGTAAGACAAGAGGAAAGCACCCAATAGAGATGGGCAAAGAATAATAATAGGCAATTCCCAGAGGATAAAATGTAAAAGGTCAGTGAATAATCATATGAGAAGCTGCTCAACCTAGTACTAAATAGCAATTGGGGAAATTCAGCCAGATTGGCACAAATCTGTAATTTTAATAATATCACATTTTCAAGTACTGAAAATAGTTAAGTATTAGTGAGAACAAAGTAAATTAGGCACGTATATACACTATCAGGAGCAGAAACTAGTAAAACCACTCTGGATGGTAATGTGGCCACATCTATAAAAATTTTAACCCAGCCCTTTCACTTACTGGACTCCTTGACTAAGTACTTGCAGAGTTCCACAAGGAGACACATACAAAAAGATTCTCACGAACAGTTCTAAGGAAAAATTAGAAGCAACCTAAATGTCTAAAGTCAGATGAATAAACTATTATATAACCACATCAGAGACCACTATGCAGCAGTCATAAACAATGATGTAGAATCTACATTATAGGCCGGGCACAGTGGCTCACGCCTGTAATCCCAGCGCTTTGGGAGGCCGAGGTGGGCGGATCATGAGGTCAGGAGATCAAGACCATCCTGGCTAACACAGTGAAACCCCCTCTCTACTAAAAATACAAAAAAATTAGCCAGGCGTGGTGGCGGGCGCCTGTAGTCCCAGTTACTCGGGAGGCTGAGGCAGGAGAATGGCGTGAACCCTGGAGGTGGAGCTTGCAGTGAGCCGAGACCGTGCCACTGCACTCCAGCCTGGGCGACAGAGTGAGATTCCGTCTCAAAAAAAAAAAAAAAGAATCTACATTATAGAGTGACATGTACTGATATCAAAAGATTCCTAAGACACTGAAATAGCAAGCTGCAGACAAAATGTATGGTTAAAAAAGAAAAACCACTAGAAAACACGAAACAAGCCTCACTATTTCTTCATGTATACATGTTTATAAATGCATAGAAAGAGGTCTAAGAACAATGATAATTTGTAATCATGGTTATGTGTGGAGAAAGATCAGTAATGCAGAGATGGTCAAAGGGGGACTTCCTGCATTATTTAAATTGCTTTCAATAAGAACACATTCAAAAATCACATGTCCAATTAATCAAGCAATAAAAATAAATAATGAAAGCATTAAGGCCATAAATGAACTCTGAGTACACCTTTGCTTACACCTTCTTATTTTATTGTCAGTAGTTTCTTTCTCACTATTTCTAAATAGTATGTTGTTAATACATAATATCTAGAGGTGGGACTTTGGCTTGTCATTTAAAATTTCCAGTTTTATTACCCTATAGTCAGCCAAGGAAAGCATACCTTCATATCTTTTTATTTTTAATCACTAATATAATCATTATTCTTTATGGTCCTTGTTAGCATACTCAGCTTCAAGATTAAAGATACATATCAGATAGGATGTATTGTGCCTACTAGTATTCCAAAACCAAAATTTTCTAAAAGTATCCACAAGATTTTTTTTTTGAGATGGAGTCTCACTCTGTTGCCCAAGCTGGAGTGCAGTGGCACAATCTCTGCTCACTACAACCCCTGGCTCCCAAGTTCAGGTGATTCTCGTGCCTCAGCCTCCTGAGTAGCTGGGACTAAATGCACGCGTCACCACACCCGGCTAATTTTTGTATTTTTAGTAGAGACGGGGTTTTGCCTGTTGGCCAGGCTGGTCTCGAACTCCTGACCTCAGATGATCCACCTGCCTCGGCCTCCCAAAGTGCTGGGATTACAGAGGTTAGCCACTGCTCACAGCCCTCAACACATATTGTTTTAAACAGCAGTGAAAGCTTGTCTTTAAAAAGGGCCAAAGTGGGTACTTTCAATATTTTAAATTTCTTGGAATGCTGTTCAAAGTAACATTATGTCTCCTCCCTTTTATCACTGTATAATAGCCCACAAAGCACAGCTCAGAAAATTAACCAATTTCTCTAAGAGCATACCACAGTCAGAACTCAGAAAACCAGATTTACTGATTCCAATTCCAAGGTGCTATCCATACCTGTAGTTATAGGCAATGTCTTTCTTCTAAGAAAAAAAGAAAAACTTGTATAAGCCACCTTTTTCAGGCAAAGAATTTGTTTCCAATAATGTAATAACTGCAGTCATTTTTATTAGAAATAATAATGTGAAATAAGTGAACTGATGTGTAAATGTGTACCTAAAAGTGCTAATGCACACAAAATAACGGGTTGGTTATCTTTTTGTGCATAAAGGTTCCTAACCTAACTTTACTGCACACTCAATGCATTTATCAGTATAAAATTATATTCAATAAGTACCATAGAGTCTTCACTCTGACCTTTCTAGAATGAAAATAGTTGAATTTCTCTTGCCATAAAATCCATTTTGGAAAAGCAAAATTTAAAGTGACTATTTAACTTTTCCTCCAAAAATTGAGTTGGCCTCTCCTCCTCCCCTTCCCCCTCCCCCTCCCCACGGTCTCCCTCTCCCTCTCTTTCCATGGTCTCCCTCTGATGCCGAGCTGAAGCTGGACTGTACTGCTGCCATCTCGGCTCACTGCAACCTCCCCGCCTGATTCTCCTGCCTCAGCCTGCAGAGTGCCTGCGATTGCAGGTGCACGCTGCCACGCCTGACTGGTTTTCGTATTTTTTTGGTGGAGACAGGGTTTCGCTGTGTTGGCCGGGCTGGTCTCCAGCTCCTAACCGCGAGTGATCCGCCAGCCTCGGCCTCCCGAGGTGCCGGGATTGCAGACGGAGTCTCGCTCACTCAGTGCTCAATGGTGCCCAGGCTGGAGTGCAGTGGCGTGATCTCGGCTTGCTACAACCTCCACCTCCCAGCCGCCTGCCTTGGCCTCCCAAAGTGCCGAGATTGCAGCCTCTGCCCAGCCGCCACCCCGTCTGGGAAGTGAGGAGCGTCTCTGCCTGGCCGCGCATCGTCTGGGATGTGAGGAGCCCCTCTGCCTGGCTGCCCAGTCTGGAAAGTGAGGAGCATCTCTGCCCGGCCGCCATCCCATCTAGGAAGTGAGGAGCGCCTCTTCCCGGCTGCCATCCCATCTAGGAAGTGAGGAGCGTCTCTGCCGGGCCACCCATCGTCTGAGATGTGGGGAGCGCCTCTGCCCCACCGCCCCGTCTGGGATGTGAGTGCCTCTGCCCGGCCGCGACCCCGTCTGGGAGGTGAGGAGCGTCTCTGCCCAGCCGCCCCGTCTGAGAAGTGAGGAGACCCTCCGCCTGGCAGCCGCCCCTTCTAAGAAGTGAGGAGCCCCTCCGCCCAGCAGCCACCCCATCTGAGAAGTGAGGAGCCCCTCCGCCCGGCAGCCACCCCGTCTGGGAAGTGAGGACCGTCTCCGCCCGGCAGCCACCCCGTCCGGGAGGGAGGTGGGGGGTCAGCCCCTGCCCGGCCAGCCGCCCCGTCCGGGAGGGAGGTGGGGGTCAGCCCCCGCCCGGCCAGCCGCCCCGTCCCAGAGGGAGGTGGGGGGTCAGCCCCCGCCCGGCCAGCCACCCCGTCCGGGAGGGAGGTGTGGGTCAGCCCCCGCCCGGCCAGCTGCCCTGTCAGGGAGGGAGGTGGGGGGTCAGCCCCCGCCCGGCCAGACGCCCCGACTGGGAGGGAGGTTGGGGGTCAGCCCCCGCCCGGCCAGCCACCCCGTCCGGGAGGTGGGGGGCACCTCGGCCCGGCCGCCCCTACTGGGAAGTGAGGAGCCCCTCTGCCCGGCCACCACCCCGTCTGGGAGGTGTACCCAACAGCTCATTGAGAACGGGCCATGATGATAATGGTGGTTTTGTGGAACAGAAAAGGGGGAAAGGTGGGGAAAAGATTGAGAAATCGGATGGTTGCTGTGTCTGTGTAGAAAGAAGTAGACATGGGAGACTTTTCATTTTGTTCTGTACTAAGAAAAATTCTTCTGCCTTGGGATCCTGTTGATCTATGACCTTACCCCCAACCCTGTGCTCTCTGAAACATGTGCTGTGTCCACTCAGGGTTAAATGGATTAAGGGCGGTGCAAGATGTGCTTTGTTAAACAGATGCTTGAAGGCAGCATGCTCGTTAAGAGTCATCACCACTCCCTAATCTCAAGTACCCAGGGTCACAAACACTGCGGAAGGCCGCAGGGTCCTCTGCCTAGGAAAACCAAAGACCTTTGTTCACTTGTTTATCTGCTGACCTTCCCTCCACTATTGTCCTATGACCCTGCCAAATCCCCCTCTCGGAGAAACACCCAAGAATGATCAATTTAAAAAAAAAAAATTGAGTTGGTAATTTTTGGTTTGCTTTATTTTACCTCTCTTCCTCCATAATGGAATCTTCTTTCCCAGGCATTTCTGATGTATTGTCATACATGAGTTTATGAGTTTCAATGAAGTTTTTCTGTAAGGCAGACATCTGAGCCATGATCTTCTGGCGATGTAGCCTAGCAGCTTCAGCTTTTCTTTTTCGTTCTGCTTTTTCTTTATCATGAGTAATCTGGGTATTAAGAAATGACAAATTTAGGTAAGATCCACTGTTAAACATTTATATACGCTGTTTGGATGGCAAAATTCCTTAGAATAAGATTCTGAAACCCTGATTACCCCTTACATCCTGGATTCAGTTTAATGTTTCAAAATTAGCATTACAGGCTGCATGACATCATACAACTAATTATTCCTTTAGTTATTTAAATAATTTACTGTAAAAAGCTAAGAACCTTAAATATCCAATTAACTGCCTTTTATACTCAATGCAGGTACCTTAAGAAATAAAATTAGATAAAACAATTTCAAAATCATTTGTCAATCACTTAATCACTGACAATTTAAACAATCTTGATTTCTAACAGTTACTTCTAAATGCACTGTGAAAAATGAGAAATTTAACAATTTTTTTAACTTTAACAATATTACTGAGATACATTTGGTGCATGTTAATTTTCTATTCAAATTTACATCGTGTGTTTTACTGAACATGTAATAACCACAAATAATATTATTCTAATAATACAAATTTTAGAATCATCAAAACCTGATTCACTATATTATAGCAATAACACAAATATTATTGCATTTCATTGAATCTAAGATATACCATTATCTTATATTTCTCTAAAACATGCTGTTGATGAAAGTCATTTATTGTGAGACATATCCCAATTTAAGTCACTAAAATATATTAAAAGTTAATAAAATATGGTATTTTGGTTTTTTGTTTTTGGGATGGAATCTTGCTCTGTCACCCTGGCTGGAATGCAGTAGCGTGATTTTGGCTCACTGCAACCTCCGCCTCCTGGGTTCAAGTGATTTTCGTGCCTCAGCCTCCCGAGTAGCTGGGACTACATGAGCAAGCCACCACATTGGGCTAATTTTTGTATTTTTACTAGAGACGTGGTTTGGCCATGTTGGCCAGGCTGGTCTTGAACTCCCGACCTCAAGTGATCTACCCACCTCCGCCTCTCAAAGAGCTGGGATTTCTAACAGAGCTCTACGATATATCAATTTCTCCTGTTTTTGCAAAATACAAAAATTATACTGAGTTGTCACGTACCATTAATCTCCACAATATAGAAGCATAATGAATAAAAGATGGACAGATCTCATATACTTCACAATCAACAGGTTTCTCCTAACAAAAAAGCAGTAGCTCCCTTATACCAGTAAAGTTCAAAGACAGAGATGAATGTCACCATTACTACAGTGTTATTACAGTGTCATACCTCATCATTCTTAATAGATTCCGATCCTGATGTGGTTGCTACAATTAAACAAGATTTTTCTCTTAATCGCTTCACTGTGTCAAACATCTGTGAAAAACAGATGAAACGTTAAAAGAGTTAGTTAGACTGTTAGACCGACCAGGAACAGAAACATTCACTAATCTGATTTTGGCATCATATCTCCAAATGTCTTTCACTTAAACTATTTCAATATATGAAGAAAAAAAGTGACTCTGACTGTGACAAACGCCTCCCCTGGTCAATGAGCAATCCAGCTGAGGAGGAGGCCACTGGTAGCAGAATCAGCAGATTCAGTAGGCTGGGGGCATGCCTCTGTTAGCTTTCAAGAGATTTGCCAGGAAACAAAAATTTTTTTAATTTGAAATAATATTTTTGTGCAAAAACACATAAAAACAAAGACACAAAATGGTGACTGCTCTTTGGGAGGCGGAGGCGGGTAATCTCAGCACTTTGGGAGGCCAAGGCAGGTGGATCACCTGAGGTCAGGAGTTAGAGATCAGCCTGGCCAACATAGCAAAATCCTGTCTTTACTAAAAATACAAAAATTAGCTGGGCGTGGTGACCCATGCCTGTGATGCCAGCTACTTGGGAGGCTGAGGCAGGAGAATCGCTTGAACCTGGGAAGTGAAGGTTGCAGTGAGCTGAGATTGTGCCACTGCACTCCAGCCTGGGTGACAGAGCGAGACCCTGTCTCAAAAAAAAAAAAAAGATACAAAATGGAAAGTAAAATCCTCCTCTCCCTGATTACAACACCTCTATCAGAATATATAATTTTTATATTTACATCTATTTTCATAAAAAGAGATCTTACCATACATACTGTTTCACACATCCTCTTTTCACTTAATCATTTATCTTCGGAGACATTTCGACATTTCTTTTTTGGTTTGTTGTTTTTTTTTTTTTTAACAGGGTCTTGCTCTGTCGCCCAGGCTTGAGCGCAGTGGTGCAATCTTGGCTCACTGCAAGCTACGCCTCTTGGGTACATGCCATTCTCCTGCCTCAGCCTCCTGAATAGCTAGGACTACAGGTGCCCGCCATAACGCCCGGCTAATTTTTGTATTTTTAGTAGAGACGGGGTTTCACCATGTTAGCCAGGATGGTCTCGATCTCCTGACCTCATGATCCGCCCACCTCAGCCTCCCAAAGTGCTGGGACTACAGGCATGAGCCATCGCGCCCAGCTATCCTCGGAGACATTTCCACAACAGCTTATACAGAACTGCCTCATTCTTATTAACAAAGCTCATGGTTTCAGCATGAATGCATTCATTAATTCATTAATTCATTCATTCGACAGAGTTTCAGTCTGTCGTCCAGGCTGGAGTGCAATGGCACAATCTTGGCTCACTGCAACCTGTCTCCTGGGCTCATGCCATCTTCTCACCTCAGCCTCTCAAGTAGCTGGGACTAGAGGCGCACACCACCATACCCTTGACTAATTTTTGTATTTTTTGTAGAGATGGAGTTTTTGCCACATTGTCCAGGCTGGTCTTGAACTTCTGGGCTCAAGCAAGCCACCCACCTTAGCTTCCCAAAGTGCTGGAACTATAGGTGTGAGTCACTGTGCCCAGTAAAATTTATTTATATTTTGAAAGAACCTTGGTCTCATGAGGAAAAATTTCCCACAATGAACACCTACAACATAGCTTTAAATCAACCATCTGGATAGAGTATCTAATGTTTTTAACAGCAGATACATGTGCTTTTCAGATATTTTGATAATAAAATTTAGTATTCTAATTGAAAATGAATTTTCAGGACTAGATCTGCAATTCATAACACCATCTCTATGGGATATGAATGCTGAACTAAATGGTACCTCGATTTACTTTCTTAATAGTTACCTACTTTCGTTTGATTTTATAATCTTAAAATAATATTGGCTAGTTTAACACAAATACTACATATTCATAAAATCTACTTCAAGAAGAATTTTAATAATATCACTATCTTTTTTTTTTTGAGACGGAGTCTCGCTTTGTCGCCCACGCTGGAGTGCAGTGGTGTTATCTCGGCTCACTGCAAGCTCCACCTCCCGGGTTCAAGCCATTCTCCTGCCTCAGCCTCCTGAGTAGCTGGGACTACAGGTACCCGCCACCACACCTGGCTAATGTTTTTTGTATTTTTAGTAGAGACGGGGTTTCACCATGTTAGCCAGGATGGTCTCGATCTCCTGACCTCGTGACCCCGCCGCCTCAGTCTCCCAAAGTGCTGGGATTACAGGCGTGAGCCACCACGCCAGGCCAATAATGATATTACATCATGCTTAAGGACTGTTTCTAATAAAATGGTAAGAAGAGCTGCCCTCTTAAAAGTATAAATCAGTACCAAGATTTCCAATTGATAAGAATGTGAAAAATAACTACTTTATATATTCTGATTATCAAAACAATACTTACCTAAAAACATCAGAATATCTTAATGAATGCAATGAGTGCAGAAGCTCCATAATCCTGGCTTCAGGTTTTTTTTTTTTTTTTTTTGAGACAGAGTTTCACTCTGTCGCCCAGGCTGGAGTGCAGTGGTGCGATCTCGGCTCACTGCAACCTCCGCCCTCAGAGTTCAGGCGATTCTCCTGCCTCAGCCTCCTGAGTAGCTGGGATTACAGGCGCCTGCCACCACGCCTGCCACCACGCCCAGCTAATTTTTTTTTTTTTTTTGTATTTTTAGTAGAGACAGGGTTTCACCATCTTGGCCAGGCTGGTCTTGAACTACTGATCTTGTGATCCACCCGCCTCCGCCTCCCAAAGTGCTGGGATTACAGGCGTGAGCCACCGTGCCTGGCCGGTTTTATGTTTCTATGTGGAGGTTTTCCATTAAAGTAACATTCCTGGCCTCTCTCTCCCCTGCTTATTTAATTCACTCGTCTCCAAAGGCAATGCTATCTACTCAATAGCTCAAGCACCAAATCCAGGAGTCATCTTTGATTTCCTTTTTTCTGAGACAGACTCTTGTTCTGTTACCCAGGCTGGAGTGCAGTGGTGCGATCTTGGCTCACCGCAATCTCCACCTCCCTGGTTCAAGCAATTCTCCTGCCTCAGCCTCCCAAGTAGCTAGGACTACAGGTGTGCCCCACCATGCCTGGCTAATTTTTTGTATTTTTAGCAGAGATGAGGTTTCACCATGTTAGCCAGACTGGTCTCGAACTCCTGACCTCAGGTGATCTGCCTGCCTTGGCCTCCCAAAGTGCTGGGATTACAGGTGCTAGCCACCATGCCCAGCCTCATCTTTGATTTATTTCCTTCATCTCTCCCATCAGACTGATGAGCAAGTACTATAGATTTTATCTTCATACACCTTCGACATGCACCTTAATCAGTTCAGATTCTTACTATCTGCATCTTAGCCTAGGTCATGCTTATTTCATATCAAGATTACTGCAACAGTCTCCTAACAGTTTCCTTACTTGTATGCCTATCCCCCATAATCCATTTACTCCACAGCAGCCAATACCATCTTGTACAAATATAGATTAGGTCACTTAAAATCCTCCAATATTTTCCCATTGTCCTAAAAAATTATCACTTTATGCTGACTTATAAGGACCTACAAGATCCGGCCCCTGGCCACCCCTCTGATCTCATTGCCCACTTTTCCATCCCTCACCCATTATGTTCCAGCCATACTGACCTTCTTTCTGGCCACCACAGAGCTTTTGCACTGCTGTTCCCTCTTCCTGGAGTACTCTTCCAGACTCTTCTAAGACTGACTCCATGTCATTAAGGTCTTAGCTCTAATGTCGTGTTTTGAGAGAGGCCTTCCCTAATTACCCAAAGTAACCCCTTACTCATCTATTGAATTACCCTGATATTTTTGTTTATTTATTTGTTTAATGTCTGTCCCTCAACTGGAGTATATGTTCCATGATAGTAAGCACCTTGTCTGCCTTGTTCCATCTAGAAATCTATAAGTGAGCATGGCACATGGTAGGTTTTCAGTAAAGTTGACTAAATAACGACAAAAAAAATGAATAAATCTTAGTTTATTTTTAAAACTACAATAAAATATAGGAAAATAGAATTATTAACATGAAAAATAAGTGATTATGAAAACCAGTAGTAAATGTCTACAATGGTACAGTGGTTTAACACTGGAGGCAAGCAGAGAATTCTTAAATATTTAAACCAAGATATGATCACTTTACTTTTTTAGTTTACCTGAAGTATCCACGTTATCATGTCCTTCTGGCCTTCTAACTGGGGAATTCCTTTGAGTTTTTCCAAAAGCATTTGTATATTCATGGCTGAACTTCCCAATCCTTTTTTAAAACACAAAATCACACATCATAAATACATAAAGTCATCTCTTGGTATCCTCAGGGAATTGGTTTCAGGACCCCTGTGGACATCAAAGTCCACTAATGCTCAATTCCCTTATGTAAAATGGTGTAGTATTTGCATAAAATCTATACACATGCTTCTGTATGCTTTAAATCATCTCTAGATTACTTATAATGCCTAATACAATGTAAATGCTATGTAAATAGTTATTAGATAATATTGTTTAGGGAATAATGACAAGAAAAAAAAGTCTGTACATGTTCAGTACAGTGACAACCATCCTTTTTCCTTTTTCCCCCTGAATATTTTCAAACTGCGATGGGATGAATCCCTAGATATGGAACCCACAGATATGGAGGGTCAATTATGTCTTCATAATTATGTACAAATTACAATTTCTAGTTAATGTTATTTACATTGATAACCAAGGTTTGCCAATCAATCCCTTAACTTCATTAATTATTCAATGGACAAATCTGCAATTATATGAAGTACTGGATTACAATGATATGATCTACTAAATTTAAAAATGACTTTAAGTCTCTCTCTTACATCTTTTACTGGCACTGCTAAGTGAAAGCTACCCTAAATATCTGTCTCTGGTCTTTCCTCTGCTTGACTCAACATCTAAGCAAAAGTGCTTAATGAGAAACAAAATTGCCAAAAATATTGAAGTGGAGGACTGTATATCCATAAACTGAATAGGTTTTTGATGTCTTCAGGGATCTAAAAAATACAGCATGTAAATAGAAAATGTTTGTCTCCTATTGTTTTTATAATCAACATGCCTGGAATGTGCTTTGAAAAAAACTATCTTAATCAGGTAGCATTTATTAGAAATCTAATTTAAAACTATCCTTTTCTTCCAAGTTGAATACAACGCAAAATGAACGTTATCATTCAGATTTCTATCATTTAAAATTCAGAAACAATATCTTATTAAGACATGTCACTTGAATGCTATGGTTGACACAGCAGCAAATATTTGATAATACTGAGATGAGGAATGAAAGTTAAAAAATACCAATATATGCAACCAAAAAAAAAAAAAAGTGGGGCGATCATGTAGTAAAAAGATTGTAGTAAAGATTATAGTAAGGGATTAAAAAATATATTAGTATACTTGAAAATATTAGTTACAAACTAAGAATGCTAGGAAAAAAATTATTTCAGGGTTACCTATGTTTTAAGGACTGACAGATTAAAACTCTGTAAGATATAAACTTTCAGGATTGACAAATTAAAACTCCTTAAGATCTAGACTTTCAATGACAAATGTGTTGAAGAGTGATACTCAAACATACTTGAAGCCTTATGATAAAAGTCAAATGTTACTTCTTCTTCAGGAGCTTTTTGAAGCTGTTGCTTCTCTTCTAGTAAACCCAATGCCAGAATATGAAAAGCCTGAAGGAGGAAAATAAGAGATCTTTAAAATTGCGCTTCTTCAGGTAAATATATTTTTAATTTAATTTTAATTTTTTTCAGAGACTGGTCTCACTCTGTCACCCAGGTTGGAGTGCAGTGGGGCAATCCTAGCTTACTGCAGCCTTAAGCTCTTGGGCTCAAGTGATCCTCCTGCCTCAGCCTCCTGAGTAGCTGGGGACTAGAGGTGCACACGACCACGCCCAGCTAAATTTTTTTTGGAGGGGGCGGGGGGTATAGACAGCATCTCACTATGTTGGCCAGGCTGGTCTTAAACTCCTGCGCTCAAGTGATCCTCCTGCTTCAGCTTCCCAAAGTGCTGCAATTACAGGTATGGGCCACCATGCCTAGCAAGGTAAATCTATTTTAAGTAGAAGTATAAAAATAAGAAAGCTGATAGGTAAAAAACACGGAAAGGTTTCAGCAGTTCACATTAAGCAGTTTACAGAAAGAGAAATGATGAATACACATATGAAAAATGTTCAACCTGGCCCGGAGCTGGTGGCTCACTTCTGTAATCCCAGCACTTTCGGAGGTTTGGGTGGGTGGATCACCTGAGGTCAGGAGTTCATGACCAGCCTGGTCAACATGGTGAAACCTTGTCTCTACTAAAAATACAAAATTAGCCAGGTGTGGTGGTGGGCATCTGTAATCCCAGCTGCTTGGGAGGCTGAGGCAGGAGAATCGCTTGAACCCAGAGGCGGAAGTTGCAGTGAGCCAAGATTGTGTCACTGCACTCCAGCCTACTCCAGCCTGGGTGACAAGTGAAACTCCATCTCAAAAAAAAAAAAAAAAAAAAAAAAAAAAGTTCAACCTCACTTAAAGAAAAATGAGTTGAAACAAGATCATCCTATTTTTCACCTATTACAGTGGCAAAAATTTTGGTGTTTAGTAAAATATAGAGCTGGCATAGGTATTGGGAAGTAGGCACTTTTGACCATAGTGGTGATGGTAAAGTAAACTGGTATAACATTTTTGGAGGCCAATTTGAAAACATCTATCAAAAATGTAAAGGTATATACCAACTATTAGGAATTAGTATGACAAATACGCTCCCTTAGGTATGCAAAAACATTTGTATAAGAACGTACATTTTATTGTTCTTTGTTACAGCAAAGACCTAGAAACACCTGAATGTCTATTAATAGGAGACTACTGAAACACATTATATCCATACAATGGACTACGCAGCTATCAAGAATAAGTAGATCTATATGCACTAATGTGCAATGATTTCCAGAATATACAAAACTTTAACAATGCTTATGTCCTATATAGCATACTGGGACTCAGGGAGAGAAATTTTAACTTGGTTTCAAACATATCTCTATGGTTTGAAATTTACTAGTGAATGTATTTATCAGTGTTATAATAAAAATTGAGGCACACATATGGCAATGACAGCATTTAGAACCTGTAGACCAACAATACTCAAGGAAAAAGGAACATTTAGTTAGGCAGGTATAAATAAATATGGTGTTACAACTACCATGACGTGGCATAATTAAGTAACGTGTATTTATCTACAACAGTAACAAGGAAAAGTAGCTGCTTTCACTTTAGCTAATTCTCCTACCTCTATGAATAATTACACTTTTATCCATTTTACTAATGAGAAAATTATTATTTGCTCCTTAAATAGGAAGTGGGGAAACCCAAGACTGACGTCTAGACCTATCTTCAAATTTTATTATACTGTCTCCTTATAATTCAAGTAAAATTAAAAATATAAAAAATCATGACACAATAACAACATGTCAATTTATTAGCATAAGTACACCTGTTTTTGTTTTCATGGGTTTTATTAAACAGAAATGGTTCCCAAGAGTAAGGATGCTAAAAACACGAGATCACTAAAAAAAATTTGTGCTGTGTGTAAGCTATTTTTAATGACCCCTATGTTTCCGGTGCTCTAGATGTGGTTCCAACTGAAGTTAGACCTGAGATCTTCCCTAGCTCCCCAAGAACTCTAGGACTTGATGTAGAGAAAATATTTCAGGTAAACAAACCATTTGGAGCATCCCTTCGGTCCACAAGTTAGAATCTGTGTCTATTGCCCGCTCAAATACGGTCCTGAGAATGTACATCATGATATCACAGTTGAGAAGGTTAATCACTTTGCTGAAAGCAGGGCAGAATTCAGGAGGTGGTGGTGGCGGCAATGCTATAGGAGGTGGGGAATGGATGGGGAAAGAGACAAACAGGTACATTTTTATTTGGGTTATCCTACATACTAAAGTGCAAATGTCAAAAAATAATAGGTTACATGCAAAACAACACATGCTTTTTTGCTACCTTTCCAGTACTGAAAATATCAATGTTAAGTGTAATGTAAGTACTATATCAGTCACCCAAAATGAACTACATTTGTTATCAATTTTAAATTCAATCACTACTGATATATACCATATCTTAATATGTGAATAAGAAGCAAAAAGCTCTTTGCACTTCCTTGAGTTGCCCACTCTCAAAAACCAACAACAACAAAAAACTATATGCTTTGCTGATGTGAAACCACAGAAAATAGTCAAAATGAGTCAATTCAGAATCTCACTTTTTACCTTCATCTTTGTTTTCTTGTTTTCTCCTTTTCTTCTGCATATGTTCAGCCTATAAAAAAATCTATCATTAAATATACTGCTTTGGAAGCATGAAACAAATGAAATACATTAAAGCAGTCAGGAAAGACCCAACCACCTATTAAAATACTTTATATACTGAAGCATGTATTCAAAATGCCTCTTTGTCCTAGAAATAAAATTGTGTTCTAGAGAAACCTAATGCAAAATAGATGAGGAATATCCCTGATCAAAAACTTAGTCTCCATTATTTTCTACTGAAAATATTTACCCAGTACCTATTATGCACAGGGTACTATGCTATGGGCTGTAAAGTATTTACTTGATAAGGACAAAGCCAGACATCACCTTAACTAACTGATCAAACTTAACATGATCCTTCATGGGACAAAAAGACGTATGTGCCTAATAATGGGATGCAATATATCATTTACATAGTATTCTTGCCAAAAACTGTTTAAGCTGAATCTATTTGGTACTCTATAGAAATGCCGATGTTACAAAAGAAAAAAATGCAAAAGAATTATCTTCTAAATTAAAGGAAACTATTGGCCGGGCGAGGTGGCTCACGCCTGTAATCCCAGGACGTTGGGAGGCCGAGGTGGGTGGAATCATTTGAGGTCAGGAATTTGAGACCAGCCTGGACAACATGGTGAAACCCGGTCTTTACTAAAAATACAAAAATTAGCCAGGCATGGTGGCATGTGCCTATAGTCCCAGCTACTCAGGATGCTGGGGCAGGAGAATCACTTGAACCTGGGAGGTGGAGGTTGCAGTGAGCTGATATCGTGCAACTACGTTCCAGCCTGGACAACAGAGTGAGGCTCCATTTCACAAAACAAAAACAAAAACAAAAAACAAAACAAAACAAAAACTAAAGAAACATGACAATCAAATGAGTGTGTGATGATGAAGTCCATGATGCTTGATTGAATCCTCTTCCCAAAACAGCTATTAAAGACATATGTAGTATAATCAGGAAAATCTGAATATTGCCTGTATACTAGATAAGATTATTGATTCAATTTTAATTCTTGGGTGACATAATGACCTCTATTAATAAGAACCAGCGTGAAACTATAGAAAAAGCAGAAAATTTTCTGTGGAGTTAGAAAGCATAAAGCATTTAGGTTTATTTACTGAAAAGGATACTTTTTTCTACCTTGCTATGCTGGGTTTTGGAGTAATGATAAAAGTACATATTGAAGTCTTTCAGTGATTCATCTTTTAGTTCATAAACTCCATGGCCTGATACACCTGGTTTCCTAAATAGATGGAAAATACAAGATGAACTGCAGTGTTCTTGAAGTATAAAATATAGACAAAATAAAAACCTAAAAATTAATCTAGAAGTCAAATATACAGAAAAAAATTATGTCTCATTTAGCTTATGAAAAATTCCATTGCAATAATAAAACTAAAAACCTACATTGTGAACACAAAGCCTGATAACAGCTAAGCTGTGTTTTATAATAATGAAATTCAAACAAATCTGGAGAAGTTTGTTTTATACTATCTAGAACTGATACCATGCCCTATCTCTAAAGCTTCTTAGAGATTTAAGAGTCTCTGATGCCTAAAGGTTGTCTGTTCAACTAAAGAACACTTCATTGACCTTAGACACTTCATTGTCTAAGGTCATATCTAAAACAGTAGGGAGACATCATAACCTTAGTAATTTGCAAATGAAAATATACTACTGAATCCTTTATATAGTACTATAAGGAAAATCACTGAGGTCAAAAGGAGTACTCCATATTTGTTCTAAACATTAAACAGCTTTTGGTTTCTATCCAATCTCTAAGTCGAATATTTCAATGAACATTACTAGATCATAAGAAAAGCTATACCCTATTTTAAAAGTTATTTGAAACTAGTAATGTATCTGTAAACACAATACTGTAACAAGTAGAAATTCACTATCAGTATCGATTTTTCAAATTTCAAAGATTAATACAATTAAATTTGTATTTCCATTTTATATACTGAAATGAAAATATTATAAAATACTGTTTTAATTCTACCAGAGAATAATCCAAAATTAGCATATAAAATAAAAATTTATAAAATAAATGAAATCATGGGTTCAGATTAATGGGAAAGAGAGTATCAGAAAAGTTCATTTACTTACTATCTAAATAAATCACCTAATATCATAAATGAGTATTTCTCATTCACTTGCCAAAAACACTCATTTTTTCAACAAACAGGTGCTAAGTGTCTACTGTGAGCCCCTCATTCTCACCCTTTCTAATCTGTATTCCACTCTTATTCTTGGGAGTTCAGGCAAGAACTTCAGAGCTTCTACAAAGTATCCAAAGTACAAGAACAAAGATCAAACTACCTTTTAGAATAAGCATAAATATTAAGCACTTACTTAAATGTGGCCACTTTGTTTATGACATTCTCTAAGCCAGTTTCATTATTTTCCTGTTGAAACAATATTTTTGTCATTTTTACCTTCATATAATGACTTCCACCTCTCTGTGAAGTGAAATACATTTTCTACTGCATCTCTGAAGTACTTTGTAAATAATTTTAAAAAGATCAATTTCCACTATTAAAAAATTAGGTCTAAAACCAATTATCTACGTTTTGGGAGACCAACTTCGTAAGAGGTAAGATGTATATATAAACTGTTTAAGAAAGGTTATCTAAGTTTGCCTTCATATGTGTGTATAAGTACACACATACATCTACAGCATACACACATAGTATTACCAATACTTCAAAGAAAAGAAGCTCTTCTTTATGTAGTATGTTCATCACCCTCATCATTTATGTACATGCCCATGCTGTATTAATCCCTAAAACCAAGGTAACAAAATTAATGAGCTCCAACTAGTTAATCTATAGCAATACATGTCTAGATGTCCTAATATATTCTACCTTTTGCAAGTTTTTTTCTGATTGACCTGATCTTTTCCTTAAATAGGGAACACTATTTTTTTACAAAGTCATTTAAAATTAAGATAAGGACCTAGTCAAACTACTACAGTAAGCTCACAGATTCCTGTAGGCTTGTAAAGATAAGAAAGGTAACCTCCCTTAAAAATACATATATTTGGCCGGGCACAGTGGCTCACACCTGTAATCCCAGCACTTTGGGAGGCCGAGGCGGGTAGATCATGAGGTCAGGAGTTCGAGACCAGCCTGGCCAACATAGTGAAACCCTGTCTCTACTAAAAATATAAAAATTAGCCAGGCATGGTGGTGCGCGCCTGTAGTCCTAGCTACTCAGGAGGCTGAGGCAGGAGAATCACTTGAACACAGGAGGCGGAGGTTACCGTTAGCCAAGATGGCACCACTGCACTCCAGCCTGGGCAACAGACCAAGACTCCATCAAACAAAAAAAAAAAAACAAACAAACAACAACAAAAAAATATATATATATATATTCCTTGGCCGGATGCAGTACATCACACCTGTAATTCCAGCACTTTGGGAGGCCAAGATGGGTGGATCACTTGAGGTCAGGAGTTCCAGACCAGCCTGGCCAATATGGTGAAATCCCATCTCTACCAAAAATAATAAAAACTAGCCGGGTGTGGTGGCGTGCACCTGTAATCCCAGCTACTCGGGAGGCTGAGGAAAGAGGATCGCTTGAACCCGGGAGACGGAGGTTGCAGTGAGCCAAGATTGTGCCACTACACTCCAGCCTGGGTGACAGAGCGAGACTTCGTCTCAAGGAGAAAAATAAATAAATAAAAACAAATACACACACACGCACACACACACACATCTCTATTCTACCTCTTTGGAAAGCCTTGACAGCACAAATAAGTATAATTATTTTTTAAGAATCATTTTTCTAACTCATATTCAAATCTCAGAGGGAAAAAACATGAGACTCATAATCTGTAGGACTATTACCACAGTATCTGTATATACAAAAATACAAATGCCACCTGTGGTGGTCATGAGAATGTACCTTGCAGACATCTGATTACAGGGAGTAAATAACCACGTGCCTCAACTGCTGTGCTCTGGTGAAACTAAGGCCAAGCTTCTCACCAGTCATTACCAGACAATGAGCAAGGCAGAGATACTAACGCAGGCTCATTCTGGGAGACATGGGGAGGGACAGATGGAAAGGCCATTGAAGCCCAGCAGTCTGGGATGCTTCTATGTAACTTTCCTTCCCTCTTTATTTCACTGGGAATCAGATTGGCATCAGAATCTGATGGCTCCCCTTGTCATTCCCAGATCCCTTACCATTGCCTTTAATAAAAATCTTAATGTTTTGTCACAAGATCTGCTTCTCAGAAGACCCAGATTAACACACCACCCAGTTTCAGAAGTTCCCTTTCAAGAAGTTCCCTTTTTTCCTCTGGAGTAATCTTTATTTTAAAGTAAACAAAAAGTAAAGGAGTTTCTCCCAGAATTAAAATTTATACCACTAAAGGATGAAGGTGATTGGTTTACATCTATAAGGTAATGATATAGGACTTTTTGCCTAAAATTTTGAAGTAGTTTCCAATTAAAGAAAAAGAAACATCTACCCCATCTTGAGGTACATAGAGATAAAACCAAAATCAGACTTACATTCTCAGGTAAATTTTTGGCAATGGCACTGTGTGGCATGGGTTCAATGCAAAGCAAGTGAATGATTTCTCTCATTGTGACCTCTTCTTTGGTCACATTTCCCACTCCAGGTACATAACGCTCACCTAGTTCAAATAATTAAAAACAAAAAAAAAGTAGAATAATTATTTTCTATTTAAATCTCTCCCCATCAGAAGCACTTACACACAGAACACTGCATTAAATTAAATCTGTGAGAGAGGGGCAAAAGTTATTTGAATGTGTTCCCAAATCTGAATAAGAATCTATGTTGAAAGACAGAGGCAGAAAACTGTGACCTGAAGGAGAATCCAGGCCTTGTCTTAGCTTACTTACACACATACAAACAAACACACATACATATACATACATATTCGTATACATACACATACACATACTCACACATTATAAACAAGGCCCCTCAAATAAATTAGCATGTGTTTCTAACCCAGAACACATGGCTGATGGCATCTGAATGAGCAGTGGCCATCACTGAATAGCTTTTCTTTCAAGATCTTTCTCAATTTTGTCTCTACTTGTTATTTAACAAAGAACAAAGTGAAAACTGAAAAACACAATACTTTAAAATGTCTTTATGTGCTAAATGACAAAACAGTAATATGTATTAAAAATGACTGGTGCTGTGAAAATGCCCACAAGGTCAGATTTCCATTTTCATCACAATAAACTGCCAAATGAAGAGAGAAAATAGCTAAAATAAGTATGAGAACTTCACCGGTGTCAACAGCATCTAATTCCGATTGCCTTAAGAAGGCTTACAATATGTGGCCTTATGTTACCACTGATTTTCAACACTACAGTATCTGTATGAAGTCCTATGATATCTATAAGAGGGTTACAAAGAAACCCCTTGCCTAAGAGATTTGATGAATTCTACAAATTTGCCAAAGAACGACTTTTTGTTAAGTGAATTCGTTTCCAACACATTCATTCCTCTTTACATTTGTAAAGCATTTTGTAATTTCCATAACTTTTCACCAAAAACAGTATCCCCTAGAATTTCAGTGCTAGAAGAAACCTTAGAGATCACGTAGGTTACCTCCACATTTTACAAATCAGGAATCTGAGGCCCAAAGAATGCAACTGCATGCTCTTGAAAGTTGGTAGCAAGGCCAAGACTAGAGTTCCTGATACTAAATCCAAATATTTTTCTATTTCTTAATGATTTTCCACTATAGATCAGAAATATAATTTTTTAAACAAAAATGTTGACTCCTGAGAGTAATGAACTTAAACTCAGGAGCAGAGCAAGTATTAACTAAAAATCAAATCACAAGAAAAAAAAAACAATAAATTTGGGCAAACACAATAATAGTAAAATAACAGTAGGAAAAATAAAACAGTAAAAATAAAACAGCAAAATTATACTACAATATTAGAGATTCTTTACATAGCACTCTAAGGACAAATGCAAAAATTTCCCTTGAGTTTTCCTAATTTGAAAAAGTATATAATCAATTTTAAAATCTTTTACACATTCTTAATTTGCCCATTTTTTCCCATCTGTTTCTAACTGGCATATTCTGGACAGGAAGGTTTAAGTCTCACTCAGCAATAAAGGCTTACTACACTTTCTGCTGAGACATGTAGCTGGTCTAGCAACTAGCTCTCTGACAAACAATAAGTAAAAATGAATCCATGTTTACAGACTTAGGTAACAGCTAGAATCCCCAACTAAAGAACTATTCAAACCAAACAGCGTTTGGTGCAGTAAAGTAAATAACAAAAGCCAGAATGAGAAGTCAAAAACAAGATGACAGCCGGGCGCGGTGGCTCACGCCTGTAATCCCAGCACTTTGGGAGGCCAAGGCAGGCAGATCATGAGGTCAGGAGTTCAAGACCAGCCTGGCCAATATGGTGAAACCCCGTCTCTATTAAAAAATATATACATATATACAAAAATTGGCCAGGCGTGGTGGCGCACACCTGTGGTCCCAGCTACTCAGGAGGCTGAGGCAGAAGAATCGCTTGAATCCAGGAGGCAGAGGTTGCAGTGAGCTGAGATCGCACCACTGCACTCCGGCCTGGGCGACAGAGCAAGACTCCGTCTCAAAAAAACAAAACAAAACAAAACAGAACAAGATGATGGCAATGAATGTACCAGGTGGTAAAATCAACACAGACTATGACATAGCATATATTTGTATTCAATAGGTTAGAATATAGTGTTTCTGCAGCAAATATTTATATTAATCTCAACTGAATTTCTATGGGTCAATGTCATAACTTGATAAACATTATTTCTGGCAAAGAACACTCTTTTTCTTTTCTCTAAGTAACCTTAACAAAGCTAAGTATGACCAATATTTGCAGAAAATAATTAAACAGAATGACATAATGAAAATATATTTCACTTAGACCTATAATATATATAAAATTTTTAGCACTAAAGGACCTCCAAATAAGTCAAAACATTTACAAATCAGGTACTGAAAAATAAAAATGTAAAATCTGTGCTTTTGTGAAGGTGATTTTCTAAATGCAGTATACGAATAAGGAGTAAAATGATCAATTATAGTTCATATAAATGGTCTCTCTAAAAAGTAACCCATGTTCTATTTCAAAACATTGTGTTTTAATCTTACCCACAATATAGATGAGGACCTGAAGCATTTCTTCTATTAGTGTATTATATTGTTTAATCAAATCCTATAGAATCGAAAAAGAGTAAATTAGTTATGGAAGAACCAAAAACCTCCATAAAACATGCATTTCTGGACGAGACTCATGGTCCATCCAGCCTAGTATTTTTCATCCAGTCCAGTATTTTTTTTGTATGTGTGCACAGCACAAATAGTTACAATAGTTCCCTTTTTTGACATCAAATTCAACAATACCTGGCATATAATTGCTAAATACTGTCATCATTTTCATTATCATTATCCCCCACATAGTCATAAATAAGCACACATGCTAATCTTCAACTCTTCTTCTATTATTTGCTGCCTTCTTACCTGCGTTAGTGAGAAAGTGCCTTCAAATAGATTGCCAACAGTTATATGGTGAGAGTATCCTTCTCTAACACGCCCCTCATTTAAACTATGAAATCAGATACTGATTTTCACTAAGTATAAAACAACTAAAAATTAGCTCTGCATTTTATATCCTATTCATGTTAGCCCTTTGCAAGTAACTTCTATTTTTTTCATTTAAAAACATTTTTTGGCCAGGTGCAGTGGCATGCGCCACTGCTCCTGGCTATCCCAGAGTTCTTTAATTCTTAAATTTGATTTAGAAATTTTATATGAGGCCAGGTATGGTGGCTCACACCTGTAATCCCAGCACTTTGGGAGGCCAAGGTATGCGGATCATGAGGTCAGAAGTTTGAGACCAGCCTGACCAACATGGTGAAATCTCGTCTCCACTAAAAATACAAAACTTAGCCAGGCGTGGTGGTGCGCCCCTGTAATCCCAGCAATTTGGGAGGCCAAGGCATGTGGATCACAAGGTCAGGAGTTTGAGACCAGCCTGACCAACATCGTGAAACCTCGTCTCTACTAAAAATACAAAAATTAGCCAGGCATGGTGGCATGCGCCTGTAATCCCAGCACGCCTGTAATCCTCAGGAGGCTGAGGCAGGAGAATCCCTTGAATCCGGGAGGCAGAGGTTGCAGTGAGCCAAGATCGAGCCACTGCACTCCAGCCTGGGCGACAGAGCGAGACTTCGTCTCAAAAAGGAAAAAAAAATTTATATATTTATTTATTATTTTTCCAAAGAAATTTTACTAGCAGGAGTAACTTCTAATTTGAAAGAATAAAATAATGTGATTTCATGAATTCAAAATAGTTAAGGGCTACTTTATAGGCTGGTACTTCAAATATTCAAACAATAAAGACGTGGCTGGGCACGGTGGCTCACGCCTATAATCCCAGCAATTTGAGAGGCCAGGGCAGGCAGATCACTTGAGCTCAGGAGTTTGAGACTAGCCTGGTCAACATGGTGAAACCTCGACTCTACTAAAAATACAAAAAATTGGCCAGGTGTAGTGGCTCACGCCTGTGATCCCAGCACTTTGGAAGGCCGAGGCGGGTGGATCACAAGGTCAGGAGTTCGAAATCAGCCTGGCCAACATGGTGAAACCCCGTCTCTACTAAAATACAAACATTACCTGGGCATGGTGGTGCACACCTATAATCCCAGCTACTTGGGGAGGCTGAGGCAGGAGAATGGCTTGAACCCAGGAGGTGGAGGCTGCAGTGAGCCGATTGTGCCACTGCACTCCAGCCTGGGTGACAGAGCAACACTCCATCTCAAAAATAAATAAATAAATAAATAAATAAATAAATAAATAAATAAATAGATAAATAAATGAGCTGGGCGTGGTGGCTTATCCCTGCAGGCCCAGCTATGCAGGAAGCTGAGGTAAGAGAATCACTAGAATGGGAGAAGAAGGTTGCTTTGAGCCAAGATGGCGCCACAGCACTCCAGCCTGGGCGACAGAGTGAGACTCTGTCTCAAAAACAATTAATAAATAAATAAAATAAAATTTGTATATTACCTCTGAGACAACAAAGATAAAAAAGACCAATGTCTTTATAGATGTACATACTGAAAGAGAGAGCTTAAATAGGACTTTCTTCTGAGAGCAATTTGACAATATGTATTAAGAGCCTGAAGAAAAACATGTTGTTGGCCAGGCACGGTGGCTCACCAGAACTTTGGGAGGCCAAGGCGGGCAGATCACCCGAGGTCAGAAGTTCGAGACCAGCCTGGCCAACATGGAGAAACCCTGTCTCTACTAAAAATACAAAATTAGCTGGGTGTGGTGGTGCATGCCTGTAATCCCAGCTATTCAGGAGGCTGAGGCAAGAGAATCGCTTGAACCCGGGGTGGGCAGAGGTTATGGTGAGCCGAGATCGCGCCATTGCACTCTAACCTGGGCAACAAGAGCAAAACGCCATCTCCAAAAAAAAAAAAAAAAAGAAAGAAAAGAAAGAAAAACACGTTGTTTTATCCAACAAATCCACTTCTAAAAATGTGTCTTAACAAAATAGAGAAGTATTTAAATACTGAGCTACAAATGTTTATAAGACCAACCAACTAGAAAGACCTCTTCAGTAATAGACTTTAAAGTATAATGCATCATATAGTGCAATCCTATATAGTTATTAAAAATGATGATATAATTGTGTACTTATTTCATGACAAGAAAAAAAACTTTTCACAATATGTTGTTAAGCATAGGAAGCAGATTACAAAACAGCACATTCACAATGATACAATTTTTGTTTTAAAAACAAGCAAGACACTAAAACTTTAAAAGTGATCATTTCTAGGAAGCAGTGTTTTTCATGTGATTTTTTTTCTTTGTTAATCTACATATTCTAATTTTTCTAGATTAAAAAGATTATATATGTGTATATATGTGTGCCATATGTATACATCTCATTTCAGGAGGTATGGTTAAGAAATAACTTTTAAAATATGGCTAAATATGTCTTCTTTTGAGAAGTGTCTGTTCATGTCCTTTGCCCACTTTTTGATGGGGTTGTTTGTTTTTTTCTTGTAAATTTGTTTGAGTTCATTGTAGATTCTGGATATTAGCCCTTTGTCAGATGAGTAGGTTGCGAAAATTTTCTCCCATTTTGTAGGTTGCCTGTTCACTCTGATGGTAGTTTCTTTTGCTGTGCAGAAGCTCTTTAGTTTAATTAGATCCCATTTGTCAATTTTGTCTTTTGTTGCCATTGCTTTTGGTGTTTTGGACATGAAGTCCTTGCCCATGCCTATGTCCTGAATGGTAATGCCTAGGTTTTCTTCTAGGGTTTTTATGGTTTTAGGTCTAACGTTTAAATCTTTAATCCATCTTGAATTGATTTTTGTATAAGGTGTAAGGAAGGGATCCAGAACAAAAAACCAAACACCGCATATTCTCACTCATAGGTGGGAATTGAACAATGAGATCACATGGACACAGGAAGGGGAATATCACACTCTGGAGACTGTGGTGGGGTGGGGGGAGGGGCGAAGGATAGCATTGGGAGATATACCTAATGCTAGATGACGAGTTAGTGGGTGCAGCGCACCAGCATGGCACATGTATACATATGTAACTAACCTGCACAATGTGCACATGTACCCTAAAACTTAAAGTATAATTTTAAAAAATATGGCTAAATATGACTGAAATAAAATATGACTGAAATAGTAACAATATTTCCTTTAAAATTAATTCACATAATTTACAGGTTGTATACCTGGTCTTTTGTAGATATGGTCTTGTTAAAAGCCTCGGCAAGTTCATACCTCTGAAGTACCAGTAACAAGAACTTATTGGGATCCATTAAAGATGCACCAATCTGTGAAAGAAATCCAGCATCATATTTCTTCTGTATTATATGGAGAAACATTTTGTCTCATGTAGGACTGTCAAAAATTAAAAAGTTTGCAGAAGATAATGTAGTAGTCCCTTCTATTTCTATGAGTCATAATCAGTTTAACAGTGAGAGTATTTTAAGTTAAAAATTATTACATTATCTTCTCTCCTTAGAAAGAATTCAAGAAGGAAGATGAAGACACAAATATCAGAAACAATTTAAATAGGTACCTGAAGCATGATGATATCTTTATCATACATTTCTTCTCTGCACTTAACATCTTGGTAATAAAACACCTATAAGGTAATAGGTAGAATAAATCCTAAAAGAATTATTTTATTTCAAGCAAAATTCTCAAGAAAACCTATCCTTAAAACTTTCTCTAAGCTAGAAACCCCTCAAAATCCTTAGTGGCAAAAATAAGTTGTAAATCTATGAATCACTTAAAGGGACTAGCGAGGATGAAGTGAAGAAATATGGCATGAAATCACTTCAGGGTTAAAAATGTTCTATATTAGTTATTACTGTCATGTATAACAAGAGAATTTATTTTCCCTAAGTTTAAAATACCTACTTCAATAAAAGTAAACCAATTTCTACACTCAATCATAATACCATTTTTTTCTTTTTTTTTTTTTAATTTCATTTTAAGTTCCAGGATACATGTGCAAGACATGTAGGTTTGTTACAGAGGTAAACGCATAATACCATTTTTCTTCCAAGTGCTAACTTTACAAGACCTATTTCTCCACCTTTTAAGAAATGCAAGGGCAGGCTCAGTGGCTCATGCCTGTAATCCCAGCACTTTGGGAGGTTCAGGTGACCGGATCACCTGAGGTCAGGTGTTCAAGACCAGCCTGGCCAACATGGTAAAGCCCCATCTCTACTAAAAACACAAAAATTAGCCGGGCATAGTGGTGTATGTCTGTAGTCCCAGCTACTGGGGAGGCTGAGGCACGAAAATCACTTGAACCCCACAGGCAGAGGTTGCAGTGAGCTGAGATTACACCACTGCACTCCATAGCCTGGGCAGTAGAGTGAGACTCTGTCTCAAAAAAAAAAAAAGAAAAAGGAAAAAAAAAAGAAAAGAAAAGCACTGCTGCATATTTACTCCAAAATAGAAGAAAAAATTACAAGGTGGCCTTCAATTAAGACAGATGGTGGAAAGACTAAAGGCCTCTAAGTAAGGTAATTCTCAGAAAAGAACTATGTTAATGGGGAGGACTCTGGTGGTACTACCGGCTTTCCCTTAATTTATCACACAAGCATCCTAGTTTATAATTCAGATGGAATACACAGTGAACAGGATAGGAGAAATGTCTATATAGTTCCTAGAACTTTCATTTCTAGGAGTTTATACAAGAGAATAGTAACATACACTCAGTAAAATCTAGGAACACAGGGTAAAATCATATAAGAGAAAAAAATTAGAAAATGAGCACATTCATAAATATGAATAATAGACTTTGCTGTACCTGGCTAATAAGAGACAGTCCATTTCTTCGCCACATCTCAGCAACAACCTGGGCAACCAACACCAGACAACGTAAAGGATATTCCACTAGTACCTCTACTTGAAAGTCCTCCTGAAATAGAGTGAGTTCAATTTTATCATTTCTCACAGAGCTTAGATGTGTCTCCAAGTTATGCCACTACATATTCTTCAGTTTTCTCACGTGAAAAATGGAAGAGCTTGAACTAGATGACGTCTAAGTCCCTGTGACTCAGATTACAATGTACTATATGAAGATGTAAAATTACTAAATGGGAATTCCTCAGGTGGGTTTCTAAATATTATCTCCTTCTCGTCCATCAACCAAGAGATATTCAGAAACAGAATATAAGCAAATCAATACTTAGTAGAATCACTTACAAAAGACACAAATTCATGCAGTCTTGAAACAGCACCCAGCCTGCTTAAACGTACATGAAGACCTAAAGTTAAAAAAACGAGAGAGAAAATGAGAAAACAAACCCAATTTGTTAACTAGTTAACTCATCAAGTTTAGAAACTTGTGCGATTTGATTTGGCTGGGCGCGGTGGCTCATGCCTGTAATCTCAGCACTTTGGGAGGCCTAGGTGGGTGGATCATCTGAGGTCAGGAGTTCAAGACCAGCCTGGCCCACATGGTGAAAGCCCGTCTCTACAATAATATAAAAATTAGCCGGGCCTGTAATCCTAGCTACTTGGGAGGCTGAGGCAGGAGAATCGCTTGAACCTGGGAGGCGGAAGTTGCAGTGAGCCAAGATCATGCCACTGCACTTCAGCCTGGGTGACAGAGTGAGACTCCGTCTTAAAAAAGAAAGAAAGAAACTTGTGTGAGTTAAATGTATGTTTACTGAGTTTAGAAGTGACAATCTAGAATGCAGACTGTTGATTTCTAATTTTGAAATACAATATTACTAACGTATTTAAAATCCTACACCATGCAAGGTGTGCTCATACCTTATTTAAAAATGACAAACTGTCTCTCAAGATACCTTTATTCTGCCTTTAGCCACGTATCAAAAGAAATGAAAATTAATCTAAGTATTTTTAAGGAAAATTTTTATTTTCATTAAAAAGGTACTTTTAACAAAAATTTTTATTTTCATTAAAAAGGCACTTTTAACAAAAATTTTTATTTTCATTAAAAAGGTACTTTTAACAAAAATTTTTATTTTCATTAAAAAGGTACTTTTAACAAAAATTTTTATTTTTATTAAAAAGGTACTTTTAACAAAAATTTTTATTTTTATTAAAAAGGTACTTTTTACAAAAATTTTTATTTTTATTAAAAAGGTATTTTTAACAAAAATTTTTATTTTTATTAAAAAGGCATTTTTAATAAAAATAGAAGCAATATAAAATCACATGACATCAATTATGCCATATACAAACATTAACTCAAAATGGATCAAAGACTTTAAACACAGGTTTAAATATAGGTGCTAAAACTAAAAAATAAAACTCATACAAGAAAACGTAGGGAAAAGCTTCATAACTTTAGATTTGACTCTTCCTATCCATGAGCATGGAATGTTCTTCCATTTGTTTGTGTCCTCTTTTATTTCGTTGAGCAATGGTTTGTATTTCTCCTTGAAGAGGTCCTTCACATCCCTTGTAAGTTGGATTCCTAGGTATTTTATTCTCTTTGAAGCAATTGTGAATGGGAGTTCACTCACGATTTGGCTCTCTGTTTGTCTGTTATTGGTGTATAAGAATGCTTGTGATTTTTGCACATTGATTTTGTATCCTGAGACTTTGCTGAAGTTGCCTATCAGCTTAAGGAGATTTTGGGCTGAGACGATGGGGTTTTATAAATATACAATCATGTCATCTGCAAACAGGGACACTTTGACTTCCTCTTTTCCTAACTGAATACACTTTATTTCTTTCTCCTGCCTGACTGCCCTGGCCAGAACTTCCAACACTATGTTGAATAGGAGTGGTGAGAGAAGGCATCCTTGTCTTGTGCGGGTTTTCAAAGGGAATGCTTCCAGTTTTTGCCCTTTCAGTATGATATTGGCTGTGGGTTTGTCATAAATAGCTCTTATTATTTTGAGATATGTCCCATCAATATCTAATTTATTGAGACTTTTTAGCATGAAGGGCTGTTGAATTTTGTCAAAGGCCTTTTCTGCATCTATGGAGATAATCATGTGGTTTTTGTCTTTGGTTCTGTTTATATGCTGGATTACATTTATTGATTTGCATGCGTTGACTGTGAAAATGACCATGCTGCCCAAGGTAATTTATAGATTTAATGCCATCCCCATCAAGCTACCAATGACTTTCTTCACAGAATGGGAAAAAACTGCTTTCAAGTTCATATGGAACCAAAAAAGAGCCCGCATTGCCAAGTCAATCCTAAGCCAAAAGAACAAAGCTGGAGGCATCATGCTACCTGACTTCAAACTATACTACAAGGCTACAGTAACCAAAAACAGCATGGTACTGGTACCAAAACAGAGATATAGACCAATGGGACTGAACAGAGCCCTCAGAAATGATACCACACATCTACAACCATCTGATCTTTGACAAACCTGACAAAAACAAGAAATGGGGAAAGGATTCCCTATTTAGTAAATGGTGCTGGGAAAACTGGCTAGCCATATGTAGAAAGTTGAAACTGGATCCCTTCCTTACACCTTATACAAAAATTAATTCAAGATGGATTAAAGACTTAAATGTAAGACCTAAACCATAAAAACCCTAGAAGAAAACCTAGGCAATACCATTCAGGACATAGGCATGGGCAAGGACTTCATGTCTAAAACACCAAAAGCAATGGCAACAAAAGACAAAATTGACAAATGGGATCCAATTAAAGAGCTTCTGCACAGCAAAAGAAACTACCGTCAGAGTGAACAGGCAACCTACAGAATGGGAGAAAATTTTTGCAATCTACTCATCTGACAAAGGGCTAATATCCAGAATCTACAAAGGACTCAAACAAATTTACAAGAAAAAACACAACTCCATTGAAAAGCAGGCGAAGGATATGAACAGACACTTCTCAAAAGAAGACATTTATGCAGCCAACAGACACATGAAAAAATGTTCATCATCACTGGCCATCAGAGAAATGCAAATCAAAACCACAATGAGATTACCATCTCACACCAGTTAGAATGGCGATCATTAAAAAGTCAGGAAACAACAAGTGCTGGAGAGGACGTGGAGAAATAGGAACACTTTTACACTGTTGGTGGGACTGTAAACTGGTTCAACCATTGTGGAAGACAGTGTGGCGATTCCTCAAGGATCTAGAACTAGAAATACCATTTGACCCAGCAATCCCATTACTGGGTATATACCCAATGGATTATAAATCATGCTGCTATAAAGACACATGCACACGTATGTTTATTGCAGCACTATTCACAATAGCAAAGACTTGGAACCAACCCAAATGTCCATCAATGATAGACTGGATTAAGAAAATGTGGCACATATACACCATGGAATACTATGCAGCCATAAAAAAGGATGAGTTCATGCCCTTTGTAGGGACATGAATGAAGCTGGAAACCATCATTCTCAGCAAACTATCACAGGGACAAAAAACCAAACACTGCATGTTCTCACTCATAGGTGGGAATTGAATAATGAGAACACCTGGACACAAGAAGGGGAACATCACACACCGGGGCCTGTCGTGGGGTTGGGGGAGGGGCCCCCAATGTATAGGGACCCCCCTATACATTAAATGACGAGTTAATGGGTGCAGCATACCAACATGGCACATGTATACATTTGTAACAAACCTGCATGTTGTGCACCTGTACCCTAGAACTTAAAGTATAATTAAAAAACAAAAAAACAAAAAAAAATTAGATTTGACAATGAGTTTTTTGGATATGACACCAAAAGCACAGGCAACAAAAGAAAAAAGTAGATAAATTCAACTATAACAAAAACTCCTGTGTCTCAAAGAAGACCATCAACAGGGTAAAAAGGCAACCCACAGAATGGGAGAAAATATTTGTAAATCACATATCTGATGAACACTTAATATCTAGAATTATATAAGTAACTCCAACTGAACAGCAAAATTAAACCAGATTAAAAAATGGGCAGAGCACTTGAATAGACAGTTCTCCAAGGAAGATATACAAATGGCCAACAAACATTTGAAAAGCTGATCAAAATCACTAATCACTAGGGACACGCAAATCAAAACCACAATGAGATATCACTTCATATCCATTAGAATGGTTATTATCTGGGGGGGAAAAAAGGAGAAATAGCAAGTGTTGGCAAGGTGTAGAGAAAATGGAATCCTAGTGCATGCGGGTGGGAATGTAAAATGGTACAGCCACTAAGGAAAACACTATGATGGTTCCTCAAAAAACCAAACATAGAATTCCCAAATGATCCAGCAATTCCACATTTGGGTATATACCCAAAAAACTGAAAGCAAGGACTTGAAGAGATACTTCTACATCCATGTCATAACAGCACTATTCATAACAGCCAAAAGGTAGAAGCAACCCAAGTGTCCATCAACGGATAAATGGATGAACAAAATGTGGTATATTCATACAATGGAATATTATTCAGCCTTTAAAAAAAAAGGGAATTCTGAGATGTACTACAACATAAACCTGAGGACATTATGCTAGGTGATATAAGCCAGTCACAAAAGGACAAATACTGTTTGAGTCAACTTATAATAGGTACCTAGAGTAGTCAAATTCATAGACACAGAGTGGTAGTTGCTAGCGGGTGTGGGGAGGAGGCAATGGGGAGGTATTGTTTAGTAATAATAATTGTTTAATAAATTATTATTCTATTCAGTTTTGGAAGTTTCATGCTTAGAAGATAAAAAGCTTTTGGAGAAGGATGGTGGTGATGGTTGTAGAAAATGTGAATATACTTAGTGCCACTGAACTGTACACTTAAAAATGGCTAAAATGATAAGCTTTATGTCATGTACATTTTATCATTGAAAATAGAAATATATACACTTCAATAAAGCTATTTTTTAAAAACCCTGACAAATGAATGGCCAATTTACATGGAAATGCAAATGATTAAGGAGAATCTATGATTTCTTCCTTTTAATGATAAAGAATGATACAGATAATACACCAGTGAAATTGGTCAGAGAGGAGGTTTAGAAACCAGCAACCAGATTTTATTATATTTAAATTTGGGTGGGAGATGAGTTACCACGTTAGTCCTTAAGTATATACTCTAAGGATCCATAAGTTGACCCAGACAAAACAAAGCCCAGGTAAATAAGCAGCTTTAAATAGATGTTCTGGTGACAGCTCCTTGAAGGACAGTGACAGCCCTTAACTGCAGTATCTGACCTGAGCATGTCTGTACATATTGAGCACAGAACAAAAATAGAAATGATTCTACTAAATGAATACCTAGAAAGAAAGCTAATAGGTATATGCAAAAAGAAAAAACAAACACTCACCAGCAAGGGTCCTAGAGAGTGGCAGATGTATGCTTACAAGATCCTCAGATACTCTGTAGGACTTTGTTTCCAAACTATGTCCACACGATTGTACTACTGTCTTGCTACTAGATATGAAACTGGTACTGCACCTCATCACAGCTTTGTGACATTCTTTATAAGCCACAAGTAAGAGTTCTTCCTAAGAGGAAAATAAGATACAAAAAGTTGACAAGTTTTCTACTTTAACACTTTTTTTGTTTTGTTTTGAGACAGCCTGTCCTGTGGCCTAGGCTGGAGTACAGTGGCATAATCACAGCTCACTGCAGCCTCAACCTCCTGGGCTCAGTCACCTGAGGTGATTCTCCCACCTCAGCCTCCTGAGTAGCTGGGACTACAGGCGCGTGCCACCATGCCCAGTTTTTGTATTTTTTGTAGAGGCAGGGTCTCCGCATGTTGGCCAAGCTGGTTTTGAACTCCGGGGCTCAAGTGGTTCACCCACCTTGACCTCCCAAAGTGCTAGCATTACAGGTGTGGGCCACCATGCCCAGCATAACATGCATCATTCAATAAATATTTACTAAATATGAGTGGAAAATTGTTCTATGTATTACTAAGTCTACCTCCACAGGATCTGCAAACTTGTAGGAAACATAAGATATACCTATATATGCACTTATAATCAAAGTAAAAAATAAGTACCATGTAAATGGTACAGACTAATTGCTCTAAGAGGGGGGAAAAAAAAGAATCACAAAGAACTGGGAAGACATATTTGTGAAAGCAGCTTCTGATGGGCCCTAAAAGAATATGCATAATTTAAGTATGGGGAAAGATAAGGAGAAGATGGCATTCTAAGCAGAGATATAAAATAAATAAAGACAAAAATAAGAGAAATACAACTCCTATTCAGGCAGTGGAGAATAAAGAGTAGATAAAATGAAAGAATTTACGGATGAAATTAACAAGCATTTGAACTGGAAATGTGCCTTGGCACAGGCATGTGAATACACTGATGGAGTCCGCAGTGTAATAATGTAGCCAACACACTGCTTCAGGAAGAATTAATGTGGGTCATTGAAGATGGTAGATTGGAGAGGATAAAGTTAGTAGACAAAGAAACCAACAGGAAGATGACTATAAAGTAAAGTGATAAGGGTCTGAACTAGGGTGGGGCCATCAGGACAAAAAAGAATGAACCCATAGAAAATAATTTAGAATTATAAAATATATTTGAGATAAGGAAGAATCAAATCTGGGTGAATACAGAAGGGAGACATTAAAGACCATTCTTTTAAGATAATGTTTCTAATTTAATCTTGAAAAAGGAACTCCATGGTCAAAACAGATGATTTGGAAACATCCCTCTCAGAAATCAGCATACTGACTAACTAAAGGGTTTTAGAAATTCAGTAGCGGCTGGGCGCAGTGGCTCACATCTGCAATCCTAGCACTTTGGAAGGCCGAGGTGGGCAGATCACGAGGTCAGGAGTTTGAGACCAGCCTGGCCAATATGGTGAAACCCCGTCTCTACTAAAAAATACAAAACAAATTAGCCGGGTGTGGTGGTGCACACCTGTAGTCCCAGCTACTCAGGAGGCTGAGGCAGCAGAACCGCTTGAACCCAGGAGGCGGAGGTTGCAGTGAGCCAAGTTCGTGCCACTGCACTCCAGCCTGGGTGACAGAGCGAGACTCCATCTCAAAGGAAAAAAAAGAAAGAAAGAAATTCAGTAGCTTTAAAAGAAAAAAAAATCCTCTTTTTGTTTAACCTGACATTTCTGAATCTTACATGAACCCAGAACATTTTTCCCTTCAAAACACCAGTTAATGTTGAACATATAGAAAACAGTGGCTCTGAGATTTCCCATATGGATGAATTTAATAGTAATGTCATTAATAAAACAAGGATAATCAAAATGAGAAAATGCAAGTTGGAAGTAGAAGGAAATGATGACAGGTCCATTTAAAATATTTTGAGTTTGAGGCCAGGTGTGGTGGCTCATGCCTATAATCCCAGCACTTTGGGAGGCCAAAGAAAGAGAATCACTTGGAAGTGAGGAGTTTGAGACTAGCCTGGGCAACACAGAGAAACCCTGTCTCTGCAAAAAATAAAAAAATTAAAAATTAGCTAGGTGTGGTGGCATGTGCCTGTAGTCCCAGCGACTTTGGAGGCTAAGGTGGGAGGATCATGTGAGGCCAGGAGGTCAAGGCTGCAGTGAGCCATGATAGCGCCACTATACTCCAGCCTGGGTGACAGAGTAAGACCTTGTCTCTAAAAACACACACACACACTCACACACACAGACACACACGTGTAAGATCTAAACAGGAATGTCTGGCCCACAAACAGAAGTGACACTGTAGCTTAGGAGAGTCATCCCTATGAACTTTTAACTAAGTGGTAGAAATACAAGAGAAGAGAAAAGAATGTAAGATATACACACATACACACTTACCATCAAAGTAAAAAAATTTTAAATACCATGTAAATGGGACAAGCTAATTGCCCTAAGACGGCAAAGAAAATAATCACAAACAATTAGGAAGACGTATTTGTGAAAACATATTTCTGTAAGAAAGAGAATATTGGGGAATGTCTCGTTTAGCAGGCAGAAGGCACTAGAAAAAAAGGTAATCACTGACTGAAATAGGTAATCGATAATAAATGTATTAGGATAATGCCTGTTTGTGAAAACCAGAGGGAAACAAAGTTTCAAGATGGTTAAAGTACTCAAGAAAATACAATGCTACAGATAATTCAAGGAAGATGGAAACTAAGGAAAGACCTCTGAATTTGGTTACCAAATGGATCCTCTGTGATTTTTTTCTAAATGCAGTTCTTGTCAATTGATAAGGGCAGAAGCCAGACTGTAAAGAAGTGTTAGGAGCTATAAGTGAAGATACTAAATGTAGATGACTTCAGAAGGTTTGGAAGAAGTCAAGATGAAACCTTTGCCTCATCACCTAACAATTGTGCATGCCCTCCATAAAAGTGAGGGAAGCCAAAAAATACATGCTGTGCTTGCTGGACAGTATTTCCTGTGGTGATTGTACTAAAAAGCTACAGTGCTAGATTAAAGTCTACTACATTTGTGAGTATGGCTGCCACTCTGAACCTATGACCAATTGCTGGTGGTGAAGCAGAAGAGATTATAGTTCACAGGGGTGCAAAGGCAAGAAAGGAGGCTTTTATTATTGTTGTTTTTAAAAATAAGCGAGTCCTGTGTGTTTATAGACAATTGAATAAAAGAGTAGGAAACACAAGTCCAGATAATTCAGGAAGCTAACTCCAGGAAAAAGTAATATAAGTCAGAACCAAGAGCCTAGGTAGAGTCATTAGACTTAGAAAGAGACAAAAAGGAAAAGACCAATAGTGAAGACGCAGAAAAACTTAGTCACTGAATAGGTTATGGTAACAGACACAGAGAAAGCAGAGATGATGAGGGAATTTAACTTAGATAATAGCAATTTTCTCAGAAAATAAATAAATGAGGTCATCATTCTTAAAGGGAATCTAGGGTGGGATTACATATTTAAAGACGGTTATGGTCTAAAATTGCTGCTTAAGGAAATACATTAGTTCTATAGTTTGAAACTAACACATACAACAAAGCTCTTGAATGAATAATCTACCCCTCTCCATTCCTGGAATATTTAAAAGTCTACTATGGTCCTCATTATATTATTATTAATATGCATTTTCCAGGGAATAAACGTGTGTATAAATACATACATACACATGTATAAACCCTGCTATTCCCCAAAATAAGCAAAACTACCACAGGGCACATTTTCTACTCAAGTATATACAGTTTCCCCCTAAATTTAAAAAGAGAAATTCAAATATGTAAAAAGCTACTATAAATAATAAAAACTTTACATCAAGGAAGCTGCAACATAAAACTATACTATTAATAATTACTAAGAACTTAAAAAGGCACTGATCCTACTAACAAATTTTACTTACATCACAAGCACACCACTCTTGGAACATGAGTAAAATATTCTTCAATTGCATCTGTATAGCAATGGCAGCCTCCCAATCAGGATCCACTTCAATGTGTTGCCCAACCTGTCTTCGGATTTCTTCCATTCCCTGCAATTACAAGTTGGTCAACATACACCTATCTGAGCCCTCTCTCTTTGCTCTGCTCTTGGCAAAATATAAAACTGTCAGGATTCATAACATTTTAACATGGTTGTTACACTGGGTCAGAATGCATGGGTTCAATTCCCAGCTCTCAGGTATGTGCTCAGGGTTAGAACATTAACCGCAAAGCCCAGCTCTGTCTGGTATTTCTAGCTGTGTGACCCTGGGCAAATTATTTCTAAGCTTGGTTACTAAATGGATCCTTTGAGATTTTTTCCTAAATGCAGTTCTTGTCAATTGATAAGGGCATAAAGTCAGACTCTAAAGAAGTATTAGAAGCTAACAAGTGAAGATACTAAATGTAGATGAATTAAGAGTATTTAGGAGATGTCAAGATGAAAACAAGCACCTTAACCTCATCACCCAACAACTGTACATGCTTTCCATAAGGGTGAGGGAGCCAAAAAAATATGTGTTGTGCTTGCTGCACATGCAAGTAACCCTTACATGTAAAAGGAGAATATTAATAGTAACTACTTAATAAGATTGCTATAAGGCTCAAAAGAGATCATGCATGAAAAGTGCTTACTACACATTTATCACATGGTAAGTATTCAGCAAACATTAACAGAAGTAGCAACAGTAGGCCGGGCATGGCAGCTCACACCTGTAATCCCAGCACCTTGGGAGGTCAAGAGATTGAGACCATCCTGGCCAACATGGTGAAACCCCACCTCTACTAAAAATACAAAAATTAGCTGGGTGTGGTGGTGCATGCCTGTAATCCCAGCTACTTGGGAGACTGAGGCAGGAGAATCGCTTGAACCTGGGAGGCGGAGGTTGCAGTGAGCCGAGATTGCACCATTGCACTCCAGCCTGGCAACAGAGCGAGACTCTGTCTTCGAAAAAAAAAAAAAAGTAGCAATAGTAAACTAAGGTATATAAAAGGATCTATCAAAACAGGATGAGTGAGTCAATGTTTAAATCTTGTTTCTACTTTGCTAGATAAATTCTTTCTTGTATTAAAACCAAAATCTGCTTTAAAAAGACTGCGGTTCAATTTTTAAAAATAAATTTCTTTTACTGATGTACAGAAAAATGATCATACCTGCATACAGGTAAGAATCTTCAAAAAAGATCGAAAACCTTCAAGGAACTGCATTCTTAATCTTTCTGTCCATATTGTGGGTTTGCTGATCAGGATATACCTATCGTTTCAAGAAAGAAAGAAATATTTCATTTATCTATTTTGAGATAATTTTAAGGTTCTCAGGGTTATAGACAATGTTGATTTATAAAAATTATGGATTCTAATTTCTCACAATAATTAGAAGCTCTGAGTAGAGCTAGAATTATTTATTCTGCCTTATTTTAAATACAACCAGTAAAACATGAATGCTCTAGAAGAGGCAGATATCAAGCTAAACCTGACTTCACACACTACATTCTCAGAGGTTAGTCTGATTAAGTGAACCTAGAACTGACCAAGCCTGTCACAGCTAACTCTGGACAACCACAGTACAGATTCCCTAGAACTGTTCACACCCATCAGCCAAAGGGCCAGCTGAAATTGTTTCAGCCTCAGGAGATTTGGAACAGATTTTCTACCTCCAGTTTTTCATAACCCAGAACTTGGAAGAAGGATGTAAGCACCTGTCATCTTGACTTGCACATCAGGATGTACTAGTTTCAAGAGATAAACAAACTCATTTTAGCCTATAATTTGTATGATTAATATTTCTTTTGGCTGTAAAGACAATGACTGGTTTCATATACAATGGGAACAATGTTTATCATGAAATGAGTTATCAGGAAGTAATTATTAACAAGTATAAAATACTATTTTGCACTTGACCAATGAGAATAAATTCCTGTTATATTGCAGGTGTTGGGAACATAAACATGGACACACCTGTCCTGAAGTTCATAGTATAGTGGGAAAAACAGATACACACAGTAGACAGAAATTCAATGTTAAACACTAAAATAATGTATAAAAGAGGTAATGTATGGCTCACGCCTGTAATCCCAGCACTTTAGGAGGCCGAGGCAGGTGGATCACGAGGTCAGGAGATTGAGACCATCCTGGCTAACACAGTGAAACCCCGTCTCTACTAAAAATACAAAAAATTAGCTGGGCGTGGTGGCGGGTGCCTGTAGTCCCAGCTACTCGGGAGGCTGAAGCAGGAGAATGGCGTGAACCCAGGAGGCAGAGCTTGCAGTGAGCCGAGATCGCAACACTGCACTCCAGCCTGGGTGACAGCATGACACACAAAAAAAGAAGTAATGTAGGTACATAAAGACAAAGCAACAAAGAAAATACATTTTTTTTGAACTGCAAAGATAGGATTGTGGTTTAATTTTTCTCACTCTTTAGATACCCATTAACATGCAAATGTACATTAAAAATACAATCATCAAAGAAACTTATAAAGATTTAATTCAAATATACTAATTACCATCTAAATCTTTCTTTTAAAGTAAAAGATAAAAAAGATTAAAGTTTAAAATCTGCCACATTGAACAAACGGCATTCATGTTTTGTTGCTTTCTAGAGCACTACTACTCAAAGTGTGGTCCACTAACCAGCAGCACCAGCCTCACCTGAGTGCTCTTTAAAGAGGCAACATGTTGGGCTCTAATTAGACCTGCTGAATAAGAAGCTTCCCTGCCCCCGTTTTTTTTTTAAACTTGGCCTTACTCTGTTGCCCAGGTTGGAGTGCAGTGGTGCAATCATAGCTCACCACAATTTCAAACTCTCAGGCTCGAGTAATCCTCCTGCCTCAGCCTCCTCAGTAGCTAAGACTACAGGCGCGTGCCACCAAACCTGGCTAATTTTATTTTTTGTAGAGACAAAGTCTCACTATGTTGCCCAGGCTGGTTGCAACCTCCTGGCCTCAAGCAATCCTCCTGCCTCAGCCTTCCAAAGCACATGAGCCAACGCAATCAGCCCCAGAATCTGAACTTAAGGAAGCTCCCCAGATGATTTGCTTCTGCACAGCAAAGGAAACTATCAACAGAGTGAAGAGACAACCAACAGAATGGGAGAAAATTTTTGCAAACTATGCATCTGACAAAGTCCTAATAGCCAGCATCTATAAGGAAAATAAATAAATTTACAAAAAAGAAAAAATGAATAAGTGAGGCCGGGTGCAGTGGCTCACGCCTGTAATCCCAGCACTTTAAGAGGCCGAGGTGGGCAGATTGCCTGAGCTCAGGAGTTCAAGACCACCCTGGGCAACACGGTGAAACCCCGTCTCCACTAAAATATCTCCACTAAATTACAATAAATTAGCCAGGCATGACAGCATGTGCCTGTAGTCCCAGCTATTCGGGAGGCTGAGGCAGGAGAATCACTTGAACCCAGGAGACTGAGGTTGCAGTGAGCCAAGATAGTGCTACTGCATTCCAGCCTGGGCAACAGAGCGAGACTCCGTCTTAAAAAAAAAAAAAAAAAAGCGGGGCAGGGGAGCAAAGGATAAGAACAGAACAGACACTTTTCAAAAGAAGACATACATGCTGCCAACAATTACATGAAATAAAGCTCAACATCACTGATCATTGGAGAAATGCAAATCAAAACCACAATGAGATACCATCTCACACTAGTCACAATGGCTACTATTAAAAAGTAAAAAGTCACAGACGCTGGGGAGGTTGCAGGGAAAAATGAATGCTCATACACTGTTGGTAGGAGCATAAATTAATTCAAGCATTATGGAAGACAGTGTGACAATTCCTTGAAGACCTAAAAACAGAAATGTCATTCAACCCGGCAATTTCATTACCGGGTATTCACCCAAAGGAATATAAATTGTTCTATTATAAAGACACATGCACACATACATTCACTGCAGCATTCACAATAGCAAAGGCATGGAATCAACTTAAATGCCCATCAGTGATAGACTGGATAAAGAAAATTTGGTACATATACACCATGGAATACTATACAGCCAGAAAAAGAATGAGATCACATCTTTTCTGGGAACATGGATGGAGCTAGAGGCCATTATCCTTAGCAAACTAACGCAGAAACAGAAAACCAAATACTGCATGTTCTCACTTACAAGTGGGAACTAAATGATGAGAACACATGGACACATAGAGGGGAACAACACACACTGGGGTCTATCAGAGGATTGAGGTTGGGAGGAGGGAGAGGATCAGGAAATATAGCTAATGGGTACTAGGCTTAATACTTGGGTGACAAAATAATCTTAACAACAAACCCCCATGACACAAGTTTACCTATGTAACAAGCCTGCACATGTACCCCTGAACTCAAAATAAAAGTTAAATAAAAATTAAAAAAAGCAGCTCCCCAGATGATTTGCATTCACATTAAAATCTGAGAAGCACTGATCTAGAAGAGAATTTACATTTTTGGTTTCTAACAATCTCACATAGCTAATGAGCAACCTCTATAGATGACTTACCAAGTAAAGAAGATGTAAGGGATTGGAACAAACAAAAGGGTAAGGAAGGGAAGGAAAAGAAGTCTGTAGATAAAAATAGGTGGCAAAAGCAATGGGAAAAGAGGGAGAAAAGTGTGGACAGGGTGAGACAGTAAGGGAGTGATTTGGTTTGAGAGTGTGCTATACTTTCTGGAAATGGAACAAAGGAATAGGTTAGAGTAATAAAAGAATAATATTGTTCCTCAATAGCACCAAGGTTCAACTGCATCTCTTTTCTAAGTTGCATTTCCACAATAAATTAGCAACTGAGAAACAAAGTACCCCATGAGATACCTCCCAAAAAGCAAGTGACAAAACTAAATAGACATAAATTTTTTAGAATAAGAGAGGTAGCAATCCCTCCCTTCTGTGTTTTCCTAGGCAGATCTCAGTTGGAGTACTGTGTTCATTTCTTGGCACATAAATGGTATACATGCACCTGGAACAGGTTCAGTAGAGAAGGACAATGATTTAGAAGGAATTTTAACCAACATGAAATGGGACTAGTTAAAGAAATAAATGCAACTCAATGCAGAAAAGACCTGGCAGGTATGACTGCTGCCTTTAAATACTTCTTCAAGTTAAATGAGAATTGAAGTTGTTCTGAATGGACAAAGAGAGAACTAGAACCAGAAAATAAAAGCTACAAAAAAAGACAAGAGTTCAATATACAATAGGAAACTTTCTAATAGTTGGAAGAAGCTATCCAAAGTTGGAATGTGCTGCTTTGAGAGAATGAAAATTTCCTAAGGCAGGCTGAACAGAGTACCTACTAGTACCAACAAACTTATTTCATGCTGAGGTACAGTCAGATAAACACAAAGCTAAACTATGAAGACCTACAAATTCTGACAGAATTTAGACTTTATCTGGGAAAGAAAATACATTAAGTGTGGTTATTGCTAACTAATTTAAAAACAAGGTTTCAGGGGAAATTAGTAAATAAACATGTAGGGAAAGAGTAAGATGTGACTACAGAATTTCTACAATGAGAGACTGAGAAAGCAATTAACACGAATTATTTGCTAAATAAAGAGTTTTTGTGATTGGTGTGTTAGGCCAGGTTTCAGAGTAGATTTTGTGTTGTTGTTTATGTATCCTGTGAGGCTACATGACATAGTGAAAGGAACATGAGTTTTACAGATAAACGGTGTTTATAATCAAATCTCAGTTCTGCCACTTACTAGGTTTGTGACTTGAGGCAAATATTTACAATCTACAAAGTAAGATTATATCAAGTACCTTCTAAGAATAGTGCAAGAATATAATCAGGTAAGATAAGCAAAGCTCCTTGGCACATAGCAGTTACTAATAAATCTCACAGGATTCTCATGAGAGTGAATTACACAGTACCTGCAGAACAGGTGTTAATTTTCCCTTCCCCTGGTCACTGGAGATATCTATATTTAGGTTGGGATAGAGGGGAGGAATTGTAAGCATCAGAAGATTTAAAGTTGCCTTCCAAACTAGACACCTTAAAGTTCTACTATAAGGGTAGGTATTTAGGGATGTGCTGGCTCTAAATTATTCACCGTAGAGATTAGCTATAGTCAGAGACTCATAAAATATGATAAAACAAGTGATTATGCACCACTTAACTGGATATAAAAATAACTCAGTTATAATACTTCACAGTAATGATAGCCATGGTAGAGAGATTTTTTTCTATATTCACTGACCTAACAATAACTTTAAGTACTGCCATTAGGAGTTTTTGTTTTGTACAACATGTAAGTTTTGCATAATTTGGCTGAGAAACAAATTTCAATTACAATGGCTATATATTGATTCACTACTGAATTTACCTACCATCTCCACTTATACTGAAGATAAAATATAATAATTTACTGAACTTTATTTTATTTTTTTAGAGATAGGATCCCGCTCTGTTGCCCAGGCTGGAGTGCAGTGGCATGATCACAGTTTACTGTAACCTCAAACCCCTGGGCTCAAGTGATCCTCTCGCCTCTGCATCCTGAGTAGCTAGGAATAGAGGCTTGCACTGCTGTACCTGGCTAATTTTTATTTTTATTTTTGTAGAAACAAGGTCTCGCTATGTTGTCCAGGCTGGTCTGATACAGACGCAATTTTTTTTTTTTTTTTTTGAGATGCAGTCTCACTCCGTTGCCAGGCTGGAGTGCAGTGGCGCAATCTTTGCTCACTACAACCTCCACCTCCTGCGTTCAAGCGATTCTTCTGCCTCAGCCTCATGGCAATTTTTAAAAAATGGAGTATTTTCAGTCTGCGGTTGGTTGAACCCACAGATGTGGAACCCACAAATACGGAGGATCAACTGTATAGCAAAAAGGAGTTAAAAAAATGTTAACAGCCAGCCGCAGTAGCTCATGACTGTAATCCCAACACTATGGGAGGCCAAAGCAGAAGGACTGCTTGACCCCAGGAGTCCAAGTCAGCCTGGGCAACAAAAAGTGAGACTCCGTCTCTACAAAACAATAAAAAATTTGCCAGGCATGGTGGCACGTGCCTGTGGTCCCAGCTACATGGGAGGCTGAGGCAGGAGGATCACTGGAGCCCAGGAGGTTGAGGCTTCAGTGAGCCATGTTTGCATCACTGCACTCCAGCTTGGGCAACACAGCGAGACCCTGTCTCAAAAAAAAAAAGAAAGAAATTTATGTCAATAGATTGTCTGAAACTATGCACAAAGAGACTATATAGGAAGGACAGAACCAAAGTGTGTGAGTGGAAGTGAATGAAAAGTATGGTAATTACAATGGCAATGCATTTGGTGACCCCAGGAGATCCCAAGTTCCTGTAATGGGCCTCTCCTCAATACCTTCTTTACTAACCAGGTTTTACAACTCAATAAGAAGCCTTCACTGAAGACATTTATTAACGCGAGGCAGTAACAGTTCTTTGTACTTGCCATCATTATAAAGAGAATTCTGGATAACCAAAATGATCACAGGATTACTTATAAGACACAGCAAATAAGCACACTGAGTTTAACAGGTGCCCTCACCTTTTGACTTGAACAACTTACTTTAGGTCACATATTACTGCATATACTCTTCCCAATTTGTCCTGGCTATAACCCTGGAAGTTGAATTTATTGTTCCTGTCCAAGTACTCAGGTAAAACTTCTAGCAGAGTTTCAGTAATGACAGAGATAACATTCTGCTCTTCAATAAGATGTCGAGCCTGCGGAATATTTCAAGAATATTTTCTTTAGCATTAACTCATTGTGGTATGGACTTAATTTATTCATTCATTTGGTTAGTCAGTATGTCATTTTTAATAAATGTTTGTTATTGAATGTTAAACACAGTCCTTAGTTTCACTGAATAGCAACTACTAAGAAGTTATTTTCTAAAAGAAAAAATTCCCTACTCCTCAGTAACTAGACAACACCTATCTGGATACTCCAAGCCCATTAGACAGGTTATCTAGATAAATGTTTATCATCAGTAATGTGGTGGCTCATGCCTGTAATCCCAGGACTTTGGGAGGCCGAGGCAGGCGGATCACCTGAACTCAGGAGTTCGAGACTATCCTGGTCAACATGGCAAAACCCCATCTCCACAAAAAATACAAAAATTAGCCAGGTGTGGTGGCAATGCCTGTAATCTCAGTTATTCAGGAGGCTGAGGCAGGAGAATCGCTTGAACCAGGAGGCGGAGGTTGCAGTGAGCCGAGATCGTGCTACTACACCCCAGCCTGAGTGACAGAGAGAGACTTCATCTCAAAAAAAAAAATCACACAATGAGCAAGTATAACAAAGATATACTTCATGACTTCTAGCACACTACGATCTATTCTGAAATCTCCTCCTTACCCCAATCTAAACTCTCCTCTCCATCCTTTTGAAAAAGTAAAGTAGAAACAATTAACCAAGTTTGGATAACTATCTAATTCCAGACAAGAAAAGAAGTAGGGCTGGGCGCGGTGGCTCACACTTGTAATCCCAGCACTTTGGGAGGCTAAGGCTGGCAGATCACCTGAGGTCAGGAGTTTGAGACCAGCCTGGCCAACATGGTGAAACCCCGTCTCTACTAAAAATACAAAAATCAACCAGGCGTGGTGGTGCCTGCCCGTAGTCCCAGCTACTTGGGTGGCTGAGGCATGAGAATCGCTTGAACCCGGGAGGCGGAGGCTGCAGTGAGCCCAGGTCGTCCCATTGCACTCCAGCCAGGGCAACCCAGCCAAGACTCTGTCTCAAGAAACAAAAAACAAAGAAAAGAAGTGGTATACAAAGGAAGCAGAATCTTCCACTCTCCTCCCAGGCCTATGCAGCACCCTCTCTCCCAAATGCTTGACAGGCACACCCTCCCACTTCTTAGTTTTATCTTATTCTATCTGCCTACAAACAATAACTTAAAAATAAAATATTTTTGGTATTGAAAAGGCAGTGTTCATAAGTTACTCTAGAAAGTAAGAAACCAGCTCTAGGTGTCATCTGCATTGACGAGGACATCTGAACCAAGGCAGCGCCTAGTTAACTAGTCCTTGGGTAGCACTAAAGTATTCACATAGCCCAACTTAGTGATTCTAACATTGTTCTAATTTGATTCAACATTAAGTGGAATTCTTACAAAGCAAAACAAGTTTTACTTAGAAAGACTGAAAAGGAATAATCAATACATACCAGAGTAGGAACAGTAAACATCTGAACTGAAAGTGCAGTTATAGAGATACTTCTGTCATGATCATCACTGATATATTCTTTCTGCAGTTGTTTATAATACTGAAATATATAAGTAGAGAATCAATTATAAATCACTACTAAAGACCTTTAAAAAATCCCAATTTTAATAACTGCTGCAGGTTTGTTTCTATCTATAAAATGTCAAGTAATATAATTCCTATTTATTAAGGCAAGATATTATGATCAGCAAAAATATCTTAGAAGGAGAATAACAAACAACAAATCAAGTAAAAATTCACCTACTCAATTTAGCAGAGATAGAAGTGGAAACTATTAAAATATACACATAGGTTAAAAAACAAACAAACAAACAAACAAAAAACAGAGGACTGCAATGGTATAGTTTATCCTTTCTCCAAACAGAATCTGGGGCAATCTTTAGCAGCTTCCACTCTAATGGTATTGGGCAGGGAATATATTCAAAGTATTTAACAACTGATATGACCCAGAAAAACCAACCAATCAGATTGAATCCAGCCTTAAACAGAATGGATGCTGGCTGCAAATAACTTCTTTCCCATACTGGTACATAACAGCTGCAAAACAACCCTGATATACTGGGAGAACAAAAATAGGAATATACTCAGTCACATAATAGGCATCTATTATGTGTAAGGCACAAAGTTGGATACTTAACCTACTTTAAGTTAGATACTTTACCCTCCAGAATTCCTACAAAGTTTAAGGGGTAACCATGGTGTACAAAAAAAATCATCTAAGTAGGGAGATTAGCTTTTGTATAAGAAAACAAAATTTCATTTCAGATCACACATATGGTCCAATATTCTATATCTGAAGAGTTTTAGAAGAGAACATCTTGAGTTGCCATCACTGCTGAAGGATAAGACATACAACAAATGTCTTAGTTACTTTTAAGTCTGCATATAAAATCCAGGTAATGCAGGTATCTTATCCCACAGTGTCATTTGCCTACAACAATCATTATTTCTTTCTCTGCTTCCAATTCCATCTTGGGTCCTATATCTATCTTAAGTCTTACAGAATTGACTGCAACTCAAAATCAGAGGAAATCAACAAGTATGACTGGCAAGTATGATTGCCTTATATAAGGCAAAATAAAAGATTCAAAGGAGTCCTTGATCTGTATACCCTTGCAATCTAATTTGGTAGATAGACAAAAAGATACAGTAAGGTAAGAGATACACGATAGATTAATAAAACATTAAAAAGCTGTAAATTTTAGCCTTATGCTTTAGCTTCCAAAAACTAAGTAGAACTCTTGGCCACCTAATTCCTGCCCCCCACTTTAGCATACACATCTGTTCTTCTTTCCTGCTATACTTTTCAATTAGTCACTTCTATTCTTATTGTAATTTTACTAACAGGCAAATAAATGATTAGGAAGACTGAATGCATATGTGAATGTGATAACCTCCCTTTGCTCTGGGTCAGTGGGTCATTTTCCACCTATCTCTTCTCTAAGAATGCTGTTTCTATACTAGCAAATAACATTTGTGAAAATATTTATATAACGTATGAGAACGAACTTTTTTTTTTTTTTTGAGATGGGAGTCTCACTCTGTTGCCCAGACTAGAGGGCAGTGGCGCGATCTTGGCTCACTGCAACCTCTGCCTCTCAGGTTCAAGTGATTTTCCTGCCTCAGCCTCCTGAGTAGCTGGGACTACAGGCACCTGCCACCATGCCTGGCTAATTTTTGTATTTGTAGTAGAGACGGGGTTTCACCGTGTTGGCCAGGCTGGTCTCGAGCTCCTGACTTCAAATGATCCACCCACCTCAGCCTCCCAAAGTGCTGGGATTACAGGCGTGAGCCAACCCGCAGGGCCAAGAACAAACTTTTGACAAAGAAATAAATCATAACATTTAATTTTTGATTCATAATTATCCCTGTTTCTATTAATTCATTTATAAAAACTGCCTATTTCTATTTATTGATATCTAATTTATAAATAATTACCTTCACAAATTCCATAGCAAAGAGTTTTTTGTATTCCATCTCCATAAAAAAACTGCTGAAGATCAATTCATGAAGGATCTTACGGGCACCTATAGATTATTTTGGGGAGGGTGGGGGAATGAGGAGAATCACCAAGGCAAAAACCAAAAACATTCTGGCTATTAGAGTGGCAGAATATTATAAAATTACTTCACATGCAAACAGACCTCAAATAGTATTTATTGTATTAATATTTAATAACTGGAATTTAAAATACACACATATATTGCCTTTTCCCTCTTTTTCTGCACCCCTCCCACCACTTCATCTTACACTTCAATTTACTCTCTCCCAACCTTTTCATTCTTTTTCTATTTCACTGTACTTTTCCTTCTCCATGCTTTTAGCCTTTTACGTTTTGTTCTTCATTTAGATTTTTACAATGAAAATAGCATCTTTTTCGCTACTCGATAATGGCACTACTACCTGAATATATAGATACATGTATAGACACATACATATATACTCTTTTTGACTGGCTCTCACTAAATGAAAAGACTCTATAATTAAAAGACAACATCCCTGGGTTTTAACACCAAAGAATACATACTGACTGGTTAAACTTTATATTCACATGTAGTATCTTATCAATCAAGATTACAGATTTAATAACTAATTTAATAAACAAAAGATATTACAGCTCCACTTTAAGGTCATAATCTTCCTTTGCTTCCTGACAAACAGCATAAGCAAATGTCTACTTACCTTTATAAAGCTTTGCATCCCAAAGCATTAACCTGCTTATGAGACAGGGATTCTCCGAGTCAGGTTCTTCTCTAAGGCATGCTTGGCAAAAGATCTGCCTAAAGTCACCTACAAACAAAAGAGGTCACACAGTTACACAACTTGTATTCTTTTTCTTTTTAAATAGAGATGAGTCTCACTCTGTTGCCCAGGTTGGTCTTGAACTCCTGGGCTCAAGCGATCCTTCCACCTCAGCCTCTCACAGTGCTGGCATTACAGACATGAGCCCCTGTACTCAGCCATAATTTTTATTCTTATAACATTTCTCCTAAAAGTACATTTCCTATAACATGTGAAAAGAATAATATTAATCCTCCCACATTTGAGGCAAAGAATAATTCTGTCAACATCAAAGACTCAACAGCCAATAAAAAGATATTATTTGATACTATGCACTTGAAATAATATCCTAAGATATTATACATTTGAAATGCAACCCTGAAAATTAATCAAAGTGTATAAACCAAAAAAAAAAAAAAAAGAAAAACTTTATTTCATACTCAATGACATTTTAAAATTTGTGGCTATAAAACACATAGTATTTTATCAGAAACAAGAAAAACAGGAGGTATGCTTACTTGAATAGCTCATAATTTTGTTCATCCAGGAACCAAGACGCAAAGCAAATTTCTGATGAGCCATAATCTCTGAGTGTAATACTTCTACATGAAGTGGATGTTGAGAGACATTTTCTGAATGACTCTACAAATGAAGGGAACGAACCAAAAAAATAGCATTTAAAATTTGCTTTTAGTTAAGGGATTTATACTTCAAATGAAGAAATCACATAACCCTGCCAGTTCCAAATCTCTGCATCTAGGTGCCCCAAACCACTTCAACGACATCATCACTCAAATTATTCTACTTGGGCTCTTGTAATGTACATTCATCTTTAACTTCTCTTTTTCCCCCTAATTCAGAAAGTTACCTTTATATCTTCCTTTGCTTCCTGGCAAGCAGCATAAGCTCCCGCTTTAACAGCCCGACGACCCTAATTATAGACAAAAGTGAGAATTAGGTAGTGAAATGATAACCACAATCAATAAGCAATATGTAGCCCAAAGACTTAATGAGCTCTTAACTGAGCTCTAATCGCGTGTTGACTAAAAGTTGTAAGATACCGGAACAATATCTGAAAGACAGATGCAAATGTTTAACACCTTTATGAAGTATGAAAACTTTAATACCTCTAGGACAGACAGTCTATAGTTTAAGATGCTGAGTTTCTTGCCTGGCAGGAATGGCAGTTCTTTAGTTACTGCAGTGTCCTCTCTACTTATATGAAACAATGACTCAGGCTTTCTAAACTTCTGCTATGTATTTAAAATATTTTTCATGAATGAATTCACAGCTCTTCAACATGTATCCTATGATATACTTGTGGCCCATTAACGAGCGGGAAGTATAGCTGGACTACTGATTCCACCAGTCCTGGAGGCGGTCATGCAAGGTCTATGTAGGATTTCCTTGTAGCTCATTCTTTTACCCACCTGTAAAAATTCATCATTTTCTATATGTGCCATGTGAAAAAAGTCAGGAAGCACTGTCTTCCTCATTTAACCTTTACAATGACCCTATGAAGAAGGTATACCACATTTTACAGATGATAAAAAGAAAAATAAGACAGAAGTTAATTTGTCCCCCAATCAGAAAGTTAGCAAGTGACAGATTCAGAGATCCATGACAAGCATTTCATCTCCAGAGTCTGTACTTTTAACCATCCTGTAATATTCCCTCTTTAGCTGCTTAGTACATAAGCATAAGAACTATCCAAATATATTTGGACTACTAATTACACCAGTAAGGTTGCCATTACAGAAAAAAAAAAAAAAAGCACAAAAAGCCAGGCCATAAGAGATTGTTAAAAGAACAGATTGGACAAGAATAGTTACATAAACTCGAGCTCAATCAGCTTGTATGTATGTGATGCTGGCAATTAACCTAAAGCAGTGGATCTCAACAAACAGGGGGAGGAAAACCACCTCACATCCATATTTTTTGGCTGCTATCAAAAAATAAGAAGGGAGTTAGCTGCTGATCATGGTGGATGGGAGACAGGACTAGATTGGAGCTCCGAGCTCTGACTCAGATGGACAGAGCAGCACACAGAGGCTCACATCATGAATTTTAGCTCCAGAACGACTGTAAGAACAAACCAGGAATCCAGAGAGGACCTACAGACCTTCTGAAGCAAGGGGACTGCTCCTGCAGGACCTGGGAGACACCCCAAATACTCAGTCCCAATACTGGCTATCTTTCCAGAGGAAAAGAAGTCATTATACGAAAAAAGATACTTGCACACGCATGTTTATGGCAGTTACAATTTGCAATTGCAAAATCACGGCACCAACTGAAATGCCCATCAGAGTGGATAAAGAAACTGTGATAGATATAGATACACACACACACATATACACATACACATACATACACACACATATGTATATATACACACACACATATATGTATATATACACATACACAGGCTGGAATACTACTCAGCCATAAAAAGGAATGAATTAACGGTATTTGCAGCAACCTGGGTGAGATTGGAGACTATTATTCTAAGTGAAGTAACTTAGGAATGGAAAAACAAACATTATATGTTCTCACTGATGTGTGGGAGCTAAGCTATGAGGACGCAAAGGCATAAGAATGATACAATGGACTTTGGGTACTTTGAGGGAAGGGTGGGTGGGGGAAGAGGGATAAAAGACTACAAATAGGATGCAGTGTATACTGCTGCGGTGATGGGTGCATCAAAATCTCACAAATCACCATTAAAGAACTTGCTCATGTAACCAAATACCACCTGTACTCCAATAACCTAGGGAAAAAATGAGTTGGCTGTAAAAAAAAAAATAATAATAACAAGTAATGACAAGGATGTGGAGAAACCCTTGTGCATTGCTGGAGAATACACAAAATGGTGCAGCTGCTATAGAAAACAAAATGGTGGTTCCTCAAGAAATTAGAAATAGAATTCCCATATGATCCAGCAATTCCACTTGTGGGCATGTACCCAAAAGAACTGAAAGCAAGGACTTGAACGGACTTTTGTGTATCCATGTTCATAAGAGCATTATCCACAATAGCAGAAGGTGGAAGCAACCCAAGCGTCCACTGACAAGATGAACAGGCAAACAAAATATGGTGTGTGTGTATATATACTGTATACAGTACAATACTGTACATATATGTATATATGTGTATATATATATACAAACAGACAAATACTGCATGATCTCATTTGTATGAGATATCTAAAATAGTCAAGCTCTTAGAAAGTAGAATTGGTGGTTGCCAGGGGATAGAGGGAGGGGAAAAGGGGGAATTGTTCAATGGATATAAAGTTTCAGTTTTGCAAGATGGAAAAGTTCTAGAGATCTGTTGCACGACAAGATAGTTAACACTAGTATATGGTACACCTAGAAAAAGATTAAAATGGTAAATTTTATGTTATGTAGATTTTACCACCATTAAAAATGTTATTGATTGACTGAATGGAGATGGGGTCTCACTCTGTTGTTCAGGCTGGAAGGCAGCGGTGTGATCAAAGCTCACTACAGCCTTGAACTCCCAGGCTCAGCCTCCTAAGTAGCTGGGACTACAGGAATCCAACAAAAATAACCTTTCTTAATGACCAAAAAATACAGGGGTGGGAGTAGATCAACTGAAGGGAGGCAGTGTTTTTAAAATACGTGGGCATTTCTTTCCTCTTCTCTTCCCCATACTCCCAATTCTGATTTCCTAGGCTTGGGCTGGCATGTCTACTCTGAAAAAAAAAAAATTATTTCCAAGTGATTTCTAATAGGTTACCTTTATCCTCATACTATAGCTGAAAACACAGAACTACAAGTGTGTATCTTTAAGGGTTTGTAAAACAGACTAACTGCAACACAGTTTCTTCTAGCCAAGGAGTACATTTTTTACTTCAATTGGGTGTACAACATTATCTCATGTCCTATTTTACCTTTTGAATAATCATTTATTAAAAAGCTTTTCTTGCAATCACCATCACCTTATGGAGCTTTGGGACCCCAAAACAAGACAACCTATCAGTAGATAGATTAGCTGTAGCTACAGGCCTTCTCCACTTTGACTATAGAGGAGAGCAGTAACAGGAATAAAGGCTAAGAAGAGATAGGGCAAACACTGGGAGACACAGATCTTTCCGTTCCATATGAAAACCGACAAAGCACAGCCCCACGCTTTCCCAAGCTAATTCTTCTCCTGGGACACTGGTTTATCCTACTGGTATGTGTTTTTTTAGAGTCCTACGATCATGATAGCTCACAGTAATCCTACCACAATAATATATCTTGATATCTACCAAGATTTTCCCTTACAATCTGCAATATTAACCTTGTACATAAGACGGCAAAAATGTGACCCAGGAGCCAAGTGCAGTGGCTCACACCTGTAATCCCAGCACTTTGGGAGGCCAAGGTGGGTGAATCACCTGAGCCCAGGAGTTGAAGACAAGTGTGGGCAACATACTGAGACCCTGTCTCTTAAAATAAAATTAATTTTTTAAAAATATGAACTTTAAAAAGAGCACTATTACATCTTTAAATTTTTTCAGAATGCCTGCCTTTTTTTTTTTTAATTATTATTTTTTGAGATGGAGTTTCGTTCATCGTTGCCCAGGCTGGATGCAATGGATGCAATGGTGTGATCTTGGCTCACTGCAACCTCCACCTCCTGGGTTCAAGTGATTCTCCTGCCTCAGCCTCCCAAGTAGCTGGGTTTACAGGCATGCACCACCACGCCTGGCTAATTTTGTATTTCTAGTAGGGACGGCGTTTCTCCATGTTGGTCAGGCTGGTCTCAAACTCCCGACCTCAGGAGATCCGCCCACCTCAGCCTCCCAAAGTGGTGGGATTACAGGCGTGGGCCACTGTGCCCAGCATTTGAATGCCTGTTTCTCTCATAAGAACAGTAGAGAATACTCCTTTGAAGGTAGATTCAATCTGATTCATCTTGGTATTTCCTCAAAGTGCTTTAATAAATGTTTAGTGAACTCATTTAGAGTACCACATTTTAAGAAAATCTTTGATAAACTATTATTTACCCGGGGGAGGAGGTGGAGAGAAGGAAATAGAGCTTGATCACTATGAGGTTATTATCATAGGACAGTTGAAGAAAACAGAGGAAAGCAAACATAAGAAATTACAGTTTTTTAAAACTATTTGATGGGTTGCCATCTGAAAGCAAAAGAAGAGCTTTTCTGGTTTGTTCAATAAGAAATTAGTCTAAAAACACATGGAGGAAGATTTTGGCTGAAAACAGGAAAAAAATTTTTCTAAGAATGAGAGCTGTCCAACAAGCAAAGCAGTCAGAGAAACAAACTTTCTAAGTGCTAAAAGCACAAGTTAGAGAACCAGGGATATTGTTCTCTCAATACAAGGATGGCCAATTTCACTTGTTTTTCACTATTTCCTATCTTACATCTTTTTTTTTTTTTTTTTGAGATAGAATCTCGCTCCGTTGCCTAGGCTGGAGTGCAGTGGTGCAATCTCAGTTCACTGCAACCTCCACCTCCCAGGTTCAAACAATTCTCCTGCCTCAGCCTCCTGAGTAGCTGGGATTACAGGCATGTGCCACTACGCCCAGCTAATTTTGTATTTTTAGTAGAGATGGGGTTTCACCAGGTTGGCCAGACTAGTCTCCCGACCTCAGGTGATCCGCCCGCCTCAGCCTCCCAAAGTGCTGGAATTACAGGCATGAGCCACCACACCCGGCCCTATCTTACATCTTTATCATCAAACAGGGTCCTACTAGGACAAAAACAAAAGGCTCCATTTTTCTCCTAAGAAGGATATTTAAAGATTGTCTTTTAAGGTCTTTGTGATTACAGCCACCTAACGTTTTCTGAATGAGACAGGGTATAAATATATATTTAATAATTGTTGTGAAAATCTAACATCCCAAGTAGATTTTACTTTGTACAACTAGTACTGTAGTTGAAAATCATAAGCCTGATTAACCTTTAAAGTTCCTTCTATGACCTATAAGTAAAATGTAGCAATAGTAATATAGGTATTGACATCTGACCAAATCTGGTACCATTCTGAAGGACTAAAAAATGTTCGCTAAATACCCCATTTCACTTTCTTTTTCTTCTATTATTTTCTGTCTTCTTTTCCTATCTCTATTCTTTTTGCCTTTTCTTTCTTTGCCCACTTTTCTCTTTCTTCCTCTGATTCGTTCTCCTTTCCTATTCTCTTCCTTTCCTTTTTTTCTCCAACTTTTAATTTCCAGGGTACATGGGCAGGTTTTTTACAGAGGTAAACGTGTGCCATGGTGGTCTGCCGCAGAGATCAACCCATCACCTAGGTATTAAGCCCAGGATCCATTAGCGATTCTTCCTGATACTCTCTCTACCCCCACACCCCCGACAGGCCCCAGAGTGTGTTGTTCCCCACGAAGTGGCCATGTGTTCTCATCATTCAGCTCCACTTATAAATGACAGCATGCAGTGTTTGGTTTTCTTTTCCTGCATTAGTTTGCTAAGGATAACGGCTTCCAGCTCCATCCACATCCCTGCAAAGGACATAATCTTGTTCCTTTTTATGGCTGCATTTCTCTAATGATCAATGATGTTGAGCTTTTTTTCATGTTTGCTGGCTGCATGTATGTCTTCTTTTGAGAAGTGTCTGTTCATGTCTTTTGCCTACTTTTTGGTGAGGTTGTTGGTTTTTTTTCTTGCAAATTTGTTTAAGTTCCTTGTAGACTGGGTACTAAACCTTCATCAGATGGACAAATTGCAAAAATGTTCTCTTATTCTGTAGGTTGTTCACTCTGATGATAGTTTCTTTTGCTATGCAGAAGCTGTTTAGTTTAATTAGATCCCATTTACTAATTTTTGCTTTTGTTGCAATTGCTTTTGGTGTTTTTGTCATGAAATCTTTGCCCATGCCTATGGTCCTGAATGGTACTGCCTAGATTTTTTTCTAGGGTTTTATAGTTTGGGGTTTTACATTTAAGTCTTTAATCTATCTTGAGTTAATTTTTGTATAAGGTATAGGGAAGGGGTCCAGTTTCAATTTTCTGCATATGGCTAGCCAGTTATCCTAGCACCATTTATTGAATAGGGAATCCTTTCCCCATTGCTTGTTTTTGTCATGTTTGTCAATAATCAGATGGTTCTAGGTGTGTGGTCTTATTTCTGAGTTCTCTATTATGTTCCATTGGTCTATGTGTCTGCTTTTGTACCAGTACCATGCTGTTTTGGTTACTACAGACTAGTAGTATAAAGTAGGGTAGCATGGTGTCTCCAGCTTTGTTCTTTTTGCTTAGGATTATATTGGCTATTTAGGCCCTTTTTTGGTTCCATTTGAATTTTTAAACAGTTTTTTCTAATTCTGTGAAGAACATTAATGGTAGTTTAATGGGAATAACATTGAACCTAAAAATTACTTTGGGCAGTATGGTCGTTTTTACAATGGTGATTCTTCCCATCCATGAAGATGGAATGTTTTTTCCCATTTGTTCGTGTCCTGTTGAGCAGTGGTTTGTAGTTCCCCTTGAAGAGGTCCTTCACTTCCCTTATTAGCTGTATTCCTAGGTATTTTATTCTCTCTGTAGCAATTGTGAATGGGAACTTGTTAGAAATGAAGAACTGAACTGCATACCCCATAGCAAATCAAAATTTGCATTGTTTTGTTTTAGTTTTTTTGTAGAGACAGAGTCTCTTTATGTTGGCCAGGCTGGTCTCAAACTCCTGGCCTCAAGCGATCCTCCTACCTCAGCCTCCCAAAGTGCTAGAAGTACAGGCATGAGCCACAGCACCTGGCCCCTAGAATCTGCATTTTTAATAAGATCTATTCATGTGAACATTAAACTTTGAAGAATGCCATTCTAACCAGAATTCTTATGTACTCAGAATGGGTTACTGGTGTGCCAAGATATTGATCCTCTTAGTTTTCCAGGTATAAACACAGGTTTATGAAATAGAGATAATAATATGAGTATCAGTCTCAAAGAGTTGACTTATGGTTATAGGGCTTAAATGAGATATTACACATAAAGTATACCATGTTTGACATATGTAAATACTTCATAAATGTTAGCTATTATTAGCTGTTCGTACCCTTTTGTTTTTTTTTGACTCCGTTTGCTTTTTCATTAATAATTTGCGATCACATAAGCTATACATACGAAACACAGAGAAAGTTAACCACCTATTCTAATTCTATATTAAACCATGCGGTTTTTAAAAAGTACATTAAAAATGAAAAAATTAAATGACGAATGTCATGCTATTTCTTACTCTAGATTATACTGCACCCAAGGGCAGGGATGAGGTTAATATTCCTTTTATATACTTATATTACTTGAAGAACCCATTTTGCTCTGGATGGATGTTAAATAAACTGAGCCATAGAATTAATATTACTCTAAAAATAATTTAAATAAATCATGTTAAGACCTCAGAAATTACCAACTTTTCATAATTCATACACTTATTCATTCATTCAATAAATAATTATAGGACCAGACTAAAGTTGAGATGACATTCTTACCTACGCTTTGCCAAATAAATTCAGTAACTTTCTAATTATTTAAAATAAAAGATGAAAGTTATAAATAGTTATTTAAAATTATGATATACACACAAAACTGAAGTTCTAACCAATTTACCTAGGATGTAAGGAATAAATGGAGAGGATGGTCAGACCTAGCACAATACTGAGCAAGGGCTCAGTCAACATCTGGCTGCCAGGAAGCTGACAGAAAACAGAAACGCAATTCAAAAGGAGACCACAAACCTCTTTGTCAATGGCAGTGGTATGCAACTGGGCCTCTGCGAGCTCACAGTCAAGAGCTCTTTGTAGGCTGTATATGACGTGGTCATATGAATGGTGTTCATCATTGAAAAGGACACAATAGTATCTTTCATTTTTCTCCCTGTTAGAAAAAAAACATATATATTTGGATACTACAACAAATAAAGGAAAAGTAAAAAAAAAAAAAAAAAAGACAAAATTAATACATAACATCTGTGTAGTTTCCAACCTGTGGGAAAGTAACACCATAAAAGTAATATAGAATTTGATTTTTTTTTTTTTTTTTTTTTTGAAACAGGGTCTCACTCTGTCACCCAGGCTGGAGTGCAGTGACGCAACCTCGACTCACTGCAACCACTCCCTTCCAGGCTCAAGCAATCCTCCCACCTCAGCCTCCTAAGTATCTGAGACTGCAGGCACGTGTCACCACACCCCAGCTAATTTTTGTATTTTTTGTAGAGATGCTTCGCCATTTTCTCCAGGCTGGTTGCAAACTCCTGAGCTCAAGCAATCCGCCTGTTTTGACCTCCCAAAGTGCCAGGATTATAAGCGTGAGCCACTATGCCCAGCCCAGAATTTGATTTTAAGTGGTATAGTGCCATCACTTTTTAAAACTCTGATAAAAATGTTTCCTTTTCCATGTTTTTCCCCCAATTTTTCATATTACTTTCAAAAGTCTCAGTTCAGTGACCGTATGTTTTTGGGTTTTGTTTTGTTTTGTTTTAGATGGAATCTCACTCTGTCACCCAGGCTGGAGTACGGTGGCGCAATCTTAGCTCACTGCAACCTCCGCCTCCCGTGTTTAAGTGATTCTCCTGTCTCAGCCTCCTGAGTAGCTGGGATTACAGGTGCCCACCACCACACTTGGCTAATTTTTATATTTTTAGTAGAGACAGGGTTTCACCATGTTGGCCAAGCTGCTCTTGAACTCCTGACCTCAGGTGATCCACCTGTCTCGGCCTGACTGTATGTTTTTAATACTACCCTTAACTCTTGCTTATCTCCTATTCTGACAAAAGGAGACAGGCCTCAGGCTCAGAACCTTGAAGCAAGCAATGATAAATAAACAGATTTTATTAACAATTAGTTGTTATTGAATTTATTTTTGTTTTTACCTTCTATTTAAGTGATACTGGTATTAATGTACATTTAAGTTAGTTTCAAGAAGTATACAGTATAGACTTAAGCGCCAGCACTGCCATTTTGGCAACAGGACCTTAAGACAGCTCACCTAATCTTTTAATCTTGCTGAGATGACAGTGCTTTTTCATCTCCAAAAGGAACATAATATCTACATTCAAGAGTGTTATGAGGATCTCACAAGATATGTAAAAACAGCTGCCACGGGCTACATATGTGTTCAGTATTTTTTTTTTTTTTTGAGACGGTCTCGCTCTGTCACCCAGGCTGGAGTGCAGTGGCGCAATCTCGGCTCACTGCAAGCTCTGCCTCCTGGGTTCACGCCATTCTCATGCCTCAGCCTACCAAGCAGCTGGGACCACGGGGGCCCGCCATGATGCCCAGCTAATTTTTGTATTTTTAGTAGAGACAGGGTTTCACCATGCTAGCCAGGATGGTCTCGATCTCCTGACGTCGTGATCCACCCACCTCGGCCTCCCAAAGTGCTGGGATTACAGGCGTGAGCCGCCGCGCCCGGCCTATGTTCCCAGTTTTAAACAATATGTAATATACTTTTACAATACGCTCAATTGATCCTCAAAACTCTGAGGGGCATATTTTCTCAGCCCTCTTATGTTTTAGAAAACAGAGACTAAAGGGGTTAAAAGGCCAATATGTCATGGTCACAATGCCAACAGGCAATGAGAGGGCCTAGAACTCAGATGTGTGAACCCAAAGACCCGTGCTACCCACATAAAAAATGACACTCAAGCAATCCTCGTTTTTTTATGGGCAGATGGCTCATATTATGTTTACCAACATAAAGTGACTTAAAAGGTTTAACTGACATTAACACCTGTTGGAAATTAACATATTTGTGGATGCAGTTTGTCATGACATTTATTTCCACAAGTGGTTTTTAGCCTAATAAGAGTCAAAATAGTACATTTAATGTCTCTATTGATTAGAATTCTTACTTCTTTCTCCCTTTAAAACAAAACAAATGAAAATAGCCAGTAAACTCAAAGAATGACTATTTAGATTTGGGCTGCAATTTTGTGAAAATCCTAATATTACATAGGTAGAAAAATTCTCACACAACTCAAAGTTATCTTCATATCAGGTCCAGAATTCCTCTTTGCATTTATAAATTAAGAGCAAATATTACTGTCACTGAAAGACTTATGGCTACCAGAAATTGCTGAGTTCTAGCTAAAAAAAAAAAAAAAAAAAAAAAAAAGCTACATCCCTATAATTTCAATAATCCTAGATACCACCAAGGCACAGGGGAAAGGGCCATTTCCTCATTCCCATCAAACTTTTCTTGATCAGGACAAGAGCTAAAAACCCGGGCTAAATGGAGATACACTGTTCCAAAGTCCCTATCTTTGTTAACGAACCTCCTGAGGAAACCAGACATTAGTCCAGGCCAGGATCAAAGTGGGCAGTTTACTTACCTAGTGGGATGAGAGGCTGCTAGGTCCTTATAAATCATTTAGAACAGGACCCCAAAAATGTTGATTTTTTTTCCGTAAAAATTCAAAGCTCCTGATACACTACTCTTTTGGCTTAGCTTCTGGATGGTGCCTAGCAAAGTATCTCATACAAACGGACATTTTGAAATATTCCCAAGAGATAAGTCACTAAGAATTTTTCATAATGATAATTAGGCAGTAAATAACAAAAACAATTATCAAACACACATTTTGCAATACAAATAACCATCACTAAAACTTGTTCCGTTTGACAGTTTTCCCCACCTTATCTGGAGTTCAGGAGGCAGTTCTTTTTCCTCTTCCCATATAGTCATTTCTACGACATATTTTATCACTGAAGGAAATATTTTCCTGGCTTGGACAATTACCTCTTCATTCAACGGACAGCGTGAATTCTATAAAAAAGCCGAGAAAAACATACTAGTCAAGATTGTATACAAATAAATGGATAAGGAAGGTAATGTTAAGTTAAAATAATCACTTTGCTGAATTCATTACAACATCGTCCAGGAATGAATTCAAGTTGAGCTCAAGAGGGTTGCTATATATTTAGATCAGTTTAGCTTAACCCCTTGTGGCCAAGTTGGTGTTACTGATGACAGAAAGGAGGCAGAACCATGAAGTCTCCCCATTAGTGATATACTCTCTTATGAATGTTCCTACCTGCCTTTCTGAGTAGCTAATTACGATGATATCACGTAACAACTGTTTATCCCTTATAGCTTACAAAGACTTTTCTCACAGCTTGTTTCCCCAGATCCTCATGGCTCTCTCTAAGACAGAACAGGTATTAATGACATTGAAAAGAAATAGAACCCAGCCAGTCACAGAGGGACAAATACTATATGATTCTGCTCATACGAAGTATCTAAAGTAGTCATAATAATAGAAGCAGAAGATAGAAAGGTGGTTGCCAAAGGCTGGGTGTAGGCAGAAGGTTGTTCAGTGGGTAAAGAGTTTCAGTGTCACAAGATGAAAAAGTTCTTAAGATCTGTTACACAACAATGTGAATATACTTAATACTACTGAACGCTATATCTACACTACTGAACTATATTCTTAAAAACGGTTAAGATGATAAATTAATGTCATATGCTTAACCATAAAAAAAAAGATAAGGAACCCATCTAAGATCACAGAGCTTACAAATAGCAGAAACATGACTAAAATCTGGGTCTTTTGACTCCCACAAAAAAGCAATGTTCTTTTCATTACAAAACATTAATAAAAAGCTTGTTCAAGCCAATGAGTTATGAAATCCATTTGAATGCTCCATATCATAAGCCATCAGGGAATGCAAACCCAAATCACAATGAGATACCACTTCACAACTACCTAGGTGGCCATAACAAAAAAAGCAGAAAATAACAAGTATTGGCCAAGATGTAAAAAATAATGTAAAAAGATCAGCAAGATTGCAGGATACAAGATAATGTTACAAAAATTACTTGTATTTCCCTCCCACCTCAGCCTCCTGAGTAACTAGGACTATAGGCATGTGCTACCACACCTAGCTAATTTTAAAATTTTTGTAGAGATAGGGTCTCCTGGCCTCAAGTGATCCACCCACTTCAGCCTCCCAAAGTGCTGGGATTACAGGCATGAGCCACTGCACCCAGCCACCATAATAAGCTTTTCATACGATATAAAATGAAGTACATAGTTTTAACATCTAAAAATCAATCAATGTAATACACCATATAAACAGAATAAAAAATGACTCTTTATGGATTCTTTAGGATTTTTCATATACAAAATCACAGTTGCCCAGGTTGGTCTCTAACTCCTGGTCTCAAATAAGCCTCCTGCCTGAGTCTCCCAAAGTGCTGGGATTACAGGCGTGAGCCACCAGTTGTGTGTATTTTATGGCCGAAGATGTGTATATTTTATGGTTGTAACTGATAAAACAGACTGGTGTCTACAAAATCACGTCCTCTGCAAACAGAGCTAGTTTTACTTCTCCCTTTCCAACGTGGATGCCTTTTACTACTTTTCTTCCCTAAATTCCTTGGTAGAACCTCCAATACAATATTGAACAGATATAGCAAAAGCAGACATCCTTGTCTTGTTTCTGACTTCAGGAGGAAAACATCCACTGTTTCAGCATTAACTATGATATTAACTGTGAGTTTCTCATAGATGTCCTTTATCAGGTTGAGGAAGTTCCCTTCTAAGTTTGTTGAAATATTTTTATCCTGAAAGGGTACTGGATTTTGTCAAATGTTTTTGCTACATCTACTGAGATGATAATGTGGTTTTTATTATATTTATATGGTGTATTACATTGATTGGTTTTCAAATGTTAAAACTATGTACTTCATTGTATATCATATGAAAAGCTTATTATGCTGGCTGGGCGTGGTGGCTCACACCTGTAATCCCAGCACTTTGGGAGGCCGAGGCAGATGAATCACTTGAATCCAGGAGTTCGAATCAGCCTGGCCAACGTGATGAAACCCCATCTCTACTAAAAATATAAAATTAGCCGGATGTGGTGCCATACGCCTATAATCTCAGCTACTCGGGAAGCTGAGACATGAGAACTGCTTGAACCCAGGAGGTGGAGGTTACAATGAGCCGAGATCATACCACTGTACTTCAGCCTGGGCGACTCTGTCTCAAAAAAACAAAAAAAACAAAAACAAAAACAAAAGCTTATTATGCCATATCACTTCATTATTAATGATGATGTTAATATTAATGACTGATTTCAGGTGATGACAGTATGATAACCCCATTGTAAAGTTTCAGTTTTTTCCCCTTATGACTAGCAAATAATCAATAATTTAGAAGTATGTAAATGTAAATACTGTTCCTCATCAACCTAAGTCTTAAGAATTTTAGCATCCTTGTCTGAATCAAATATTTCCTTATGGTTGACAAAATGTTGATTTTTCTAGTTCTATCATTCCTTGTCTAATAGCTAGCATTTCTCTAGAAAGAAAAGCTTTTCCTAATGAACTAGAGATACTTGGTTACCATGAAATACAATTCTTATTGAAAAGGCAGGATAAGCGCTTACTTCATTCCCTTTACCAATTTTAATAGTAAGAAATTGATAGTACAGCTACTTGTCATTGTCAGAAACAGGTTTTACTTCATCTAGCTCTCATTTAGGTTTCATTAGGAACTCACGGATTTTTATATATTCAATGTGATTCAATCAATTATATTGGTTATTTATTGTTTTTTCTTTTGATGCTTCAATTATCCAAGTAAGGTCAATGTGAACCTTTTCAAGCTGGGTCCTACGTTCTTTTGCATGAGCTTGCCTTATACTTCCCCTGACCCAGACCTGGAACCAGGTATTTCTGACAACAAGAAATACCTTATTGCTGTAAGAGCAGAATGGTACTTAAAAGATCAACATATGTGCCCTACAGGTGTTTGCTGCTTTAGGGATATCCACAACAGTTTAAAGAGCGCAAAAACTATTTATTCCTTGAAGTTGTGAAATAATTCATCTGTAAAACTTCTGAACATGGCATTCTGGGGCAAGTACTTTCTTGTGAAAATTTTCTGAATTTCTTCAATGTAACTGACCAAGTTTTCTCTCTGCTTTCTAATAAAAATATTGCACTCTATACTATCTGATAAGATAATCCATTTTCAAGTGTAATTGCACAAAATCATTAAAAGAGTATTTTATAATCCTCGTGATTCCTTCTGTATTTGTGATTCTATGGTTATTTTCCTATTCTCATTTCTAATTGTCTATATCTGGGCTTGCTCAAACTTCTTTATTTCCTTGACTGGGATATATCTATGTAATCTAATTGACATTTTCTTTAAGAAAAGCAATTACTGAATTTATATATCAGCTCTACACTTCTAATTCACTATATGCTACTCTTATCTATTAATAATTACTTCCTTTTGTTCATTTAGGCTTATATGTTGTGTACTATTTTCCTTTTTGAGATAGTCTCACTCTGTCGCCCAGGATGGAGTGCAGTGGCATGATCTTGGCTCACTGCAACCTCCACCTCCCAGGTTCAAGTGATTCTCGTGCCTCAGTCCCCCCAAGTAGCTGCAATTACAGGTGTGTGCCACCACACCTGGCTAATTTTTGTATTTTTAGTAGAGACAGGGTTTCATCATGTTGGCCAGGCTGGTCTCAAACTCCTGACCTCAGGTGATTGAGCCTCCCAAAGTGCCAGGATTACAGGCATGAGCCATAGCGCCCGACCTGTGTACTCTTATGTATCAAGTTGATTGCTTAACAAAACATATTCTGAATTCATCTTTTCATTGTAAATTCATTCTCTCTTTAGAGACATTATCAAATCCTTAGTTTCTTTGGAGCTAGAAAAAAAGCCTCCTTACACCTAAATATGAGAATAAAAACAGCAGGGTTCTAACTGGAATCTATACACATAACATTTATTCTTATCTAATCTCAGCAAACTTAAAATAGTTAACAATTTTTAACAAAATAGCATTCTTACCTCTTTTATAGTACCTGCTCTTCCAGGTTCATGATTTACACAAAAAGGGCCAGTTTTCCATGCCTCTGTGTCTCCACAGTCACAGAACCCTCCTCCAGTAGAAGTATGCATCTGATAAAGGAAAAATGAGTTTGTCTTGATTTCAAACATTTTACTAAGCATGAAGAATGATAAAGATGACTCAAATAATAAATGCTCACCAATACTCCAACCTTAATTGAGTTCAATGTAATATTAACTGGATGTAACAAAAACCATTTTCGATTAGTTACCTAAAAAACAAACCAACAAACCAAAACTTCCAAATTCTGAATACTTCATCATAACAAAAATGAACTGCCAAAATTGATAAGCTTTTGAAACATAACTCTAATTTTTAAATAACAGTTGTTTAAATTTTGACTAATGGAGAAGAATAGATTGCAAAGTGTGCGAAAATAATCTATACAACACCTAGAATTTTTTTTTTAATTGTTATACTTTAAGTTTTAGGGTACATGTGCACATTGTGCAGGTTAGTTACATACGTATACATGTGCCATGCTGGTGTGCTGCACCCACTAACTCGTCATCTAGCATTAGGTATATCTCCCAATGCTATCCCTCCCCACTCCCCCCTAGAATTTTTGAGTGATAAGATTTTTTTTTTTTTTTGAGATGGAGTTTCGCTTTTGTTGCCCAGGCTGGAGTGCAATGGCGTGATCTTGGCTCACCGCAACCTCTGCCTCCCGGGTTCAAGCGATTCTCCTGCCTCAGCCTCCCAAGTAGCTGGGACTACAGGCATGCACCACCACGCCTGGCTAATTTTGTATTTTTAGTAGAGACGGGGTTTCTCTACGTTGGTCAGGCTGGTCTCAAACTCCCGACCTCAGGTGATCCGCCCGCCTCAGCCTGCCAAAGTGCTGGGATTATAGGCATAAGCCACCATGCCCAACCTGATAAGATTTTTTTAATTAAACAAACTTAAAAAAACTCATGCCCTCTCCCTCTCCCTCTCCCTCTCCCTCTCTCCACGGTCTCCTTCCATGGTCTCCCTCTGATGCCGAGCCAAAGCTGGACGGTACTGCTGCCATCTCGGCTCACTGCAACCTCCCCGCCTGATTCTCCTGCCTCAGCCTGCAGAGTGCCTGCGATTGCAGGCGCGCGCCGCCACGCCTGACTGGTTTTCGTTTTTTTTTTTTTTGGTGGAGACGGGGTTTTGCTGTGTTGGCCGGGCCAGTCTCCAGCCCCTAACCGCGAGTGATCCGCCAGCCTCGGCCTCCCGAGGCGCCGGGATTGCAGACGGAGTCTCGTTCACTCAGTGCTCAATGGTGCCCAGGCTGGAGTGCAGTGGCGTGATCTCAGCTCGCTACAACCTCCACCTCCCAGCCGCCTGCCTTGGCCTCCCAAAGTGCCGAGATTGCAGCCTCTGCACGGCCGCCACCCCGTCTGGGAAGTGAGGAGCGTCTCTGCCCGGCCGCCATCCCATCTAGGAAGCGAGGAGCGCCTCTTCCCCGCCGCCATCCCATCTGGGAAGTGAGGAGCGTCTCTGCCCGGCCGCCCATCGTCTGAGATGTGGGGAGCGCCTCTGCCCCGCCGCCCTGTCTGGGATGTGAGGAGCGCCTCTGCTGGGCCGCAACCCTGTCTGGGAGGTGAGGAGCCTCTCTGCCCGGCCGCCCCGTCTGAGAAGTGAGGAAACCCTCTGCCTGGCAACCGCCCCGTCTGAGAAGTGAGGAGCCCCTCCGTCCGGCAGCCACCCCGTCTGGGAAGTGAGGAGCGTCTCCGCCTGGCAGCCACCGCGTCCGGGAGGGAGGTGGGAGGGGGTCAGCCCCCCGCCCGGCCAGCCGCCCCGTCCGGGAGGTGAGGGGCGCCTCTGCCCGGCCGCCCCTACTGGGAAGTGAGGACCCCTCTGCCCGGCCAGCCGCCCCGTCCGGGAGGGAGGTGGGGGGGTCAGCCCCCCGCCCGGCCAGCCGCCCTATCCAGGAGGTGAGGGGCGCCTCTGCCCGGCCGCCCCTACTGGGAAGTGAGGAGCCCCTCTGCCTGGCCAGCCGCCCCGTCGGGGAGGGTGGTGGGGGGGTCAGCCCCCCGCCCGGCCAGCCGCCCCATCCGGGAGGTGAGGGGCGCTTCTGCCCGGCCGCCCCTACTGGGAAGTGGGGAGCCCCTCTGCCCGGCCACGACCCCGTCTGGGAGGTGTGCCCAGCGGCTCATTGGGGATGGGCCATGATGACAATGGCGGTTTTGTGGAATAGAAGGGCGGGAAGGGTGGGGAGGAAATTGAGAAATCGGATGGTTGCCGGGTCTGTGTGGATGGAAGTAGACATGGGAGACTTTTCATTTTGTTCTGTACTAAGAAAAATTCTTCTGCCTTGGGATCCTGTTGATCTGTGACCTTATCCCCAACCTTGTGCTCTCTGAAACATGTGCTGTGTCCACTCAGGGTTAAATGGATTAAGGGTGCGAGATGTGCTTTGTTAAACAGATGCTTGAAGGCAGCATGCTCGTTAAGAGTCATCACCACTCCCTAATCTTAAGTACCCAGGGACACAAACACTGCGGAAGGCCGCAGGGTCCTCTGCCTAGGAAAACCAGAGACCTTTGTTCACTTGTTTATCTGCTGACCTTCCCTCCACTATTGTCCTATGACCCTGCCAAATCCCCCTCTGGGAGAAACACCCAAGAATGATCAATTAAAAAAAAAAAAATCTGAGAAAAAAAAAAATAAAAATAAAAATAAAATAAAAAAACTCATGATGATTACATAGTACTTAAGAAATGTATAAAGTATTTTAATTTACACAAATATCCCATAGCAACTAAAACTTATTTATAAACTTTATCCTTTCAGTGTTGTTGAAAAAAAATTATCCAAAATATACTACCTCAGGTAGAGGATGATGGCAACAACCTGATTTTGAATCTTCCTCAAAACTTCCTCCAAAACATAAAAAGAATAAGGAGAACACTAAAACCATACATTATCCATACTTTCAGCATTTACTAGGAGAACAACAAAAAAAATTACCACAACGTTCATATGACGTACTCCAAAGGAATTCCCATTGCCTATCCCTTCAAGCCTGTGGGTGCAGATAGCAAGAGAAGGGAGCTTAAAAGACTCCATGAAAAAGTACAGAGGTGCAGAGGACTTAGAAGAAACACTGAAACACAGAAAAAAGTCACCCCCAAAAGAGAAAGCCCAATGCTAAGGGATGAAACCTGAACATGAGTTGGGACTTGATTCACAAAGAAAGTGAGAAGGACAAGAGGTGGCAAACTCAGAGAAGCAGTACTTTTGGAAGAAAATCAGATACATTTTTACAGAGTGGAAACCCCTAAAGATGTGGCAATGAAGGAAAAAGGGATATAAGGGAAAATTCTATAGAAATGAGAGAGAAACAAGACGTGCCAAACCCTCCCTTCACATCACCACCACTAATATCATCAACAAAAAAAGAAATTACACAGAAAATGGAAGAACTGACAGAAGAGAGCACTTGTAACCCTTGAGCATGAAATGAGAAAGAACAGAAAAAGCAGCCCATATTCACATAAACATGTAAAAATTAAAAGGGGAGGGGCAAAAATGCAAATAAGAGCCAAAACCCAATCACAAAGCTAAAGAAAACTATAACACAATGCTCCAAACTCAATTACATGGAGTCAAACAAGCATTTGGTGATTATGACTTGAATCAGATGAAAACACCTTGTATCAGAAATAGAAAAACTGGCCAGGCACAGTGGCTCATGCCTGCAATCCCAATGCTTTGGGAGGTTTGAAGTGGGAGGATCACTAAAGGCCAAGAGTTTGAGATCAGCCTGAGCAATACAGCAAGATCCCATTTCTACAGAAAATTAAAAAATTAGCCAGGTGTGGTGGCATGCACCTGTAGTAAGTAATACATAAACTAAAAACAGAAATGGACAAAAAAGCAGGAATAAATGAGACTTAATTGAACTCAGGAAAAAAAAATACAAGAAGATGAGAAAATCATGCCAGAAATGAATTTTACATTACAAAGTATCCAAAATATAGACTCAAATGAAAAGTTAATGAATAACATTGAAGCAAAGCAGGAATACAAGAGAATGAAAATGAGATGAAGTAAAAAGTAGGATCAGAGAGAAAGTCATTGAAATGGGGGACAGGCATAAGAAAGCCACTATAACTGGAGTCACCGAAGAAGAAAATCAAAACAACGGAACACAACTAACATTTAAAACCACAGACCAGGCACAGTGGCTCATGCCTGTAATCCTACACCTTGGGAGGCCGAGGCAGGAGGGCTGTTTTAGCCCAGAAGTTTGAGACCAACCTGGGCAACACAGTGAAACCTCGTCTCGGTTAAAAAAAATAATCGAATTAAATTAAAATGTAAAAACAAATTAAAAATAAGACTATAAACTAAGAAAACTTTCTGCAAATAAAAGAACACCTGAATCTGTACACTAAAAGGGCCCATGAATTCTTGAGTGACTAATCAACTCCAAAATATATCCTAGTAAAACTATTTGACTTTAAAGATAAAAGTCCTGAGGGTGGCCAGGAGCAGTGGCTCACGCCTGTAATTCCAGCACTTTGGGAGGACGAGGCGGGTGGATCATGAGGTCAGGAGATCGAGACCATCCTGGCTAACACGGTGAAACCCCGTCTCTACTAAAAAATACAAAAAAAATTAGCCGGGTATGGTGGTGGGCGCCTGTAGTCCCAGCTACTCAGGAGGCTGAGGCAGGAGAATGGAGTGAACCCGGGAGACAGAGATTGCAGTGAGCTGAGATCGTGCCACTGCACTCCAGCCTGGGCGACAAAGCGAGACTCCGTCTCAAAAATAAATAAATAAATAAATAAATAAAAGTCCTGAGGGTATTCAGGTAAAAGATGAGATATCATAATGACAAGAAAATCATACTGGCATTAGACTTCTCAGTAACAACATATGAAACAATAGCAGAGTAGTATTTTTAAGTAAAGAAAATGCAAACTAAGGATATTATTTCCAGCCAAGCTATAAAGGTCTGATTTTGAACATGTCAGGACTCAGGGAACACTACACATGTACCCTTCTTGAGGTGTCTATTTGAGCAAGAATCAGCAAACTTTCTGTGTAAGGAACCAAACAATAAATATTTTAGGTTTTGCAGGCCACATAGCCTCTGTCAAATTACTCAATGCTACTGCCGTATTGCAGAAGCAGCCACAGAGAATACAAAAGTGAATAAGCATGGCTTTGCTGCAATAAAACTTTATTTACGGGCACTGAAATTTTAATTTCATATAATTTTAATGTATCATGAAACATTTTTTTAAACTAACCATCTAAAAATATAAAAACATTCTCAGCTGTTTGAAGCCATATAAAAATAGTGAGCCAGATTTGACCCACAGGCTGTGGTTTATCATTCCCTTCCACCATCATCCCCCAGCCACTAGCAACCACTGATTTTTTTATTGCCTCCCCAGTTTTGTCTTTTCCAAAATGTCATACAGTTGGAATCATACAGTATGTAGCCTTTTCAGAATTGTTGCTTTCATTTATCAATATGTACTTAAGGTCCCACCATGTGTTTTCATGACTTGATAGCTCCTTTCTTTATAGTACTAAGCAATATTCCATTGTATGTATGTACCACAGTTTTTCCATTCACCTACTGAAGGACATCTTGGTTGCTTCCAAGTTTTGGGAAATATGAAGAAAGCTGCTATAAAACATTCACTGGCCGGGCGTGGTGGCTCACACCTGTAATCCCAGCAATTTGGGAGGCCGAGGTGGGTGGATCACTTGAGGTCAGGAGTTTGAGACCAGCTTAACATGGTGAAACCCCGTCTCTACTAAAAATACAAACATTAGCTGGGCATGGTGGTACACATCTGTAATCCCAGCTACCTGGGAGGCTGAGGCAAGAGAAATGCATGAACACAGGAGGTGGAGGTTACAGTGAACCAAGATTGTGCCACTGCACTCCAGCATGGGCAACAGAGCCAGACTCCATCTCAAAAAAAAAACATTTCGTGTGCAGTTTTTTTGTATGGACATAAGTTTTCAATTCATTTGTGTAAATACCAAGGAGTGCTGTTGTTGGATCATATGATAAAAGTATGTTTACTTCTGTAAAAAACTGTTGAATTATCTTCTGAAGTAGTTATACCATATTGCATTTCCACCAGTTATAAGACTTCCTGGCCAGGCACGGTGGCTCACGCCTGTAATCCCAGCACTTCAGGAGGCTGAGGCGGGTGGATCACAAGGTCAGGAGTTCAAGACCAGCCTGACCAGCAGAGTGAAACCCCATGTGTATTAAAAATACAAAAATTAGCCAGGTGTGGTGGCGCACGCCTGTAATCCTAGCTACTCAGGAGGCTGAGGCAGGAGAATCACTTGAAGCCAGGAGGCGGACGTTGTGGTGAGCCGAGATCGCACCATTGCACTCTAGCCTGGGAAATAACAGCGACACCCCATCTCAAAAAAAAAAAAAAAAAAAAAAAAGAAAAGTTCCTGTTGTTCCACATCCTCACCAGCATTTGGTGCTGTCAGTGCTTTGGATTTTCACTATTCTAATAGGTATATAGTAACATCTCATTGTTTTAATTTGCAATTCCCTAATGACAAATGATGTTGAGCATCTTTTAGTGTGTTTACTACTGATCATTTGTATATATTCTTGATGAAGTGTCTATTCAGATATTTTGTCCATTTTTTAAAGGGATGGTTTTCTTATTCTTGAATTTTAAGAGTTCTTTGTATAATTTTAGCACTGGCCTTTTTTTAAGATGTATGTTTGGCAAAGTTTTTTTGCTCAGTCTATCTCTTGCCATTTTATTCTCTTAAAAATCCATATTTTTTAATCCAGTAATTCCACTTCTGAGAACCTATCCTAAGGAAATAATCCTACATATAAAAAAATTATTTACACATAAAGGCATTTACTGTAACACTGTTTATCATTTTAAAAAAACTGAAACCCAAATAAATACCCCAATAATAGGTAAATTTAAAAATAAAATATGGTTAAATATTATATACATAATATGTTCTTAAAAAAGCACAATGTATAATTTTATATATTTTGCTTTTTACATTTAAAAGTATAACAAAATTTTATTTTTATAACTCCACAAACTTCCTTTGAAAACTACATTTTTTTCCTGATTAAAAGAGATAGTTGCAGAAATACACTCTTTTTATAGCTCATTTTTCTCATTTAACAACATGAAAAAAACATTTCTATTAAAAACAATCTTTAACAGTAAGTGTATGTTCGTTTCTATGTATGTATTTTTGAGAAAGAATACACAGAGGTTTACTGTAAGTTTTTTTTTTAGTAGTAAACTACTGAAAGGCTAGAGATCACAAAGAAGGGTCATATTACACACTGTAGAGCAAAGAGCTCAAAATTTTGTTTGTTTTCTTGTTCTCAAAAGTTGTTATGGACTATTCTGCAACTGAAGGTTTATCTTGGTCCTTTCATCACATAATATCTGATCTTGAGTCTCCCTAAAATTACTCCTTTTTTCTTTTCTGTAAAGCAACACACATCCCTTATCTCTTCCAATCTTTTCTTTAAAATGGCTATGTTCACATATCAGAGCTGTTATAGCAGGAATGTGAATACTACTCAAGAATTTGGACTAGATGGCCATCAGATTCCTGCTTATTCAGAGGTTATGGTTATATTTTCTTACCTTGTAACGATGATTTTTATGAACACTGTCCTGGAAGCAGTCCATACAGAGTACACATGTTGGATCAATTGCACAATCCCTGAAAAAGATCAGAAATCAGATTCCAAAATTTAGATGACTCCCACTGATGCTCAAGGTATGACTATAATACAATGTGAACAAGTTTCCTCTATGGTACACAAACTGAATATGAAAATGCTTCAAAAACTGGATTGTTAAAATGTTTTGAACAAAGATAATATTGCTAGCACAACTTTAGTCTCATTTTAGCCACATTTAAGTGTGTAGGTCTGGATGTTTGGTTTTCTTTCTGAAATCATTCTCATAACTTTGGGCCTTGACCTGGTTTCGAACTGTTAGATTACAATTCAAAAATAGTTTTGTAAAAAATAATCCACTTTTTCCATTAACTACCATCATCTCATCCTATTACATAAACAAATATATTTTACAAAAGCTGATTGCTCATTGTTAAATGAGGCTTGGATAAAGACAAAGTTCATTAGAATGCAAGCAACATAAGGGCAGGGATTTCTATTCATTGTACATTGAAGTGTCCCGAACACCTGCAATGATGCCTGGCATATAGTGGGTACTTAATATTCATTGAACAAATGAAAGAAATTCAATCCCTCTTCATCTCTCCCTTAATAACAACTTCTTAAATGCATTGTTTTATTTAACATTTTGGAGGAGACATTAAGAACAATATAAATTAGTGCAAAGTGCAGGATTATTATTTTTTTTTCTTTTGAGACAATCTCACTCTGTCACCCAGGATGGAACGCAGTGGAAGGCAGTGGCATAATCATAGCTCACTGCAACCTCAGCCTCCCAGGTTCAAGTGATTCTCGAACCTCAGCCTCCCAAGTAGCTGGGATTACAGGCATGCGCCACCACGCCCAGCTAATTATTTGTATTTTTAGCAGAGACAGGGTTTCACCATGCTCGCCAGGCTGGTCTCGAACTCCTGACCTCAAGTGATCTGCCCACCTCAGCCTCCCAAAGTGCTGGGATTACAGGCGTGAGCCTCTGCACCTGGCCAGGATTAATTTTTTAAATATCTTATTTAGAAGAATTGAAGAGATAAAATTGGGGAATTTTAAAAAGATTTTAAAAGGCTGGCCAGGCTTGGTGGCTCACACCTGTAATCCCAGCACTATGGGAGGCCAAGGTGGGCGGATCACCTGAGGTCGGGAGTTCCAGACCAGCCTGACCAACATGGAGAAACCCCGTCTCTACTAAAAATACAAAAAATTAGCCAGGCATGGTGGTGCTTGCCTGCAAGCCCAGCTACTCAGGAGGTTGAGGCAGGAAAATTGCTTGAACCTGGGAGGTGGAGGTTGCGGGTGAGCTGAGATAGCGCCACTGTACTCTAGCCTAGGCAATAAGAGCGAAACTCTGTCTCAAAAACAAACAAACAAACAAAAAACAACAACTTAAAAAGCTAACAGGAAATATAGGTTGTCTAATAATATTCTGTAAAATATATATCATCTATAGACCTATTTAGAGTAGGATTTTTCAACCTTAATACTACTGACATTTTGGGCCAGATATCATTTGTCGGGGGTGAACCAGACTGTCCTGTGCATTAGGATGTTTAGCAGGAATCTTGGCCTCTACACACTAGATGCCAGTACCTTCATCCCCAGTTGTAACAACTAAAAATATCTCCATGAAACTTTTGGAGACATGAGGTCTGCAAATGTCTAGCATGCTTTAGTTGAAACTGATTGGGCTTTAGCTAAAAATATGTAAGAATATAAATGACCCTTACTATACTATATAGCAACATGGTACACAAAATGCAAAGACTATTTTTTCGTTTGTTTTTGAGATGGAGTCTTGCTCTGTTGCCCAGGCTGGAGTGCAGTGGCACAATCTCGGCTCACCACAACCTCTGTCTCCCGGGTTCAAGCAATTCTCTGCCTCAGCCTCCCGAGTAGCTCGGATCACAGGCGCCCACCACCATGCCTGGCTAATTTTTGTAGTTTTAGCAGAGACGGGGTTTCCCATCTTGGCCAGGCTGGTCTTGAACTCCTGACCTCGTGATCCACCTGCCTCGGCCTCCCAAAGTGCTGGGATTACAGGCATGACCACAGCGCCTGGCCAAGGCTATTTTTTTTCCCCTGAGAAAAGAACAGAATAAAGAAAGATAGTATGTTCTAAACAACTGTTAACTGTACATAAACCAGTTAGGCCTAGAATTATAAGGAAGTAAAAACAATTCTCTGTATTTATAAAGTTTAAAACTTTACACTCCTAACCTAAACTAGCTCTAAGAAGGAAAACTAAATTTCAAATTTCAGGCAGAGGTAAGGAGTAAAAACATTCTCTGTGCTGTCACGAAGTTTAAGGCACTGCTCTCACAAAGAATAAAAAGCCTAAAGTTGCTTTCAGTTTCCCTGCCGCTGGCCTCTTCTATTCAACTAAATTACAACTGTTTCTACAGGTTCAAAATCCCTTATGCCAGACTCTGAAATCCAAATAGCTCCAAAACTGAAAGGTTTTGGGATTGTAGGTTTGGCAATAAATCTCACTTGGTGGCAAAAAATTACTTTAAATGACATGCGACTACAGGCATGATTTATACTACTTGTTATGAATATTCACAGATTTCTTAAAGAAAGATTGTGTTTGATTACAGTGTCCCGCCCTGACTCTGCTGGGGAAGTATTCAGAATTCTGAAATGGCCCCAAAGAGTTTCAGGTAAGAGTGTACTGGATATATTATGAACAAGGCAAAAATTTATCACTGACATTCCGTTGGAGAACAGGAAGAAACAGTGAGCACTATTTAACTGGAAGACATATATATTCAGAAACAAGCTATACTAGCAAAAACCAAACTATAACGGTATAATAAAAGAAAATTAATAAGATTAAATGTATTATAAATAGCAATAAACCAAGACAAGTACATCGTGAAATAGATACAAAATACCAAGATTGTAATACTTGGCCAGGATGCAGTGACTCATGCCTGTAATCCCAGCACTTTGTGAGGCTGAGGCATGTGGATCACTTGAGGCCAGGAGTTTGAGACCAGCCTAGCCAACATGGTGAAACCTTGTCTCTACTAAAAATATGAAAATTAGCCAGGCATGGTGGCGGGTGCCTGTAATCCCAGCCAGACGTGGTGGCGGGCACCCGTAATCCTAGCTACTTGGGCGGCTGAGGCAGGAGAATTGCTTGAACCTGGGAGGCAGAGGTTGCAGTGACGTGACCGGAGATCGCACCACTGCACTCCAGCCTGGGTCACACAGCAAGACTCTGTTTCAAAAAAAAAAAAAAAAAAGGATTTTAATAATTATAATCAATCCTGTAAATTTCTAATTCTTACCTGCAAGAATAGGTTGTCTCTCCACTTTTGAAAACCCTCCCACAAAGCTGAAATGCTCCACTGTGCTTCAATTTCTCTAAGCAAATATCTGGATCTTCTCCAAATAAGTACCATTCCAGTGGAGTGAATATTGACATTTGTACACTTTCCTCCTGCTTTTCCAAGTCTGGGTCCATTTCAGCAAAGTAAATTTCTGGCACCAATTGTGCCAAATGATGCAAGAAAGCAGTATAAAAATCAACTTGCTGATCCCACCACTAAAAGAAAAGAAGATGAAAATTAGACTGACTTACAAGTTCCTTCTTAATCATCTAGGGGCACAAATAATGACATAATTCTACAATTTCAAAGTAATTTACAGTATATTTCATCTTTCACCAATACAGAAGGAAAGTGGGTGATTAAAAAAATTAAGCTTGGAAATAAGCAACTGCTCACATACCACCAGTATCTGAAAAAAAAAAAAAAAAAAAGAAGAGTAGCTGTAGTAAGAATTATCCTTCCCTTCTGAAATGGCCAATTCCTGCTATGTGAAGGTGGTTCTATTATCAGTCACAGGCTGTACAGACAATGCATTCATCAAAAATTTTGTTTTAGGAAACCAGAGTATTTAACAAGAGATCGAAATGAACATAGGCCAAAATTTTGTAAACACAAAAAGCACTAACCATAAAAGGAAAAAAACTAGATAAAATGGACCTCATCAGAAGTAAAACCTTCTGCTCTTTAAAAGAAACTGTTACAGATGGCTTATTTGCATGTGAAAACATGCTTACATTATTAGTCATTAGGGAAGCACAAATTAAAATGACAATGAGATACCCCTGTACAACCTAGTACAGTGGCTAAAATAAAAAACTGGCAATATCAAATGCTAACTAGGCCAAAAGTGCTTTCCCACCTATAGTCCCATCTCAGGAGGCTGAAGTGGGAGGACTGCTTGAGCCCAGGAGTTCAAGGCTGTAGCGTGTGCCTGTGAATAGGCACCGCACTTCAGCCTCGACAACACATAGGGAGACCCTGTCTCTTAAAAAACAAACAAAAGACAAAAACAAAAACAAAACACATATGACTCAAGGCACATCATTTAAAAACAACAACAAAAACTTATCCAAGGAGTTTTACAAGCTAATAGAATCGGGCCGGGCGCGGTGGCTCACACCTGTAATCCCAGCACTTTGGGAGGCCGAGGTGGGTGGATCACGAGGTCAGGAGATCGAGACCACCCTGGCTAACACAGTGAAACCCCGCCTCTACTAAAAATACAAAAAATTAGCCAGGCGTGCTGGCGGGCGCCTGTAGTCCCAGCTACTCAGGAGGTTGAGGCAGGAGGATGGCGTGAACCCAGGAGGCGGAGCTTGCAGTGAGCCGAGAATGCGCCACTGTACTCCAGCCTGGGCGACAGAGTGAGACTCCAACTCAAAAAAAAAATAAAATAAAATAATTAGAATTAAGATTTTAGATAAGGTTCCATAACAGGTCATTAAGGAAAGTTACAGATATTTGATTACATATAAGGCTTTTTTAGTTTGTACTAATGAACCTCAATATTCCATTCACAAATAAATTCAACCTCAATATTCCATGCACAATTAAAACTTTATGGAAAATATGTTTAGATTAGGTATTACTATAGAAATTAGTCCATTCTCTAAAGGGCAATTTGTAGACAGTTATTAAAATTTTAGATTTACATATATTTTGACCCAGAAATGCCCATTCTAGGAATTTATTCCTCTGATAAACATGTAAAAAGAAAGTATTTTTTTTTGCAGCATGACTATTTTTAATCGTCAAAGACTGGAAACAACCGAAATGTCCCAAAACAAGAGCTGAATAAATCATGGGACATTATAAAAAAGGAGAGGGCACAGATCTATGTCCTGATATGGAACATAAAGCAAAAGTTACACAACAGTGAGTATAATGTGCTACCATTTATACTGGGAGAAGGGAGGAAAAGAAAAAAGAAGAGGTGAAGGAGATGTATCTGTATATGTTTATATTTGAATACAAAAATCTCTGAAAGGATTCAAAATAAACTGTTAGCAGTAGAAAGAGCCTGGGAAAAACTTAGCGTTCACTGTGTTAACTTTTTTACTGTTTTAATTTTTTACTGTATATACACATTATCTATTTGAAATCATTTAAAAACTTTTTCAATCCTATACATTTCATGTACAGTTATTCATAACAGCAAAAAATTAAAAACCTGAATGTCCGTGAAGACAGGGTAATAATCTATCATTTAGCCATACTCATCCAAGTGTGAAAATATATATTTACATCCACCAGATGTGCACTATAACATCACTTGTAACTGAAGAGATGAAGTCCACCTAAATGTCTATCAATAAAGGTATATCCACTGTGGTACAGTCATACCACTCAATGCAGTCAGAATGTCATAAATACTGTTAAGTGGAAAAAGAAGCTTTAAACATAATTTCATTTTTGTAAAAAGTAAAAAATTATATATACTTTTAAAATTTCAACACATTTGGGCTTTCTTTCTTTCTTTTTTTTTTTGAGATGAAATTTCGCTCTTGTCATCCAGGCTGGAGTGCCATGGCAGGATCTCAGCTTACTGTAACCTCTACTTCCTGGGTTCAAGCGATTTTCCTGCCTCAGCCTCCCAAGTAGCTGGGTTTTCTAATTTAATACATGTGGAGGCACATCTCTGCCTATGCTTCCCTAAACATAGACTAAGGGTCTGGAAGGAGAAACAACAAACTATTAATAATGGCTACACAGAGGGAAGGAGCTGGGGAAAAGAATTAGGGATTGTCACATTTTTACTTTCAACAATGTTACATTGTTTGACTTTGTTAGACAAGTGTCAATACTTTTGCAACTAACAAAAAAAAAAAAACTTTTAAAAAATCTACATGAGGGCTGGTGCACATGGTGGCTCATGCCTGTAATCCCAGCACTTTGGGAGGCCGAGGCGGGCGGATCACTTGAGGTTAGGAGTTCGAGACCAGCCTGCCTAACATGCTGAAACCCCGTCTCTACTAAAAATACAAAAATTGGCCAGGCATGATGGCATGCACCTGTAATCCCAGCTACTCAGGAGTCTGAGGCACGAGAATTGCTTGAACCCGAGAGGCAGAAGTTGCAGTGAGCTGAGATCATGCCACTGCACTCCAGCCTGAGCGACAGAGTGAGACTCCATTTCAAAAAAAAAAAAACTACATGAGATAATACGCCCATTTAAAAATGATGCTGGCTGGGTGAGGTGGCTTATGCCTGTAATCCCAGCACTTTGGGAGGCCGAGAAGGGCGGATTACGAGGTCAGGAGATCAAGACCATCCTCACTAACATGGTGAAACCCCATCTCTGCTAAAAATACAAAACAAAATTAGCCAGGCGTGGTGGTAGGCGCCTGTAGTCCCAGCTACTCGGGAGGCTGAGGCAGGAGAATGTCGTGAACCCAGGAGGCGGAGCTTGCAGTAAGCTGAGATTGCGCCACTGCATTCCAGCCTGGGCGACAGAGCGAGAGTCCATCTCAACCAAAAATAAATAAATAAATAAATAATAAAAAATGATGCCAAATGGTCTCAAAGTATCTCCAATGGGAAAGACAGTAACAGAGAGAAAGACACCACAACATTATTGTATTATTTTTTTTCTTTTTAATAGAGAAGGGGTCTCACCTAGGTTGGTCTTGAACTCTTGGGCTCAAGTGATCCTCCCCACCTCCCAAGGACATGGATCTGACGGGGACTACAGGCTCATGCCACAGCACCTGGCTGATTTTTGTGTTATTTTTGCCCAAAATGTATAATCTAATTCCAATCATGAGAAAATATCATACAAACCCAAAATGAGGGACATTCCATACAATAACTGCAAAGTACTCTAAAAGTGTTAAGGTCATGAAAACAAGGAAAGATCAAGACATTGTTACAGACTGGAGACGAGAGAGATAACTAAATGTAACTGGGATCCTGGGTGTTATCCTAGAACAGAAAAAGCACATTTGTGGGAAAACTGATGAAATGCAAATCAGATCTGTAGTTAGTATTTATATTAATTTCCTGTCCTTGATAATTATACTATGGTTATGCAAAATGTTAACATTACAGGAAACAGAAAGAGGGAGGTAAAAGAACTGTGCTACAATTTATGCAACATTTTTTATAGTCTAAGATTAAAACAAGAAATGATGCTGAAGAGGTTTATTTACTAATATGGAAAGGCATTAATAACAAACAGTTCAGTAAAGTAGGTTACAAAGCAGTATATATAAAATCTCAATTTGGTTAAATATTATATTTACATTTACATAGAGAAAAATCATGACGACTATTTAACAAAATATTAACAGAAATGGGTGGTGTGATTTTAGCATATTTTCATGGAATTCATTACTCTGCTTATCGAATGAGTAATATCCTTACAGTGAGTCCATATTTTGGAAGTAATTTTATAATTTTAAAATTAAAATTTATTTTACTAATACCTTTTAAAAATAAATATACCTTCCAGTATTCCTACTCCAACTTTTCTGGGGTACTCATACACAAACAACTTTTCTCTACATACCTGGCAACAACTACAACTAACATAGAGATAATATCTAATGTTCTATGTTATACCTAAGGTTCTTTTCATCAACAGCACTAAATGAAGAAAAAAAAAAAACTTGCATATTCAGCGCTACAAACCAAACAAAAAATCTTACTGTTCTACTTAATTATAAGAGGCACAGAACTAGCTCTTTTCAATTTGTCTTGTTTAGAAGAAATTTAAGAGTAAAAAAGAGTACAAGCCCCTCACATTTCATAGATGAGAAAGCTGAATCACAGGGAAGTAAACTGACTTGTCCAAAATCATCAAATCACCAGTTGGTATCAATGTCAGGAACAGAACTAGGTATCCTAAGTCCTAAAGTTCAGTGCCCATTCTACTAAACCAAACATAAATATACAGTTTTTATTTTATTTATTTATTTATTTTTATTTTTTTTGAGGTGGAGTTTTGCTCTTCTTGCCCAGGCTGGAGTGCAATGGCACGATCTCGGCCCATGCAACCTCTGCCTCCCGGGTTCAAGCAATTCTCCTGCCTCAGCCACCCGAGTAGCTAGGATTACAGGAACGTGCCACCACGCCTGGCTAATTTTGTATTTTTAGTAGAGACGGGGTTTTTCCATGTTGGTGAGGCTGGTCTTGAACTCCCGACCTCAGGTGATCCGCCCACCTCAGCCTCCCAAAGTGCTGGGATTACAGGCATGAGCCACTGTGTCTGGCCAAATATACAGTTTTAAAATCTACCTTTACTGGCTTGTTCAATTTCACATTATAGGTTGGGCATCCCACACCCAAAAATCAGAAACCAAGACACTCAAAGGAAATGCTCATTGTAACATTTTGGATTTTAGATTTTCAGATTTGGAATGTTCAACCAGTACAATACAAATATTCCAAAATCTGAAAAAATCCAAATTCCAAAACACAAGGGATACTCAACCAGTAATGGTAAAATAAACAAAACAATAAAGTTTTGCCTTCTTAATTTTTGCTTTAACTATTGCCTTCTTTGTAATTACAATTACAAATGAAGCCTCTTAGCTAACAACTACCGAACACTACTGAAGGCTACTAAATATTCTTAAATTATATCTGTCATCACATGCTTTATAATGAATAATTGATATTTTAAAACATCATGGCTGGGCATGGTGGCTGTAATCCCAGTACTATGGGAGGCCGAGGTGGGTGGATCACTTGAGCTCAGGAGTTTGAGACCAGCCTAGGCAACATGGTGAAACCCCGTCTCTACTAAAAATACAAAAATTAGCCAGGTGTGGTGGTGCGCATCTGTAATCCCAGCTACTCAGGAGGCTGAGGCAGGAGAATCACTTGAACCCGGGAGGTGGAGGTTGCAATGAGCTGAGATCATGCCACTGTACACCATCTCAAAAAAAAAAAAAAAAAAAAAAAAAAAAAATTAGCCAGATGCGGTGGCACATACCTGTGGTCCCAGCTATTCGGGAGGCTGAGGTGGGAGAATTGCTTGAGTCAGAGAGGGAGAGGTCAGTGAGCGGAGATCATGCCACTGCACTCCAGCCTGGGCAACACAGTGAGACCCCATCTCAAAAAACAAAACAAATTATACTCTTGGCTGATTTAGGCAGAATGTCTGGGTGCTGATGCCTTAAATACCCTCTCCATCAGTCTCACTACTAGCTCTCTGTCCCTCCACCCCCACACCAACTTATTTATCCCTCAAGGCCCAGCTCAAGGCCAACCTTAGCGAATCCTTCACTGATCAGCCCAAGAAAATTTTTCTTCTGTTAATTCTAATACAGTATTTGAAGGCAGTACTCATTCTGTACTTATACCACTGGCTGATATCATTAATTACCTTTAAATGTGTACATCTAGCCTCTTCAATTAGAATGTAAGCTCCCTGAGGAGAGGAACTTTGCTCTTCAAATCCCTGTATCCTATAGGCCTAGCACAAGTACACAATAAAAGTTATCAGTTAATTGCTAAATGCTACACATTTCTTGCCAGAGAAAACAAAGCAAATTTTGATAACATTAAGCCTTCTATAACTTTGTGTATAGAATTTTTTTTTTCTAAGACAGAGTCTTGCTCTGTCACCAGGCTGGAATGCAGTGGCACGATCTCGGCTCACTGCAACCTCTGCCCCCTGGGTTCAAGCGATTCTCCTGCCTCAGCCTCCCAAGTAGCTGGGACTACGGGCGCGTGCCACCCCAACCAGCTAATTTTTGTATTTTTAGTAGAAACGGGGTTTCACCATGTTGGCCAGGATGGTCTCAATCTCTTGACCTTGTGATCCGCCTGCCTTGGCCTCCCAAAGTGCTGGGATTACAGGCGTGAGCCACCGCGCCCAGCCTAGAATTTTTATGGGAAATAAAGTTCAGTTACACTCTTCACAAAAATGTTTTCCATTATTGCCAAACTGTGGAAAATTTTTTTCAACTAAAATAGGTTTGATTTTTTGCCTTTGGTTGGTTGTTTTTAAAATTTTCCCCCATTTTCAACAGGAATAAAATTAAGAATTTTTAAGTACCAAGTCCAGGAAAAAAAAAATAACTGTTTGAAATTAAGGGAAAGCTTTCCTAATTGACTATTCTGTAAAAAACAAGTTCTTAACAAGTTCTCAACATTAAAATTCCCAAACATTCCAAACATTTCCCTCATCCCCAAGGAGACTAGAGATATGTTTTCAACTCTGACCCAACAGCTTAGATGCCTGTTTGGGAACATCATTCTGAAAAAGGAACTTACTTAAGTAGATTAGTTTTGTTTAAACCACAATTTGACCTTCCTTAAACAACTGCTAGACATCTACAGAGCCTTCAGAGCCCAGTAATTGTTTTTCTAATTCTTCTTTTTAAAGTGGTAACAAAACCTGGAGGCGCTACCATTTTTCACAGCCACTATGGATTAGTAATAATTAGAGCATCTCTAGGCACCAAAAATCTTTGATTATACAATGTTTTCTTCTAATATTATTCTACAGACTCAAAGGTTTACAGCAACCAGGCACAATGGCTCATGCCTATAACCCTAGCCCTTTGGGAGGCCAAGGCAGGCAGATCACTGGAGCCCAGAAGTTCAAGACCAGCGTAGGCAACATGGTAAAACCCCATCTCTACAAAAAAACACAAAAATTAGCTGGGCATGGTAGCATGAGCCTGTAGTCCCAGGTACTCAGGCTGGGTACCTGAGTGGGAGGATCACCTGAGCCCAGGAGGTTGAGGCTGCAGCAAGCCCTGATCGCGCCACCGCACTTCATTCAGCCTGGGGAACAGAGTGAGGCTCCGTCTCCAAAAAAAAAAAAAAAAAAAAACCAAAAAGGCAAGCTCATAACTAAGCTAAAATCTACTTTCCTGTAACTTTTATCCTGTTACTGAAATAAACCAATATAATTCACTCTGCTTTTTCATCAGTCTTTTCAAATAAATGAAGATAACTATTACGTCTCTCATTTCTAGTCTCTTCATTTCATGGCTAAACTGAAAAAAAGAGAATAAAGAAATTTGGCCAGCCCTAAAGACATGGTATCCTGACCACTCTCCAACTTGATTACCCTTATGAAACTGCACAGCATGCTTCCATAAAGAGGAATAGGACTATTTATTACCTTCCTTATCCTGAGCACTAAACTGCTTCAAAAGATCACATTCTGAAAAGGCGTGGTGGCTCAGCTGTAATCCCAACACTTTGGGAGGCTGAGGCGGGCGGATTACTTGAGGTCAGGAGTTTGAGACCAGCCTGGCCGACATGATGAAACCTCATCTCTACTAAAAATACAAAAAAATTAGCTGGGTGTGGTGGTGCACGCCTGTAGTCCCAGCTCGGGAGGCTGAGGCAGGAGAATCGCTTGAACCTGGGAGGCAGAGGTTGCAGTGAGCTGAGATCGTGCCACCACACTCCAGCCTGGAAGACAGAGTGAAACTCCATCTCAAAAAAAAAAGCAAACAAACAAACAAACAACAAAAACATCCATTCTCACATTCTTTTTTTCTTTTTAAATTTTTTTCTATTTCTTTTTCTTTTTTATTTTCTTTTTTATATATATTTTAAATCCTCTTTTTCCTAGCTCCTGCAAGCAAAGCATTCTTTGGCTGCTACATCACATGACTTGGTTAAAGTGCAGACAACTAAAACCCTTAGATCAATCACATGTAAGAGACCTAGTCCTATACCAAATGAACCTAGATATAAGGCTTTACTTTCATCACAATTAAGTTAGTTTTGACACAATATTCAGCCTATATGGGATTTATCCTTTACTTGTTATCCCTACCAGCCTTGTGCTGTCTGTAAATATGATAAGTCTTCTATGCCTTTATGGCATTGATAAAATAAGCCAGAGTCAAATATAGAGCCACATGACAAGTCCACTCTCTTTTCTTTCCTGTTGAGATAACGTATAAGCATGCTGTCAGAATTTGGTTTTTGAAAACATTTTGTCCCTCCTAAGGGACAAATTCTCTTTGTCCTATTTGTTGTATTCTCTTTTTCATCTCTGTCATAAGTCATGCCCCAATTTTTTAGGCTTTCCTTGAAGTATCTGGATAAGTAAAATCTGCTTTCATAAACTCTGAGGTATCTATTTCATATTCTCTTTCTGCTGTATGGAATATATATCTGCAAACCAACTAAAATCCTCTCTTAAATTACAAGGCAGAACATGTGTGTATTTTTAAAAAATTGATAAATTAACAGACTTTCCCTCCAGTGGCTAAAGTCATTTCTGGCTTACCCATAAATACCAAAACTTCAAAGGCATTTTAAAAGGTGGTCCATAAAGACATTAAGTAGTTACAGCTTCACTCCTCTAAACAAGTCAAACAGACTTTGTTCTGAAGAGTGGCATTAAGTAAACTATTAGAAAGAGAATTATATTCAAGTGAGTAACAGTAGACTCCATTCTGGACAGGGTCTGTGTCATTCCTGGGCAGCAAGTGGGCAGTTAGGAAAGTGCACTAACTCTACTGGAGTCTTATCAGTAACGTTTACTTACCACAGCATATTTCCATAAGCACTCAGATTAGAATTAGAGTGTGACAACATTAAAAAAAAAAAAAAAAGGCTGCATCAAATGCTTTAAAAAAACTAAGCTCATCAACTATGGTTTATTCAAGAGGAGGCATGTTAACTGAAAATATCTTGAAAGAACATGTAGGCGGTCATAGTAAATCACCTGGCATTAGAGGTCTTAATATTTTGTGTTAGGTCATCTGAGGCAAGGGGTTAAAAGCTTAAGGAAAATTATTTCACAGAGCACAGCATATGCTTAATACCTTTACAGAAATGGATAAAGTGGCAGCAAGGGAACTCCGAGGTAACCCTCAAAGTCAGCATCCAAAGAAAGGATGGGCAAGATACAGGCACACCTCAGAGACATTTCGGGTTCAGTTTAAGACTACCACAATAGAGTGAACATAAAGTGAGTCACACAAATTTTTTTGGTTTCCCAATGCATATGAAAGTTATGTTTACACTACACTATACTAAGAGTGCAATAGTATGAAGTCTTTAAAAATGTACTTAATGTTAAAATACTGCTAAAAAATGCTAATGATCATCTGAGTCTTTAGAAAGTTGTCATCTTTTTGCTGATAGGGGGATCTTCCCTCAATATTAATGGCTGACTGATTAGGTTGGTGATTGCTAAACGTGGGGGTGGCTATGGCAATTTCTCTCTTTTTTTTTTTTTTTCTGAGACAGAGTCTCACTCTATCCCTCAGACTGGAGTGCAGTGGCACGATCTGGGCTCACTGCAATCTCCGCCTGCCGGATTGAAGCAATTCTCCTGCCTCAGTCTCCCGAGTAGCTGGGATTACAGGCGCCTGGCTCATTTTTGTATTTTTGGTAGAGATGGGGTTTCACCATGTTGGTCAGGCTGGTCTCAAACTCCTGACCTTAGGCAATCCGCCCACCTCGGCCTCCCAAAGTGCTGGGATTACAGCCGTGAGCCAACGCGCCCGGCCAGGCAATTTCTTAAAATAAGACAACCATGAAGTCTGCCACATTGATTGACCTTTTCACAAAAGATTTCTCTGTAGCATGTGATAGCATGTTACCAATGGCAGAACTTCTTTCAAAACTGGAGTCAATCCTTGCCAACTCTGCGGCTGCTTTATCAACTATGTTTATGGAATATTCTAAATCATTTGTTCTTATTTAAACAATGTTCACAGCATCTTCACCAAAAGTAGATTCCATCTCAAGAAACCACTTTCTCTGCTCATCCAGAAGAAACAATTCCTCATCCATTAAGTTTTATCATGTGTTTACAGCAATTCAGTCATAACTTCAACCTCCACTTCTAATTCTAGTTCTCTTATTTCTACCACATCTGCAGTTACTTCCTCTACTAAAGTCTTGAACCCCTCAAAGTCATCCAGGAGGGTTGGAATCAACTTCTTCCAAACTCCTGTTCATGTTGATATTTTGACCTCCTCCCACAAACTATGAATGTTCCTAATGGCATCTAGAATGCTGAATCCTTTCCAAAAGTTTTTCAATTGACTTTGCCCACATCTATCAGAGGAATCGTAATTTATGAAAGCTATAGTTTTATGAAATGTGTTTCTTAAATAGTAAGAGTTGAGAGTTGCAATTACTCCTTGATCCATGGGCTACAGAATGGATATTGTGTTAGCAGGCATGAAAATAACATTTATCTCCTTGTATATCTCCATCAGAGCTTTTGGGTGACCAAATGTATTGTCAATAAGCAGTATATTTTGAAAAGAATCTTTTTTTTTTCTCAGCAGTTCTCTACAGTGGACTTAAAATATTCAGTAAATCATGTTATAACAGATGTACTGTCATCCAGGCTTTCTAGTTCCATTTATTCAACATACGCAGAGTAGCATAATTCTTAAGTATTCTTGGATTTTCTGAATGGTAAATGGAAATTGGCTTCAACTTAAAATTACCAGCTGCATTAGCCGCTAGCAAGAGAGTCAGCCTGTCCTTTGAAGCCAGGCATTGACTTCTCTCTAGCTATGAAAGCTCTAGATGGCATCTTCTTCCAACAGAAGGCTGTTTCGTTTACATGGAAAATCTGTTTAGTGTAGCCACCTTCATCAATTATCTTAGCTAGATCTTCTGCATAACTTGCTGCATCTTCTCCATCAATCAGCACTTACTGCTTCACGCTGCACTTTTATGTTGTGGAGATGGTTTCTTTTCTTAAACATCACGAACCAACCTCTGCCAGCTTCCAACTTTTCTTCTGCAGCTTCCTCACTTCTCTCAGCCTTCGGAGAACTGAAGAGAGTGAGGGCCTTGCTCTTTGATTAGGTTTTGCCTTAAGGGAATATTGTGGCTGGTTCAATCTTCTATCCAGAGCACTAAAACTTTTTCCACATCATCAGTAAGGCTGTTTCACTTTCTTATTATTTGTCTGTTCACTAGAGTAGCACTTTTAATTTCCTTCAAGAACTTTTCCTCTGCATTCACAACTTGGCTAACTGCTTGGCACAAGAGGCATAACTCTTGGCCTATGTCAGCTTTCAACAGCCTTCCTCACTAAGCTTCATCATTTCTAGCTTTTGATTTAAAGTGAGAAATGTTGAACTTTCCTTTTCACTAGAATACTTAGAGGCCATTGTAGGGTTAACTGGCTTAATTTTAGTATTGTCCCATCTTAGGGTATAGGGATGCCCAAGGAGACGGAGAGAGATGGATAAGTAGCTGGTCAGTGGGGCAGTCAGAACAAACACAGCTTTTTTTATTATGTTTGCTGTCTTTTATGGATGTGGTTCATGGCACCCCAAAACAATTACAATAGTAACATCAAAGGTCACTGATCACAGATCATCATAACAGATATAATAATGAAAAAGTTTGAAGTATTGTGAGAATTACCAAAATGTGACACAATGACACGAAGTGAGCACACAATGTTGAAAAAATGGCACTGAAAGGCTTCCTTGAGACAGGGTTGCCATAGACTTTCAATTTGTAAAGAACTGATTATCTACAAAGCACAATAATAAAGCTCAATAAAATAAGGTATGCCTGTATTTCACTGGTTCATCTGTATCACTGATTTATAAAAGTATCTATCCAGACACACTCTTTGTGCAGTACTGAGGACAAAAACCTTTTCATTTGCAGGATGTTTGGTATTATAAGAAGTCAGTTTCCAGCACTAGCACATCTACACTAAGTTACTGTTCCTTCCCTAGACTCTTAGTTAGTGGGGCTGAATCAGTCATTTTGACTTAGAGTTTTAGAACTCAATTTCACATCTAATTCTATAGAATCTGGCATTAAAAAATCAAAATTTCCCTAACTCCCCAAAATAGAAATTATGAGATGGTGAAAAAACAAAAGCCATTAGGTCTTGCTAAGATCTGGTGACAAAGTACTTCAGTTAGACTCAAAAGACCTACATTTTCATCAGTTTTCCCACTCAGAGTGTGTCCTTACTACACAAAACTGTGCTCTGGCCTAAAACAATATAGATTCAAATTTCTAAGGAAAATCATCTCCAATTAAAATCACATATAACTCCTCACTTCTATATTGAAGTCAAGAGATTATGTTGTATTTTAAAGATCCCCTATAGCCCAGGCACGGTGGCTCACATCTGTAATCCCAGCACTTTGGGAGGCTGAGGCGGGTGGATCACCTGAGGTCAGGAGTTTGAGACCAGCCCGGCCAACACGGCAAAATCCCGTCTCTACTAAAAATACAAAAATTAGGTGGGCATGGTGGTGTGCACCTGTAATCCCAGCTACTCGGGAGGCTGAGGCAAGAGAATTGCTTGAACCCAGGAGGCAGAGGTTTCAGAGAGCCAAGATTGCACCACTGCACTCCAGCCTGGGTGACGTCTCCAAAAAAACAAAAAAAAAAAGTTCCCCTACAGATATGAGATTATGGGTACATTTTTCTTTGATTTCCATAATGATTATTGCGTAACCATAACAATATTAAACTTTTAAAAAATCCTCCCATTTCAGCAGGAGACAACTTTGGGAAATAACAGAAATATTCTATAACCTGATTTGGTGGTAGTCACACAAGTATATACATTTGTTAAAATTTATCCAAGAAACGCCTTAAATGGGTACATTTTATTGTATGTAAATTATATCTCAATAATGTTAATATCTCTTAACATTCTCAGCTTCTATTACCCCCACTTCCTCTCTACCTCAGTGTCTTCTCATTCATTCATTCATTCATACATTCAATAAAAACTTTGAAGCAATGTGCTAGAAACTAGATACAGCTGTGAACAAGCAACAGTTCAGGCCTTCAAGAACTTCACTGTCTAGAAGGAAAGACACATAGTAAACAGGTAACGTAGAGTACAGTCTGAGACACGCTACATAAAACCATAAAACAGGAGTATAGAAAGGGTGCTATAGGAACACACAAGAGGTGCCTCTTTTTTTTTTTTTTAGACGGAGTCTCACTCTGTCGCCCAGACTGGAGTGCAGTGGTGTGATCTCAGCTCACTGCAAGCTCCGCCTCCCAGGTTCACGCCATTCTCCTGCCTCAGCCTCCTGAGTAGCTGGGACTACAGGCGCCCGCCATCATGCCCGGCTAATTTTTTGTATTTTTAGTTGAGAAGGGGTTTCACCATGTTAGCCAGGACGGTCTCGATCTCCTGACCTCATAATAAACCCACCTCGGCCTCCCAAAGTGCTGGGATTACAGGCATGAGCCACTGCACCAGGCCAAGAGGTGCCTTTAACCTGGCTCTACCATCACAAAAACTTGATGTGCCCCCATGTACTCAAATTCTAAAATGCCCCTTTCTGACCACAAAGTTCAGTCCTCCCACTTATGTCAACCTCATGCCCTTTAACACCTCAATCCCACCAATTCCCTCCAGATTTCCTGTTTTGGCTTTTATTACCTCCCTGTTCAGCCTGGACTCGAAGGTTAGCCACTACCCTAACATGCCGGCTCATTCCCTTTTTTCTATCTACAACCTCCATCCACCAATCACTACTAATCTTACTACAATAAATCATTAATGTTGATCCTCAGTTATTCATTCATTTAAAAATATTTAAGTGTCTTCTGTATCAATCACATACCAAGATACATCAATGTGGCCAGGCATGGTGGCTCATACCTGTAATCCCAGCAGTTTGGGAGGCTGAGGCAGATGGATCATGAGGTCAAGAGATCGAGACCATCCTGGCCAACATGGTGAAACCCCGTCTCTACTAAAAACACAAAAATTAGCTGGGCATGGTGGCATGCCCCTGTAGTCCCAGCTACTCAGGAGGCTGAGGCAGGAGAATCGCTTGAATCCGGGAGGCGGAGGTTGCAGTGAGCCGAGATCGCACCACGCACTCCAGCCTGGCGACAGAGCGAGACTCCGTCTCAAAAAAAAAGATGCATCAATGAACAAGTCACACATGATCCTTCCCTTCATGGAACTTACCTCTCCCTCTGGAGGAAGAAACAGACATTTTGCTAAGTAAATAAAGACAATACAGTAATTACAGATTGTAATAATTGAAATGGGAGAAATAAACAGGTTGCTTTGACAGAGAATAAGAGGAACCCATCTTTTAGACAGAGTGTGTATTAAGAAAAAGCAGAGGAAGAACACTCTAGGAAAAGCAAACAGCAAGCAACAGCACAGACCCTAAAGCAAAATACAGCTTGGGCTTGTACTAACAGGCCAGGATGAGTGAGGAGAATGTAACAGGAAATGAGGTGGAGATGCAGGGGCTGGACCAGGCAAAGTCTTGAAGGCTTGTAATGAGTTTATAAGTATAAGAGAAAGCCACTGAGGATTTAGGTAGGAGACTGACATGATCTCATTTAATCTTTAAAAGATTACTCTGGTTGTTCTGTGCAGAATGGACAGGAAGAGGGCAACAGTGGAAGCAAACAGACCAGTTAGGAAGTCACTGCAGTAGCCAAGACAACAGAGAGTGACTTGGACTACATGGGTGGAGACAGAATTATTTGTCTTCAAGAGCTATGATGGAGGTGCTGTCTACTGAGACAGGGACAACAAAACTCTTGATCTGCCTTTCTCCTTTCCTCTCCTAAAATCTTGTCTTTCCTCTCAATATATGACACAACCAAGGCCAGGTGCGATGGCTCACATCTGTAATCCCAGCAACTGGGGAGGCCGAGGTGGGTGGATCACTTGAGGTCGGGAGTTCGAGACCAGGCTGGCCAATATGGTGAAACCCCACCTCTACTAAAAATACAAAAAAACTGGCTGGGCACGGTGGCTCATGCCTATAATCCCAGCAATTTGGGAGGCTGAGGTGGGCGGCTTGCCTGAGGTCAGGAGTTCAAGACCAACCTGGCCAACATGGTGAAACCCCTCTCTTTACTAAAAATACAAAAATTAACCAGGCGTGGTGGCAGGCACCTGTAATCCCAGCTACTTGGAAGGTTGAGGCAGGAGAATCGCTTGAACCCGGGAGGTAGAGGTTTCAGTGAGCCGAGATCTCGCCACGCACTCCAGCCTTGGCGACAGAGAGAGACCTTGGCTCACAAAAAAAAAAAAAAAAAAAAAAAAAGCCAGGCATGGTGGTGCATGCCTGTAATTCCAGCTACTCGGGAGGCTGAGGCAAGAGAATCACTTGAACTTGGGACAAAGAGGTTGCAATGAGCCGAGATCATACCGCTGGAAACAACACAACCGCTGCCATGAATGCTTAAACCAAAAACTGAGGATGCAGATATCATCTATTCCTTACCTTTTGCCTCATGCCTAATCTATCAGCAAGTCTTTTTGCTTCTTCCATCCTTCTAAAATCTTTCTCACATTCATCCTCTTCACTCTATCTCCAAGGATAACCTTTCCAGTGCAAGCTACCATCAACTATGGCTTGGGTTACAGCAGCAACTTCTTAATTGCTCCCACTGTTTGAAACACCAGACATCCAAGTGAAGATGTCAAGTAGGCAGTTGGATTTATGATTCTGGAGTTCAGAAGTGAGATGACACAGAGATATAAATTTGGGAACTGAATACATACAAATGGTATTTAAAGTCACAGAACTAGATGAAATCCCCTAGGTAGAGGTTATAAACAGGCAATAGAAAAGAGCTGAGTATCATGCCAAGAGGTATCTTCTGAAATTGACTTAAGGAAGAAAATCTAGTCGAGGAAGACAGAAGGCAGAAGTTCTGGCAGACTACCTCACAAGTCTCTTGATTCCCAATTTTTCTCAGTCCTCATTATCATGGACCCAATAAACCACCCTCTCAAAATAATACCCCATGCCATCACACTACTCTCACCTCCTACGTGCTTGCCTATTGTTTCCACGTTCTTACCTCATTCTTCCATTTTCCACCCGTTTCAATCATTCCTGTTCTCTCTTTCTCATCATCTCTGTCTCACTCTCTTTTCCTCTGTGTGTGTGTATATATATGCACACATTTTCCTCCTCAAAGATCTTATCCGGGCTGGGCGTAGTGGCTCACGCCTGTAATCCCACCACTTTGGGAGGCCAAGGCAGATGGATCACTTGAGGTCAGGAGTTCGAGACCAGCCTGGCCATATGGCAAAACCCTGTCTCTACTAAAAATACAAAAATCAGCCAGGTGTGGTGGAACACACCTGTAATTCCAGCTACTTGGGAGGCTGAGGCACAAGAATTGCTTGAACCTGGGAGGTGGAAGTTATAGTGAGCCAAGATGGCACCACTATACCACAGCCTGGGTGATGGAGTAGGACTCTGTCTTAAATAAATTAAATTAAATTAAACCCTGTCTCTACAAAATATGCAAAAAATTAACTCGGCATGGTGGCACATGCCTATATTCCCAGCTACTCAGGAGGTTGAGGTGGGAAGATCATCTGAGCCCAAGAGATTGAGGCTGCAATGAGTTGTTTGTGCCACTGCACTCCAACCTGGGTGACAAAGCGAAACCCTGTCTCAAAACAAAAAGGATGTTATCCATTCCCACAACCTCAACTATAAATTTACTGATAACTTCCAAATACCTAGCTAAGTGTTACTCAAAGTGTGGCCCATACACCACTATTACAGAATCAGCAGGACATGCTTGTGAAAATGCAGATTCTTGGACCTCACCTCAGACCTACAGTATCAGTTCCCCTGGTAATTCTTAAGCAATGGCTTTTATCAATGTCCACTAATTCATACGTATTATTTTATTTGAATTGCATGTGAGATAATGTTAGGAATACTACAGCCTTCACGCTTACTAATAGCAATATGAATGAAAAAGGATCTGCAGACTAAGAAGGAAGTTTAAGGAAATCAGAGACTATAACCAGGGATTAGACTCTAATGGAAATTGTACGATTGCTTAAACCTCTATAAATGTCCCATACTATTTAACTTTGTCTAAAGATAAACAATAAGGAGTAGGGGGAACAACTGAGCTTGTATTGCTTAACAGCAAAGTAGTAAACTTGGAAGCCAGTGTCATACCATGGCTAGAATAAAATTAAAAACAGTAATAGCTTTTAAAAGAGAAAAAGAGAAAGAGAGAGGTAGAATGATCTGTAGGGTCTTCAGTAGACAGAGAGATCCAAGCCAAAAAAGGGGTTATAAAGCTTAACAGTCACAGGACTTCATTTACTGACATTACTCTACCTTGAATTAAAATTATTTGGGCCCTTATATTACCTGTGTCACCAGACTGTGAGTTCCTTGAGGCTATATTACACAATCTACCTACTACTTTGCAAAACCCAAAGCCCTGCCCAACAAAATCTAATAATATTTCCTGAGGTAAAGAGTTGCCACATAAATTCTAGCTCAATTCCTGTATCATTATCTCCAATTCCAAATTAGTGACGTCCAGAATGATGGGGTTTTATTGTATTATCTGGAAAAAATTAATGTATCAAAGCTTTAAATAAATATTAGTCTTCAGATACAAAACTATAACAATTCTTCTGACCACAGCAGTTTCCCCACTCCTTCTAACAAGCAAAACTCACAAACTACCATTAAAATGTTTCAGTTGCTTTTAAATTTGTCCTACCTCCTCATTCCTTATCATCTCAAATAAGATGCTTCCTCCTTCAGGAACAGTAGTGAAGTGAATTTGAACTGCTATTTGGGGTGGAGGAAAACGGCAAGCACTGACATAGTCAGTGGCCAAATCCTTTTTCCAACTCCCTCCCTACCTTGTTCCTACCTCCTAGACAGTCTCTTCAGTCCCTGGAGTTGACTCATGCCGTAGCTCCCTCTGTAGTTCCCTCTGTTCTCGCATAAAACAATGTTCAATTGTATGCAGGGTTAAAAAAAAAAACAAAAAACCTTCAAGAATGCTTTTAATCTGTAATCCCAGCACTTTGGGATGCCGAGGCAGGTGGATCACCTGAGGTCAGGAGTTCGAGATCAGCCTGGCCAACATGGTGAAACCCCGTCTCTAATAAAAATAAAAATAAAAAAAATTAGGCAAGCATGGTGGCAGGCACCTGTAATCCCAGCTACTCAAGAGGCTGAGGCAGGAGAATTCCTGAACTCGGGAATTTGCAGTTCAATTCCTGAACTCGGAAGGTTGCAGTGAGCCGAGATTACACCACTGCACTTCAGCCTGGGCAACAAGAGCAAAACTCTGCCTCAAAAAATAAATAAAATAAAATAATGTTTTTATTAAACTACAAGCCAAAGAAACTTCAGAAAAAATGTGTATATCCCAAATCTCTAAATGCTGCTATTTAGAAAGACAAACTAATAAAACATCATGCGGTGACAGATATTTGAATATTTTCTACATATCTCCACACTAGATGCCCTGGGCATCCAGAACATTCCCTAACATTGCCCCCTACTCTTATCTTCCTCGGCAGCTTTCTCCCTGTAGCTAGTGACTCAAATTTGTTCACTATCTGTGCCTTCCCATTCTTTCAAAATGCAAGAGCAAAGTATAGATTCCGACATCAATTAATGGTATTGCTCTGGCTTGAAATGTTTGGGAGTCCTTTCTTCACCTTTAAAAAGTAGCGACAGATGATGGGTTTCTCCACTGAGGGTTAGGCCTGGGGTTCCCAAGATGCTATACGCAAGGACAATTACTACACCTCACATCTAGACATGACTTGACAGTAGCAGCACTACCTACCAATATCAGGTCCCGGCCAGCAGGCTATGCAATAAAATACCAGGTGCTGCGTTCCCATCATCAAGAGTAAAGGGTTAGTACTGCTTCTATACGAAAATGGCTCTTGCTCCAACCCCGCCTCGGCCCCCACATCAAACCGTCTAATAACATCACTGGTTCTTTCTACTTCAGAATAGAGACATGCACACTTGAGATCATCAAGAATAATACATAACAAAGTCATTATATTCCGTAGACTTGGCTGGCAGAAATGTGGGTTGCGACTAACTTTTTATTCGGTGGCTTCCTTCCAGATCAATCCAGATAACTCCCCCTCCCCAGAGCCGCCATAAGGGGTGAAGCCCCACATCCTCCTAAGCGCAGTAGGGAGGGACCGGGGGGAGGACAAAAGAGACTTGCCTATAGGGACTTACAGATGCCAGACGCTGAGGGGTCTGGGGTAACTCCGCGCTGATTTCCATCCTCTCAGTACCTCCAGCCTCCTCGTCCGCCATCTTGAGGGAAACTGACGCCTGCAGTTGCCGACCCCCGGCCAGAGGCAAGCGGAAACCTGTGGCCGGTCGGAGAGACAGGGACGACACTTTTACGACGGCCCCTGAAGTCGGGTTTGACGCAGACTCGAGGAGTGGCTTCCGGCCCGCTTCCCGGAAGCAAGCGTCACGACGTGAAGGGACTGGAGATTTTTTTTTTCCCCTCTAATTTATCAGGCGTAGCTCTTGGTAGCTGAATGGTTGTATATCTGGGTTTGGTGCTGGGAACTGTTGCATCTACGAGGTAAAAAAAACAAAGTCAGCGTCCATTATGAAAGGAAGAAAACTTGTCGGGGGCTAAAGCAAGAACCTGTCCTAGCTGGCCGGTTGTTGGCCTGGGGATGTTTTGTATCCCAACCTCCCTGCAGTAGTTCCCCAGAGCCTACAAAATGAAAAAGAAAGTACTCACACATCTTCTATTTTTAGGATTCTACCCCGTGGGCACTTGCACATGTGTACAAAAAAAGCTCGGGATCCAGCTTTATTGGGGGACACGGGGGGAAATAACAAAAAATTGGAAACCTAGTCATTCATCGATAGAGGAAAGACAAGATATACTATGGTACATTCGCATTTTGAAATACTGTGCAGCTCTTGAGCAAGATAAATCTGCGTGAAAAGATCAAGATAAATTGAGAGAAAAAAAAGCCAAGTTGCTGCAAACTATATATTTGCACACATAGGCATTTAAATGTGAAGGAGTAAGTCTGAAAGGGGAAAGGGCAAAGTAGTAACTCTGAGGGCCAGGATTCGGATTGGAGGAAGAAGGTGGTCAAGAGCTACTTTACCTTCATTTGTATTTTAAATTTTTTACAAAACAAATAATTTTAAAGTATATTTTTAACAAAGGGAAGAAAATAAAGCTCCAAACAATGTGAAAAGTAGAGGAGGCTTTCCAAATGCTGTGGTCCACCTTGATTTATAGAACTTTCCTGCCTAAACAATGTTTCTGCTCAAATGAACTACTTCCTGGGTGCTAAAATACTGTTTTTCCAGCCTTTTTTGCCCAACAACCACAATAAATACATTTTACATCTTATCACGGTACACCTATACAAAATTAAATGGGTATATATAGAATATGTATATATATACTGAAACTTAAATTTTCTGAAACAATACTTCCAATATGTCATATTTTCTATTCAATTGCAATATGTTTATGCATTTAAGCCAAAATACTGGTTGTAGTTATTAAAGTGATACTATAACCCACAATAGGTATTGTCCCACATTTTGATAAAAATTGCCCTAAAAGTTACCTTGTCCCTTCCTGTCTCTATGCTTTTACTTCTGTAGTTCTCTTATGCTACCCCACGCTCTTCTCTTTTTCTTCTTTCATTCCTAGATAAATGAAATAGACTAGAACGTTCAGAAATAGGTCGGGGCAGTGGCTCACGCCTGTAATCCCAGCACTTTGGGAGGCCAAGGTGAGTGGATCACCTGAGGTCAGGAGTTCGAGACCAGCCTGGACAACACAGTGAAACCCCATGTCTATTAAAGATACAAAAATTAGCTGGGTGTGGTGGCAGGTGCCTGTAATCCCAGCTACTCAGGAGGCTGAGGCAGGAAAATTGCTTGAACCCAGGAGGTAGAGTTTGCAGTGAGCCAAGATCATGCCACTGGCACTCCAGCCTGGGCTACAAGAGCAAAACTCTGTCTCAAAAAAAAAAAAAAAGAAAAAGAAAAAACAGAAAATAAAAAGAAATAATAGCCACTTATCAACATCTTAATGTAATCAAAGCACTAGTATATTAATAACACTAGCTATATATTAATAACAATCCTTTAGGTAGATGTTACTACTTCTATTTTACTGTCATGAGAAACTGAGAAAACTGAAGTTTAGAGAAGTTACATAATTTGGTTAGGGACATGCAGCTTCCAAGTGACACAGCAGATATTCAGCCAGCACAATGGCTCACCCCTGTAATGTTAGCACTTTGGGAGGCCAAGGCGGGAGGATTACTTGAGCCCAGGAGTTTGAGATGGGCAACATAGCAAGACTCCCACCTCTACCAAAAAATAATAATAAATAAAATCCAGTTCAAATGACTCACAAGGCCCTATTCTTATCCATTTCACTTTATTACTTTATACCAAATTCAAGTATTTTACACATGAAAGATAACAGCATTTCAAGTGAGAAGGAAATTATGAACTGCTTATTTATTTATTTTTTCAGATGGAGTTTCGCTCTTGTTACCCAGGCTGGAGTGCAGTGGCGTGATCTCAGCTCACCACAACCTCCGCCTCCCGGGTTCAAGCAATTCCCCTGCTTCAGCCTCCCAAGTAGCTGGGATTACAGGCATGCACCACAATGCCTGGCTAATTTTGTATTTTTAGTAGACACGATGTCTCTCCATGTTGGTCAGGCTGGTCTCAAACTCCCGACCTCAGGTAATCCGCCCGCCTCGGCCTCCCAAAGTGCTGGGATTATAGGTGTGAGCCACCACGCCCAGCCGGACTGTTTATTAAGTGGTGCAAAAACAGATGGTTATGTAGCAGTTCCTCAAAAAACAAAATTAGACATAGAATTCCCATGTGATCCAGCAATTCCACTTCTGGGTATATATCCAAAAGAAGTGAAAGCAGGGTCTTGAACAGATGTTTGTATACCTGTGTTCATTGAAGCATTATTCAGTATAGTCAAATGGTGGCAGGAACCCAAGTGTCCATCAACAGCTGAGTGGATAAACAAAATGTGGCATATACATGCAATGGAATATTATTCAGCCTTTAAAGGGAAGGAAACTGTGACACATGCCACAGCATGGATGAACCTTACAGACATTAGGCTAAATAAAAGAAGCCAGTCACAAAAAGACAAATACTGTGTAATTTGACTTATAATACATACCTAGAGTAGTCAAATTCATAGACACAGAAAGTAGAATGGTGGTTTCCAGGGTCTGAGAGGAGGAGAGAATCGAGTTTAATGGATACGGAGTTTCATTTTGGAAAGATGAAAAAGTTTTGGAGATGTGTAGTGGTAATGGTTGCATAACAATATGAATATATCTAATGCCACTGAATGGTATACTTAAAAGTGGTTAAAATGGTAAATTTTACGTATATTTTACCACAATAAAAAAATTTAAAGAGGCCGGGCGTGGTGGCTCAAGCCTGTAATCCCAGCACTTTGGGAGGTCAAGGCCAGCGGATCACTGGAGGTCAGGAGTTCGAAACCAAGCTAGCCAACATGGTGAAACCCCATCGCTACTAAAAATACAAAAATTAGCCGGGCATGGTGGTGCATGCCTGTAATCCCAGCTACTCGGGAAACTGAGGTAGGAGAATCGCTTGAATCCGGGAGGCGGAGGTTGTGTTGAGCCGAGATCGCGCCACTGCACTCCAGCCTGGGTGACAGTGCGAGACTCTGTCTCAAAAAAAAAAAAAGAAACATTTAAAGAATAAGTAACCATCTGGGAAAAGATGGTCAGATCCTTACCTCAAATCATACCCCAAAATAATTCTTTTTTTTTTTTTTTTTGAGACGGAGTGTTGCTCTGTCACCCAGGCTGGAGTGCAGTGGTGCAATCTCGGCTCACTGCAACCTCCGCCTCCCGGGTTCAAGTGATTCTCCTGCCTCAGCCTCCTGAGTAGCTAGGATTACAGGTGCATGCCACCACGCCCGGCTAATTTTTTATATTTTTAGTAGAGACAGGGTTTCACCATGTTAGCCAGGATGGTCTCGATCTCCTGACCTCGTGATCCGCCTGCTTCGGCCTCCCAAAGTGCTGGGATTACAGTCATGAGCCACCGCGCCCGGCCCTCAGAATAATTATTAACAGATTAAAGAGTTAACTGCTAAAAAGAGTAAATAAGTAAAAATTATTATTATTTTTTTGGAGACAGGGTCTTGCTTTGTTACTCAGGCTGGAGTGCAGTGGCATGGTCTTGGCTCACTTCAACTCTACCTCCAGGACTCAAGCGATCCTCCCACCTCAGCCTCCCAAGCAGCTGAGACCACTGGCATGCACCACCATGCCTGGCTAATTTTTGTATTTTTTTGTAGAGACAGGGTTTCTCCATGTTGCCCAAGCTGATCTCGAACTCTTGGGCTCAAGTGATCCACCCACCTTTGCCTCCCAAAGTGCTAGAATTACAGGCATGAGCCACTGAGCCCTGCCCAAAGTAAATATTTTTTTAATATTGCATTGGAGAAGTCTTTTTTAAGCATGTTGCTAAAGGCAAAAAATATAAACATAAAAATACTTATATGTAATTTTATTAAAATTAAAAACATAAAAATAAATGACATAAAATTTAAAAGGTAAACAAAAACTAGGGAAAAATGTCTGCAGTAGACATGGCAGATCAAAGGATAAAATCCCAAAGTGGCCAGGCACCATGGCACATGCTTGTAATCCCAATACTTTGGGAGGCCGAGGAGGGTGAATCACTTGAGCCCAAGAGTTCCAGACCAGCCTGGGCAACATGGCAAAACCCTGTCTCTGCAAAAAATACAAAAATTAGCTGGGCGTGGTGGCATGTGCCTATAGTCCCAGCTACTCAGGAGGCTGAGATGGGAGGATAACTGGTGCCCAGAAGGCAGAGGTTGCAGTGAGCCAAGATCAGGCCACTGCACTCCAGCCTCAGCAACAGAGTGAGATCCTGTCTCAAAAAAAACAAAAAAAAAAATCCTAAAGACGACTATTCCAAAAGAAAAATGGATGAAAGACATAAATGTGCAACTTACTAATTTTTATTAATTTGTGAAAAAGACCTAACTAGTAAGCAAATAAATGCAAAATAAGTAAAAATTGGATATGATTTATTGTCCGTAAATTTGGCAAGGTTTTTTTTTTTTTTTTGGAAGATAATCAGTGTTGGTAAGAAGCTGGAAGGACAACCATATTATTAAGTAAAATGCAAATGTAAATTGGTAAACCTCTTGGAAGGTGGTGTGGCAATATTCAGAAGCCTTTTTTAAAAAATGTATACTATTTGGACCAGGCACGGTGGCTCACGCCTGTAATCCCAGCACTTTGGGAGGCCAGGGCGGGTGGATCACGAAGTCAGGAGTTCAAGATCAGCCTGGCCAAGTTGGTGAAAACCCGTCTCTACTAAAAATACAAAACATTAGCTGGGCATGGTGGTGGGTGCCTGTAATCCCAGCTACTTGGGAGGCTGAGGCAGAGAATTGCTGGAACCCGGGAGGTGGAGGTTGCAGTGAGCCAAGATCGCGCCACTGCACTCCAGCCTGGGTGACAGAGCGAAACTGCATCTCAAAAAAAAAAAAAAAAAAAAAAAAGGCATACTATTTGACCAGTGATTCCATTTTTAACACTTTATACTGGAAAAATAATTCAGGGTGTCAGCCAAATCTTAACTACATAATTATTGGTAACGTAGAAAAGTAAAGAACAACTCAGATGCCCAACAATAAAGGACACTGGCTAAATAAACTGTTTTCCCATATAATATAATACTCTGCAGCCATAAAAAATGTCCACAGACGCAATGAGAGTTCTTGAGACTCAGGAAGTCTGTGAGGGGAAAACTGTTTTTATAGTAACACAAAAAGTAATTAGCTGGGTGTGGTGGCCTTGGCCGGTAGTCCCAGCTAGTTGGGAGGCTGAGGTGGGAGGATGGCTTGAGCCCAGGAGGTGGAGGTTGCAGTGAGCCAAGATCAGGCCATTGCACTCCAACCTGGGTGACAGAGCCAGGCCATGGTTCAAGAAAAACAAACAAAAAACAACAACAACAAAACAAAAAACAAAGAGTTATTTGCCTTTTATTTAAAAAAACAACAACAACACCATGTTGGCATTTGCACTGATGAGTGCAAAAGCTTGGTAGCTGAAACTACTGGCCTCTTAGCACAAAATCAAGGCAGCGACACCAAACTGGACTAGTCATCAAAGTGAAGTAGTAGTTTCTTCACCACCATGCACTTGCAGTTAAAAAAAAAAAAAAAAAAAAGGGAGGGGGGAGAAAAGTCTTTCCGTTAAGAATACCCTTGATGAAGTAAACATTAATTTTATTAAATCTCAACCCATGAGCCTTTTAAATATTCTGTATGATGAAATAGGAAGCGCACAAAGTTTTTCTGCCATGTACAAAGTATGATGACTGACTTGAGAAGAAGCACTTCTGCATTGAGTTGCTAGCTCAACCAGCCACTTTTTTAATCACAGAACACCCTTTTTACTTAAAAGAACAACTGACAACTGTAACTATGATTATTCAGACTTGACTATTTGGCAGGCATTTTCTCAAATATGAACAAGACTTTTTCTTCAAGGAAAACAACTGTCAGTTTTTGTTGTCTATGACAAATTTGAGCTTTCAAATGAAAAATTAGAATTGTGGAAAAGTCATATCTGCCACTGTGAGCTTGACAAAGTCCTCAGGATCAGTGGTGATATTAATGTGATTTTTTGATAAATTATAATGACGTGTCAACATGTAGAAGATTGGTATAACTCAATCAGTATTTTCCAGATGACAAATGAGGTGTTAAAAATCCAGCATGGGTTGGGCGCGGTGGCTCACACCAGCACTTTGGGAGGCAGAGGCGGGTGGATCACGAGGTCGAGTTCGAGACCAACCTGGCCAAGATGGTGAAACCCCGTCTCTACTAAAAACAAAAGTACAAAAATTAGCTGGGCGTTAGACTCCATCTAAAAAAAAAAAAAAGGTGGGTAAAAGAACCATCCAAAATGCTAAATAGAACAATGGAATTGAATGCTGTGGAGTACAAGAATTTCATTGATATGGTTTCAGATTCCACACTGAATTGAGTCTTAAGAAACTACTATTTATTGGCCAGGCGCAGTGGCTCATGCCTGTAATCCCAGCACTTTGGGAGGCCGAGGCGGGTGGATCACGAGGTCAGTAGTTCAAGACCAGCCTGACCAACATGGTGAAACCCCATATCTACTAAAAATACAAAAAATTAGCCAGGTATGCCGAGCCGCGCGGTGGCTCACGACTGTAATCTCAGCACTTTGGGAGGCTGAGGTAGGTGGATCACGAAGTCAGGAGATTGAGACTATCCTGGCTAACACAGTGAAACCCCGTCTCTACTAAAAATACAAAAAATTAGCGTGGCGTGGTGGCGGGTGCCTGTAGTCCCAGCTACTCGGAGGCTGAGGCAGGAGAATGGCATGAACCTGGGAGGCGGAGCTTGCAGTGAGCCGAGATGGCGCCACTGCACTCCAGCCTGGGGGACAGAGCGAGACTCTGTCTCAAAAAAAAAAAAATTAGCCGGGCGTGGTGGCACGCGTCTGTAGTCCCAGCTACTCGGAAGGCTGAGGCAGGAGAATCGCTTGAATCCGGGAGGCGGAGGTTGCAGTGAGCCGAGATCGCACTCCAGCCTGGGCGACAGAGCGAGACTCAGTCTCAAAAAAACAAAACAAAACGAAAAACAAAAACAAAAAAAAAACAGGGTAGGCGCGGTGGCTCACGCCTGTAATCCCAGCACTTTGGGAGGCCGAGGTGGGTGGATCACGAGGTCAGGAGTTCAAGACCAGTCTGGCCAACATGGTGAAACCCCGTCTTTATTAAAAATACAAAAATTAGCCGGGCGTGGTGGCGCACGCGTGTAGTCCCAGTTAGTGCACGCCTGTAGTCCCAGCTACTCGGGAGGCTGAGGCAGGAGAGTCTCTTGAATCCGGGAGGTAGAGGTTGTAGTGAGCCAAGATCCCGCCACTGCACTCCAGCCTGGGCAACAAAAGCAAAACTCCATCTCAATAAATAATAAAATAAACAAATAAATAAAAAAAATGCTCTTCCCCTTTCCAGTTATGTATCTGTGTAAGGCCAGATTTTCTTCGTACACTTCAACCAAAACAATATATCACAATATATCGAATACAAAAGCAGTTATAAGAACCTAGCTGCCAGGCCGGGCCCGGTGGCTCACGCCTGTAATCCCAGCACTTTGGGAGGCCAAGGTGGGCGGATCACGAGGTCAGGAGATGGACACCATCCTGGCTAACACGGTGAAACCCCGTTTCTACTAAAAATACAAAAAATTAGCCAGGCGTGGTGGCGGGCGCCTGCAGTCCCAGCTACTCTGGAGGCTGAGGCAGGAGAATGGCGTGAACCCGGGAGGCGGAGCTTGCAGTGAGCACAGATCACGCCACTGCACTCCAGCCTGGGCGACAGGGCAAGACTCCGTCTCAAAAAAAAAAAAAAAAAAAAAAAAAAAAAAAGAACCTAGCTGCCTTCTGTTAAGCCAGACGTTAAGAGATTTGCGAAAATATAAAAGATTACCACACTTTTCAATATTTTTTTGTATTTTGGAAAGCAGTTAATTTTTATTTTAAAATACTGTTTTTGTTAAACATATATTGGGTTTATTCTTTCAAAATAATTGATAAATATTTTAACATTTTCTCAGTTTTAACTTATATTTTCTTTTTGTTTGTTAGTTTTTTTGAGACGGAGTCTCACTCTGTCCCGCAGGCTGGAGTGCGGTGGCGTGATCTCGGCTCACTGCAACCTCCTCCTCCCGAGTAGCTGGGATTCAAGTGATTCTCCTGCCTCAGCCTCCTGAGTAACTGGGATTACAGGCATGCGCCACCAGTATTATGAATTTCTTTGATTCATACGCAAAGATGTACTTCTTTTTTCATTTGCCTTCAGTTTACAGTAGCTTTGTGAGTAAACAAGCTATAAGGTCTTCTGTAGGTTCCATTTTACTGTTTGACACATTATCAACAACTAATATACATTAGTTAGCTTTCCTGACACCCCAGGATAACACAGTTAGTTGGGACAACCATGCTTAGAACAGTTTTCCTTAAAAATCCTTATTTATGGAATATGCTGGAGGCTTTCAATTTTTTGCTATACATTAGGATTACCTGGGATCTTTTAAAAAATTCCAATGCCAGGCCGCATTCTAATGAATCTGATTTAATTAGAAAGGGGTGGCCAGGCTCATGCCTGTAATCCCAGCACTTTGGGAGGCCCAGGCGGGTGGATCACGAAGTCAGGAGATCGAGACCATCCTGGCTAACATGGTGAAACTAAAAAACTACTAAAAATACAAAAAATTAGCCGAGTGCGGTGGAGGGGACCTGTAGTCCCAGCTACTCGGGAAGCTGAGGCAGGAGAATGGCGTGAACCCGGGAGGCGGAGCTTGTAGTAAGCCGAGATTGCACCACTGCACTCCAGCCTGGGCGACAGAGCGAGACTCCGTCTCAAAAAAAAAAAGAAAGAAAAAAGAAAGAAAAAAGAAAGGGGTAGGACCTGGTTGGGCATGGTGCCTGACACCTGTAATCCCAGCACTTTGGGAGGCTGAGGTAGGAGATCGCCTGTGGTCAGGAGTTCAAGACTAGCCTGGCTAACATGGTGAAATCCCATCTCTACAAAAATACAAAAATTAGCTGGGTATGATTGCTGGTGCCTGCAATCCCAGCTACTCGGGAGGGTGAGGTGGGAGAATTGCTTGAACCCAGGAGGTGGCGTTTGCTGTGAGCCGAGATCACGCCATTGCCCTCCAGCCTGGGTGACAGAGGAAGATGTTGTCTCAAAAAAAAAGAAAGAAAGAAAGAAAAGAAAAAGAAAAAAGAGAGAAAATAGAAAGGGGAAGGACCTGAGTATTAGTTTTTGTCTTTTTTTTTTTTTTTTTTTTTTTTTCACAAATAGCACTTTTTATTTGCCACTATTTGAAGTCTGAACTTTAAACAGATTCTTGGACTGGTGGTTCATATCCATCAGCTCGTCCAACTTTAGCACCTGTCTCATCCCCAGTGGCTTTTCCAGAACTACTGCCTTCACCATGAAGCTCCATGAGCCTTCCCAATTCAAACTTGGGCTTCTTCAGCATTTTTACTTTTCTAACGAAGACATCACGGAGAGGATAAATAGATTGGCAAGCCTTTTCTATGTCTTTTCCAATGCTGTCTGGAATCAATTTATTGACCACTTCTTTCAAGTCATTAGTCTGCACCTCTCGGGTCGTGATTTCCATCATCTTCTTCCGGATTTGGCGGACCTGTTGGTGCTGAGCATAAGAGGTCTTCCATATCTGATTGTTGCGTTTTTTATTAAAACCAACACAGAACAGATGAAGCAAGTAACCATCGGTAGTCTTGACATCAACATGAGCTTCAATCATTGTCTGCCATTTTTTGACCATGGAACACGTTTTGTCACGGGTAAGATCCATGCCATGGAAGTTAGTCAGGCAGTTTTTACCCTGAACATCTTCAGTAATCAGCTTGAATTTTCTAAATGCAACTTCATCATTCTGCAAATCAGCAAGACTCACTTCAAACACATGACCCTTGAGATCATCAGATGCAATTTTGGTTCCTTGGGTCCTGGTGACCAGCATCTTTCCAATATTTCATATATTGAACATAGCAGGTGCTTTCGTATCATACCAATTTTTCTTAGAAAACGGATCAACCACTTTCTTCTTGGCTCCCTTTTTGCCGCCTTTCGTAAGGCTCTTGTTCTTGCCAACCGCCATGGTGCTGGTCAGAGAGCCAAAAGGCTAGTTTTTGTCTTTTTAGACCTCTCCCAAGTGAACCTACTGAGCAATCAAAATTGAGAAGCCCTGGGGGATTCCATTCACATGCCCTTCTCCCATCTTTCTTCTTGTGCGAGATGACAGTAGTGTCTACCTGTATTCCTCCTGTCTGGTATAAAATCTTATTTTTTTTTTTGAAACGGGTTGCCATGTCATCCAGGCTGGAGTGCAGTGGCACAATCATAGCTCACTGCAGCTTTTTACTCCTGGGCTCAAATGAACCTCCCCACTCAGCCTCCCAAGTAGCTGGGACCACAGGCACAGCATCACACCCAGCTCATTAATTTTTTTTTTAATGGAGCAGAGTCTCACTATGTTGTCCACTCTAGCCTCAAGTTACCCTCCCACTTGGCCTCCCAGAGTTAAAATAGCATCTTAAAAATCAACTCACAAAATGTGCATTGGTCCCACAAAAATTTCCAAAGCCAGATTAGAGGCTAGCACTTGTCACATTTATTTCATCATTAGAGGCTCTTTCCTAGGGGTCCTGGCATTGTCAACCCAAGACCTTATTAATATGCAGGTATGTTTGGGATGATAACCTCTTATCAGATTACCTTTAAGTAGGTATTAGTTTAAGAGATCCCGAAATCCAAGTTCTTTGGAATTGTGCATATCATAGGTTGAAGGTTAGGTTTCACAAGAAGCTGAAACTGAAACAGATTAGCTTGCAGGGGGTATATTGGGGAGTATTCTTGGGATCAACAACCATGGAAGGGAAGGAAAAGGAAGGAAACATGATTGGGCTGAGGGAGAAAATGAGCTGCCATGCAATCTGAACAACTCTCTGGGGAATCCTGAAGCTGGAATAACCTTTTTTCAGAGTTGGCCCTAGTTGGGAGTAGGAGGGAATGTTTTCATATTCTTAATGTTGATCAGTCATTAGATGTGGGCAGCCCTGGCAAAAGGGGTCAACTTGAGCAAGCCAGCCCTCTTCAGCAGAGGCAGTCTCTGATGGCTTCTCACTGCCAGCACTCTAAGCAGCTGGGGGAGTAAGTCCTTCATTCCTGAAGGAGGATCTGGGTGGCACATTACAGTTTCCATTACATATGGGAATGGTGAGAAAGCAAAAGGCTAAAAAAAAAAGTCAGCTAAAAGAGCCAAAGACAGGCCGGGCATGGTGGCTCACGCCTGTAATCCCAGCACTTTGGGAGCCAGCACTTTGCGAGGCCAAGGTGGGTGGATCACGAGGTCAAGAGACTGAGACCATCCTGGCCAACATGGTGAAAAATTAGCCAGGCATGCTGAGCGTGGTGGCTCACAACTGTAATCTCAGCACTTTGGGAGGCTGAGGTGGGTGGATCACGAAGTCAGGAAATCGAGACTATCCTGGCTAACATGGTGAAACCCCGTCTCTACTAAAAATACAAAAAAAATTAGCTGGGTGTGGTGGCACGCGCCTGTAGTCCCAGCTACTTGGAAGGCTGAGGCAGAAGAATTGCTTGAACCCGGGAGGTGGAGGTTGCAGCGAGCCGAGATAGCGCCACTGTACTCCAGCCTGGCGACAGAGTGAGACTCCATCTAAAAAACAAAAAAACAAAAAACAAACAAACAAAAGCCAAAGACAAATCTTATCTTCTTGAGTTTGGTCTACACTCGAGAGGTTGGATTTGAATGCTGATTTCACTATTTCCTTACAAAGTCAAGTCACAATCCCTGAACCTCAATTTTCTCATCTGTAACTGTGATGATAAAATTTATCTGATAAGGAGGTTATAAGAATTACACAAGAAAATGTATATGAAATTACTTTTTCAATTATCAAATGCCATACAAATGTATGGTGTTGCTATAAATAGTTGATTTATTGATTAAAGCTAGTAGTGACAGGGATAGTAAAACTGCTATCTGGTTGGCTGAAGCCAAGGCAAGGATGAAATACAGTTCTCCAGATCTGTTATGACTGCTTTGTGTAAAGCATCACTGAACAGTACTCCTTTGTGTTATTTCCTCTTTAGCTCTTGCTGGGTATGCTCCAGTGATCCAAGATGCTACCAACATGCCTATTCTAACATGCTTTTTACTTTTATTTAGATAAAATAAACTCGTTCCTGAGAGATGCTTATGATGCAGTAGTATTGTGTTGGGTCAGAGGTATTTTAATGTAATTGAATTATACTTGAGCTAGTCTGTGTTAACGTCTTCCAAGGAGATAAATAATTGATGGCCTAAACAAAACATGAAGGTCTGCATGTGGGAACTAGTGGTCTCACAACAGAAGGAAGTTTAGGAACTCAGGAGGAGGAAGACAGAGGACAAAGGTACAGAGGATTTGAGAGATGGAGGGAATGGCAGATCTAAGCAGATAATAAGCTGATGGAGATGGAAAGGGCTTAGGCAGTCATCCCATAAGAAAATCATTAGCCCCAAAAGCATTATCTCATTTACCCCTTAAAACAACATTGTGGAAGAGAGACCACTATAGTTGCCATTTTAGAGGTAAGATAATAGTGAGTCATAGGAGTTAAAGATTTGCCTGGTCACACAGTAAGTTTCAGAACTGGTTTCAATCCAGGTTAGTCTGAAGTTCTTAGCCACACTGCCTGAAGAGCCTGGTTTCAACCTGAAACTAAGGGAGTATTCCTAGCGGAGAGATAATGACGAAGGAAGGGTGGTAGAAAAATAACTCTAAGAATAAAGTAATGAAAGACAGTGACCCAAAGGATCTGGCTAGGTGGGGTTAATCATATGGATAAAGAAACAGGGAGACCTAGAAAAGACTGAGTAAGATTTAAATGGATGTGCTACCTTTACCTAAAATTTCCAGAACTGCCCTATCATTTCATTAATGCCACAACTGAGGGTCAAGAATGAGAAAGATGAGAACATAGTTAATTGTTCTCATCTTATTGTAATTTTGGAAGAGGAGAAAAGAACAAAAGAAGTGAGTGAAGAAAGCAAGGACTTGTGATCTCTATGGAAGGGCAAATGGAGTTATTATAGAAGAGTCTAACATCCTTCCAGGCAGGAGACAAAGTAAGAAGGGAAATGACTAGAAAAGAGTGAAGGGAAGAAGGGGAGAAGGGGAAATTATTGGAAATAGAAAGATAAGCCTCAATGTGAGGAGGAAAGAAGAGAAAAGGAACATGACATTCATTCATTAGTTTCAGACAGTTTAAATGAAGACACAATTAGGTAAATTTATTTAAATGGTCATGTTCCTGTCATAAATAAACACACACACACACACCTTTTTGTCACATTAATAAAAAGGCAGCAAAACTAAGTTGAGTGGCATAAGTTGAGTGACAGCTTAGTCCCAGGAACTACTTTGCACCAGAACCTATAGTAACAAAGCAGAGATATTATAACTTATTTTATGCCATGTCACTTAAATATACAGTTGTCCCTTGGTAAATGCCAGGGATTGGGTCCAGGACCCCCAGAGTATATAAAAACCCGTGCATACTCACGTCTCACAGTCAGCCCTGCAAAACCCGCATGTACAAAAAGTCAGCCCTCTCTATACTCAGGTTTCCCCTGAATAGTGTATTTTATTTTATTTAATTAACTTATTATTATTATTTGAGACAAAGTCTCACCCCATCACCCAGGCTGGAGTGCAGTGACACAATCTCAGCTCACTGCAGCCTCTGCCTCTCAGGTTCAAGTGATTCACATGCCTCAGCCTCCCAAGTAACTGTGATTACAGGCATGCACCACCACACCTGGCTAATTTTTGTATTTTATTTTTATTATTTTTTTATTTTTTTGAGACGGAGTCTGGCTCTGTCGCCTGGGCTGGAGTGCAGTGGCCCAATCTCGGCTCACTGCAACCTCTGCCTCCCAGGTTCAAGCGATTCTCCTGCCTCAGCCTCCTGAGCAGCTGGGATTACACACATGTGCGACCACACCTGCCTACTTTTTGTATTTTTAGTAGAGACGGGGTTTTACCATGTTGGCCAGGCTGGTCTCAAACTCCTGACCTCAGGTGATCCGCCTGCCTCGGCCTCCCAAAGTGCTGGATTACAGGTGTGAGCCACCACGCCTGGCCTGAATATTGTATTTTTGATCTTCATTTGGTTGAAAAAAATCTGCATATAAGTGGACCCATGCAGTTCAAACCTGTTGTTCAAGGTTCAACTATATAATCTTTTCCTAGGCATCCCGTTTCCCAAGGAACCAACTGTCTTTGTCTGTTCAGGCTGCTATCACAGAGTAACATAAATTGAGTATCATATAACCAACAGAAATTTATTTATCACTGTTCTGAATGCTGGGAAATCCAAGATCAAGGGATATTCAGTGTCTGGTGAGGGTCTTCTTTCTGGCTTATGGACGGCGCCTTCTAGCTGTGTTCCAACATGGTAGAAAGGGCAAGACACCTCTCTGGAGCCTGTTTTATAAGGGTATGAATCCCATTCATGAGGGCTTTACCCTCACGAACCTAATCACCTCCCAAAGGCTCACCTCCTAATACCATCTACCATAGGGGTTAGGGTGTCAACATATGAATTTTGGGGAACATAAAACATTCAGACCATAGCAACAATTTGTGTGAAAGTCTCTTTGGTCCCAGTGGGGTGGCTCACACCTATAATCCCAACAGTTTGAGAAGCTGAGGCTGGCGGATCGCTTGAGCCCTGGAGTTCAACACCAGCCTGGGCAACATAGTGAAACCCTTTCTCTACCAAAAAAAAAAAAAAAATTAGGTGTGATGGTGTGTGTCTGTAGTCCCAGCTATGTAGGGGGCTGAGGTGGGAGGATTGCTTGAGCCCAGGAGGTCCAGGCTGCAGTGAGCCATGTTCGAGCCACTGCAATCCAGCCTGGGTGATTGAGCAAGACCTCCTGTGCTCAAGTGATCCTCTTATGCCATGTCTTTTAAAATTTTTTTTTATTTTACTTTAAGTTCTAGGTACCCGTGCACAACGTGCAGGTTTGTTACACAGGTATACATGTGCCATGTTGGTTTGCTGCACACATGAACTCATCATTTACATTAGTTATTTCTCCTAATGCTATCCCTCCCCCTGCCATGTCTTATTAACATAAATCGGGGTGGTGTGAGGGGGTCATATGTGTGTGTGTTTGTGTGTGTGTTGGTTGGTTATACCAAAATTTTCAGTAACTATTAAGAGTAGTGTTAAACAAACAAAAAAAACTAAAGTGTTAATTTTTTTCTTCAATGTTCACTGTAACTTTTCCTTAGTGAATTCTAGCTGTGTTTGAATAGTTTGGTCTTAAAATACTAGATTTTAAGTTCAAAATAACTTATCTTTGAATATAATCACCTCTACATAATAAAATATACCTATTTGCCTACAACTCTTCACAGTAATTTGATGAGATAAAGAGATTTTAGGCAACAACCTGCTAATAGTTTATGCCAGATGTTGACAAACTGTGATTAGTCCAACTATGGTCGTTTTTTTTACTTCCCTGAGCTAAGGATAGTTTTTACATTTTTTAATGGTTGAAAAAAATCAAAAGAATAGTAACATTTTGTGACACAAGAAAGTTATTCAAAATTTGGATTTCAGTGTCCATAAAGTTTTATTGAGATACTACTACTATGGCTGCTCTCCCAGTGCAACAGCAGAGCTGAGTACTTGTAACAAGGCTCACGTACTATCTGGCCATTTACAGAAAAAGTTTACTTACCCCTTTTCCTGTAATATGATCATCATTTAGCTATACAATGAGAACTCAGGGTAGAATTCAGCTCTACTCTGAATAGAAACTCTACAGTCACACTAAGGTCAACTCTGAATATTGACCTAACCAAAACTGATACAAATTGTTTTGGAACGATGGGGTCTGGGAGTACGAATGAAAGTGGTCCTTGCAGCATTTCTTGTGATCGTTGTGAGAGGGCTAGTCTCACCTCTTCCTTAGTGGGAATCGGTAGATATCATTTGATCCTGAAAGCCCACAGCATCACTATTGGCAGGTCAAGAGAGATAAGGAGGTCAAAAACAAGAGTGAGCTCCAGCATTAAAAAGACTACTCTGGAAGGTGTAAATGGGGAACACTTGAGACCGTTTCTTGGTAGTAAACAACATGGGTTTCTTTTTAGCGGCAAATGTGTTGAAATACTTGCCCCCTTAAACTGAATGTATGGATAGTTTGAGTAAAACAAAAGTATTGAGAAATAGAGCCACTAGTTCCCCCACACGGCATGGCCTTGTCTCCCTGACAGTGCTCCTGACAGGAGAGCCCAGACCTCTCTTCACATACCTCCAGTGCCTGGGTTGAGTAAAGAGGGTTGCCACTTATCCAGAGCGCCTGATTCATCCCTGAATATTGAAGTTCAGTTCAGCTTCTACCGAGTCCCACCCAGTTCCGTGGTTTACCAGTTCAGCTTCTACTGAGTCCCACCTAGTTCCGTGGTTTTCTCCCTGTTCCTGGCTCTGCCCTCTCTGCCCTACTCACCTCCCACCCACTTCCCTAAGCATTGAAGTCCAAACGTAAATCCTTCCAGTTTTTGGCGCCCGGGTATTTGACTTGCGCTCCTTTAATGTGGTATTCTGCCTCTCGTTTTCCTGGCCGCCTCCCTGGGACCCAGTTCCAGCTCACCAGCATCGGCTCCTCACACTCAGTGTTTAGGAGGTATCATCATATCATGGGCTGACAGGAATGACGGGAGAGAAACCTTAACGCAGAGTGAGTCCCCATGGAAACCGCGCCAACCCCGACCGGGGGCGTCGCCAGCGGGAAGGGGTGGGTCCCCTCTCGAATACCCCGCCCGGCTCCGGGAACGTCACCGACGCTCTGGGGCTTTTGCTAAGAAGCGCTCGCCCAGGAGGAGGCAGGGCAAATTGGTGAACAGGGCGGCGTGTCCTTATACGGGCACGAACTCGCGAGGTCCTGTGAGTAGGTCATACTCTCCTGGCCCCGATGTCTTCCCCTGCTTAATGAGAGGCATCTCCTGGCTCCACAGTATAGACTGTCAGGACTTGACTACTTGACTATCCTCTAAAGAGAATCATGATCAAGTCCCAAGTTCTTGGATAAAATGAATTTGTCCTAGATTATGGGAAAACACATTGTGTGTGTGTGTGTGTGTGTGTGTGTGTGTGTGTGTGTGTGTGTGTGTGTTTAAAGACTACTTCAGAAAATTGAGAAAATGTAAATGATGTGCAGGTAGGACTTTAATAAATATAAAGGTAAAAATATTATAAATATGGTATTAAGCATTTGGAATTGGAGGTTTCCATTTGTAAAAGTTGCCAATTATTTTTACAGTTTCTAGTAAAATCATATCCCAGCTTCCTGTTACTCTTTCATTTGCAAAGGTGATCATTCTTAGCCTTTTATTCATCTTGCTCATTGACTAGAGTTCCCAGATTATCTCGAATGGGACTGGTATATCCCTTGTGTAGAAACGTTGCCTTCCTTTTTTTTTTTTTTTTGAGATGGAGTTTCGCTCTTGTCACCCAGGCTGGAGTGCAGTGGCGTGATCTCAGCTCACTGCAACCTCCACCTCCTGGGTTCAAGAGATTCTCTTGCCTTGGCCTCCCAAGTAGCTGGGATTACAGGCCTTTTAAGATTAAAGACTGTTTTTCATTTTGCTTAATCTTTGGACTGCTGGTAATGTAGATATTGAGAACCCTTGAGCATGACTTTAAAATGGCAGCAACTTGAATCTTGAAGTATTGGAACACCGGTGTAAACATGAAACACCTTTACACCCATGTATGGATGTGCCATTTTATTTTCTATGACTCTTATTGTGGAACCTTTACTGTAGTTTGTTTCTGGTTTTCTTCTATTATAAACTTTGCCTTCATAAACATGCCTATTGGTAAATCTCTCCACACACATCTTTCCTTAGGATAAGTTATTCTAAGTACAAATAACAGGTCAAAGAAATGTACATTTTAAAACACTTCAGGCTGGGCGCGGTGGCTCATGCCTGTAATCCTAGCACTTTGGGAGGCTGAGGCGGGCGGATCACGAGGTCAGGAGATCAAGACCATCCTGGCTAACACGGTGAAACCCCGTCTCTACCAAAAATACAAAAAAAATGAGCCAGGTGCAGCGGCAGGCGCCTGTAGTCCCAGCTACTCGGGAGGCTGAGGCAGGAGAATGGCATGAAACCGGGAGGCAGAGCTTGTAGTGAGCCAAGATCGTGCCACCGCACTCCAGCCTGGGCGACAGAGCGAGACTCTGTCTCAAAAAAAAAAAAAATAAATAAAATAAATAAACATTTAATGGAGAAAAATAGAGAAATAGAGTGTATACATTTATTATTATTTTGAGATGCAGTCTTGCTCTGTTGCCCAGGCTGGAGTGCAGTGGCATGATGGTGGCTCACTACAGCCTCCGCCTCCTGGGCTCAAGTGATTCTCCTGCCTCAACCTCTCAAGTAGCTGGGACTACAGGGGTGCACCACCATGGCCAGCTAATTTTTTTGTTAAGACCAGCCCAGGCTGGTCTTAAATTCCTGACCTCAAGGGATTCTCCTGCCTAGACCTCTGAAAACACTGGGATTATAGGTGTGAGCCACTGAGTCTAGCCTTTTCCTGAATTTTTTTTTTTTTTTGAGACAAAGTCTCACTCTGTCACCCAGCCTGGAGTGCAGTGGCACAGTCTTGTCTCACTGCAACCTCCACCCCCTGGGTTCAAGTTATTCTTCTGCCTCAGCCTCCTGAATATCTGGGATTACAGGTGTGCACCACCAGGCCCAGCTAATTTTTTGTATTTTTATTAGAGACTAAGGGTTTCACCAAGTTGGCCAGGCTAGCCTTGAATTCCTGACCTCAAATGATCCGCCCACCTCAGCCTCCCAAAGTGCTCAGATTACAGGCACGAGCCATTACACCCAGCCTTCCTGAATATTTTTGATCCACAGTTGGTTGAATCCACAGATGCAGAACCCATGGATATGGAGGGCCGATTGTACATCCATACTGTAAAACCATCACTACTATCCATCTCCAGACTTTTTTCATCTTGCAAAACTGAAACAGTGTTCCTATTAAACATTAACTCCCCATCCCCACTTCCTCCCAGTCTCTGCAAACCACCATTCCACTTTCTGTCTCTGTGAATTTGACTACTCTAGGTACCTTATATAAGTGGAATCACACAGTGTTTATCTTTTTGTGACTGGCTTATTTCACTTAGTATAATGTCCTTAAGGTTGATCCATGTTGTAATAAGTCAGAAATTCCTTGATCTGTGATTTTTTTACTTTTGCAGGTGTTTCAGGTTTCTTGTAAAGAGCATTGATTACCTAGATGAAATTCTTCCCAAATTTCTGTTTTGTTAAGGAATAAAAGGAGTGCTCCCTCAAAAGCTTAAAAAGCGTATATACCTAAAGTAAAATAGTTCATCCTACCATAAAAACACATGCATGCAAATATTTACTGCAGCACTATTCACAATAGCAAAGACATGGAATCAACCTAAATGCCCATCAATTGTAGACAGGATAATGGAAATGTGGTACACATACACCATGTAATACTACACAGCCATAAAAAAGAATGAGATTATGTCCTTTGCCGCAACATGGATGGATCTGGGGACCATTATCCTAAGCAAACTAATGCAGGAACAGAAAACCAAATACCATATGTTCTCACTTAAAAGTGCGAGCTAAACAACGAGAACACATAGACACAAAGAGGGAAATGACACACACGGACCTACTTGAGGGTGGAGGGTAGGAGGAGGGAGAGGATCAGAAAAAAAAATAACCTGTTGGGTACTGTGCTTATTATCTGGGTGACTAAATAATCTGTACACCAAACCCCTGTGACATGCAGTTTACCTGAATAACAATCCTGCACCTGTACCCCTAAACCTAAAATTAAAGTTAAAAAAAAAAGCTTTAAAAATGTCTAGTACACACCAGTGTTCATTGTAGCATCATACACAATAGCCAAAAGAGGAAAACAACTCAGGTATCCATCAACAGATGAATGGATAAACAAAATGTGGTCTATACATACAATGCAATATTATTCAGCCTTAAACGGAAGGAAATTGTGGCACATGCTACAACATGGATGAACCTTGAAGCCATTATGTTAAGGGCTGATGGTTGCATAACAATATGGATGTACTTAATTGCACTGAATTACACAACGTCTCACTCTATTGCTTGGGCTGGAGTGCAGTGGCGCAAAATTTCGGCTCACTGCAGCCTTGATCACCGGGGTTTAGGTGATCCTCCCACCTCAGCCTCCCAGGTAGCTGAGACTACAGGCATGCGCCCACCACACCCTGCTAATTTTTTGTATTTTTAGTAGAGACAGGGTTTTGCCATGTTGTGCAGGCTGGTCTCAATCTCCTGGGCTCAAGCAATCTGCCTGCCTTGGCCTCCCAAAGTGTTGGGATTACAGGGGTGAGCCACTGTGCTCAGCCTATTTTACCACAGTTTAAAAAAATAATTAAAAATAATCTTAATCCCAGCACTTTGGGAGGCCGAGGCGGGCAGATTACTTGAGGCCAGGAGTTTGAGGCGAGCCTGGCCAACATGGTGAAACCCCGTCTCTACTAAAAAATACAAAAATTAGCCGTACGTCGTGGCCCACGTCTGTAATCCCAGCTACTTGGGAGGCTGAGGCATAAGAATTGCTGGAACCCAGGAGGCGGAGGTTGCAGGGAGCCAATATTGTACCACTGCACTCCAGCCTGGACGACAGACAGACCTAGACTCTGTTTCAAAAAACAAACAAACAAACAAACAAACAAACTTTATATATATGCAACCTATTTTAATTACATTACTTTAGCTCTCTATATAAATGACTTCACAAAACGATTTAATACTATATTTTTGTATTTTTAACAAAGTCAGTAAGATAGTGATTTGAAGACAATTATGGCTGGGTGTAGTGGCTCACGCCTGTGATGCTAGCAATTTGGGAGGCCAAGGCAGGTGGATCACTTGAGGTCAGGAGTTTGAAACCAGCCTAGCCAACATGAAGAAACCCTGTCTCTACTAAAAATATTTTTAAAAATTAGTCAGGCATGGTGGCGGGCTCCTGTAATCCCAGCTACTTGGGAGGCTGAAGCAGAATCACTTGAACCCAGGAGGTGGAAGTTGCAGTGAGCCAAGATCCCATAATTGTACTCCAGCCTGGGCAACAAGAGCAAAACTTTATCCTCCGCCCCCCGACCACCCCCCCTCGCCCAAAAAAAGACAATTTCTGCATCTTATGTTTATGAGAGTCACTTAATTCAATATATGGCTGTTGGTGACAATGTACGTTGTACTGTAAAATGTCTGAGTGATACATTCTCCCTTGACTTTGGTTCTAGGTAAGTTTGCTTTCATGGTGAATTGCTGCCTGCTTTCTTTATAAGAAGAACTCTATTTACCTTTCTGCTTTGACTGTCAGGAACTGAGACACCTTTTATGCTGAATTGAAGTGATTAGCTGGTCAAACCAGTATTTCCCTGGAGAATCATTAACCATCATTAAATAAATAATATCCTGTTCCTATTCACTTTGAACACCATGAGTGAAGTGGCTTGGTTGGAGTACAGTGTCTGAAATTGAGACTGCTGGCTTTTGTGACTTTGGACCTTGTCCAAATACTTTAACAGCATGATTCTTCCTCTTGTTGTGCCCCATTTCTAGAAAATGATTTCCTGTATCTTTGAGGTTTCTCTAATGTTACGGGAAGTCAGGGACCCTAAACGGAGGGACCGGCTGGAGCCGTGGCAGAGGAACATAAACTGTAAAGATTTCATGGACATTTATCAGTTCCCAAATAATACTTTTATAATTTCTTATGCCTGTTTTTACTTTAATCTCTTAATCCTGTTATCTTCATAAGCTAAGGATATACGTCACCTCAGGACCACTGTGATAATTGTGTTAACTGCACAAATTGATTGTAAAACATGTGTGTTTGAAAAATATGAAATCAGTGCACCTTGAAACAGAACAGAATAACAGCGATGATTAGGCAACAAGGGAAGACAACCATAAGGTCTGACTGCCTGTGGGGTCGGGCAAAAAGAGCCATATTTTTCTTCTTGCAGAGAGCCTGTAAATGGATGTGCAAGTAGGAGCGATATCACTAAATTCTTTTCCTAGCAAGAAATATTAATATTAATATCCTGGGAAAGGAATGCATTCCTGGGGGGCGGTCTATAAACGGAGGCTCTGGGAGTGTCTGTCTCATGTGGTTGAGATAAGGACTGAGATACGCTCTGGTCTCCTGCAGTACCCTCAGGCTTACTAGGGTGGGGAAAAACTGCCCTGGTAAATTAGTGGTCAGACCAGTTCTCTGCTCTCAAACCCTGTTTTCTGTTATTTAAGATGTTTATCAAGACAATACGTGCACCGATGAACATAGACCCTTATCAGTAGTTCTGCTTTTGCCCTTTGCATTGTGATCTTTGTTGGACCCTTATTAGTAGTTCTGCTTTTTGCCCTTTGAAGCATGTGATCTTTGTACCTACTCCCTGTCCTTACACTCCCTCCCCTTTTGAAACCCTTAATAAAAAACTTGCCGGTTTGAAGCTCAGGTGGGCATCATGGTCCTCCCGATATGTGATGTCACCCCCGGTGGCCCAGCTGTAAAATTCCTCTCTTTGTGCTCTTTCTCTTTATTTCTCAGCCAGCTGACACTTATGGAAAATAGAAAGAACCTATGTTGAAATATCGGGGGCGGGTTCCCCATACTCTAAGGTTTTTGCAAATGCATTTTACATATGCCACATTCCTTGGGTTTTAAATTAGATCATCTCAATCATGTCTCCCAAATTTGGTTTTAAAATATCCTTCCACATGTTTTCTAGTGGTGTAGTATTAGATAAAACCAAAACCAAAATTTTATTTTATTGATATGGGTAATGCTCTCCATTCATACATTACAGCCCTGGTCCCTCAGTCACTAGGTTCCACATTTTGGCACTATTAAAAAAAAAAACAAAACTTTTATTTTCTTCCCTTGAATATCCAATCAGGTGCCATGTTCTATAGTTTTTATTTTTAAAATTATTGTTATATCTGATTATTCCTTTCTAATCTCAATGTTGTATTCTCCCATCTTTCTTCTTCAGGTCTTTGTAATTACCCCACTACCTGGATTATTGCAATCTCCTTCCAACAGGATTCTCTCTCACACCTATCCTCTGGACAGCCAGTTCTCTATGCCGTTGCCAGATCCATCTTGCCAAAGCAGAACTCTGTTGTCTTCACTCTTGGCATTTACAAAGGCCTTCCTCAATGTGCCTCAAGCCAAGGGTCTGGTCTAATTACCATTATTCCTCTTGGCATAGCCTAGCCAAACTGAAACACTCACTGTCCCTGCAACATGCCCTGCATTTTCTCATCTTAATGCTTTGGTTCGTGTTGTTAGGTCTTAGTGCAAAGTGCTTTTACCCACCCCAACCTCAATCTCTGCCAGTCAAGAAATATTACCCATCCTTTATATGTGGCCTCCATAATTAAACTTTTCTTGATTCTTTCCAAAGATGTACTGTCTCCTAGTTTGTTGTTGCTTTTGTTGTTGTTGGTGGTGGTGTTTGAGACAGTATCTTGCTCTGTCACTCAGTCTGGAGTGCAGTGGTCCAATCTCAGCTCACTGCAACCTCCACCTAATGGGTTCAAGTGATTCTCCTGCCTCAGCCTCCCGAGTAGCTGGGACTACAAGCACGTGCCACCATGCCTGGCTAATTTTTTTGTATTTTTATTAGAGACGGGCTTTCACCGTGTTAGCCAGGATGGTCTGGATCTCCTGACCTGGTGATCTGCACGCCTCAGCCTCCCAAAGTGCTGGGATTACAGACGTGAGCCACCGTGCCCAGCTTCTCTCTCCTAGTTTTAACCTTCCCCCTGCCTTTTATATCTGGTCATCTCTTGTGGCAAAAAGCATATTCTTCATATATTAAACTTACTTATGTATGTCTCTCTCCTACATAAGCTCTTAAGATAATGAACTATAGCTCTTTGCCTACTTACCTTTATGTTTCTTTATGTTTTCTGATTAGATCAATGTATTCTATTCCAAAGGTACTCCAAAATTTAATTGAAAATTTTAAATTGAAAATTCAATTTAATTGAAATTGGCATAAATCCAATACTGACAACATGCCCCAAGGAAAAAACTCAAAGGGAGTTTTTTTTAAAGAGCACTACTTGTGTAAAAATATTCACTCAGCCAGGCGCAGTGGCTTATGCCTGTAATCCCAGCACTTTGGGAGGCCAAGGCGGGTGGATCACGAGGTCAGGAGATTGAGACCATCCTGGCTAACATGGTGAAAACCCGTCTCTACTAAAAATACAAAAAATTAGCCGGGCATGGTGGCGGGTGCCTGTAGTCCCAGCTACTCAGGAGGCTGAGGCAGGAGAATGGCATGAACCCGGGAGGTGGAGCTTGCAGTGAGCAGAGATGGCGCCACTGCACTCTGGCCTGGGTGGCAGAGCGAGACTCTGTCTCAAAAAAAAAAAAAAAAAAAAAAAAAACAACATATATATATATATATATATATACACACACACACACGTGTATACATTTACTCAGAACAGGCAGAAGCGGATAAGATGGCAGCAGCAAGCAGCTGATCAGGGTGGGAGAACCAGTGGTAGTGGAGGCAGTAGTGGGGCTGGCGGTGGTTCCAGGTGCGGCACAGGCAGTGGCCATAGCAGCTTGTTGGATAAGTGGAAGACAGATGATAAGCCTGTAAAAATTGACAAGTGGGATGGATTAGCTGTGAAAAACTCTTTGGATGATTCTGCCAAAAAGTTACTTCTGGAAAAATACAAATATGTGGAGAATTTTGGTCTCATTGATGGTCGCCTTACCATCTGTACAATCTCCTGTTTCTTTGCCATAGTGGCTTTGATTTGGGATTATATGCACCCCTTTCCATAGTCCAAACCCATTTTGGCTTTGTGCGTCATATCCTATTTTATGATGATGGGGATTTTGACCATTTATACCTCATATAAGGAGAGGAGCATCTTTCTTGTGGCCCACAGGAAAGATCCTATAGGAATGGATCCTGATGATATTTGGCAACTGTCCTCCAGTCTTAAAAGGTTTGATGACAAATACACCTCTAAGCTGACCTTCATCAGTGGGAGAACAAAGCAGCAGCGGGAAGCCGAATTCACCAAGTCCATTGCTAAGTTTTTTGACCACAGTGGGACACTGGTCATGGATGCACATGAGCCTGAAATATCCAAGCTCCATGACAGTCTCGCCGTAGAAAGAAAAATAAGGCCGGGTGCGGTAGTTCACGCCTATAATCCCAGCACTTTGGGAGGCCGAGGCGGGCAGATCACAAGGTCAGGAGATCAAGACCATCCTGGCTAACACGGTGAAACCCCGTCTCTACTAAAAAATACAAAAAATTATCCAGGTATGGTGGCACGTGCCTATAGTCCCAGCTACTGGGGAGGCTGAGGCAGGAGAATGGCCTGAACCTGGGAGGTGGAGCTTGCAGTGAGTCGAGATCGTGCCACTGCGCTCCAGCCTGGGCGACAGAGCGAGACTCCGTCTCAAAAAAAAAAAAAAAAAAAAAGAAAAATAAAATAGCCAATTCTAAAAGTAGCCCTCTTTCTGTTGGATCTTGCTGAATTACTGGTTTGTGGGGTGGGGGAGATAAAAAGAATTTAAAATGGATAAAGTAAAAAAAGTTTAAAAATCCCTGTTTTGTCCTGAAATTTTAGTCTGTTCTGGATAAATAGGATTTTCTGAGAGAGATATGAGAAGTTGTAGCTCTGATGTCTAGCTGTAGTCTCCTGGGTCTGCTGATTGCATTATTTTAATTTGCTTTTCTGGGAAAGCAGTTTTGCTAAAAGCTGTACAGACTTTCCTTTGTACCTAGTAGTACTTTATATAGTATAGCTTTGGGCTATGTAGCATTTTAAGACTCAATTAATAAAAAATTAATCTGTTGCTGACTCTGTTAATTCCTATTTCCACATGTATTTCCTTGAAGAATTCAGGATACGACTTCTTGTGTATGACAGTTTTCCTTCACACACTATTTTTGTGGGTGTGTATATATCTGATTTGGGGAGAATTTAAAAAACACATAGCTTTTTAATTTGTTTGAAACAGACCTTTTGCCTGTTACATTTTGTGCTCTTAACCAATTAAAGAAGCCAATGACATGTTAGTTTTATATTGTGTTTTCCACTAGTATATCCCTGTTGATTTGTTTGTGCCTTTTATTAACTGCCATTTTCTAAAATTTTTTTCAATAAAGGGAAGACGTGAAAAAAATTACTCAGAACAGCAATATATAATAAACAATTAAAAAATCAACAATAAGGGAGTTGTTAGATAAATTAAGGTAGGGCTGAATCTAATTCTCCTGGGTCTGGCCCATAGGAAGTATTTAATACTTATTAAATGAATGGTATACTACCGTGTTGCAATATTATTTACTCAGGTGCATGTGAAATCAGTTTAAGGGAAAAATAACTTTCACAAAACATAGGAATTACATCTATAGAAAACCTATGCTGCCGGGCGCGGTGGCTCAGCCTGTAGTCCCAGCACTTTGGGAGGCGGAGGCGGGAGGATCGCTTGAACCTAGGAGTTCCGAGGCCAGCCCGGGCAACACAGACAGATCCCAGTCTCTACAAAAACTATATTTAAAAAATTAGCTGGGCGTGGTGGTGCGAGCCTGTAATTCCAGCTACTTAAGGTCAGGGAGGTCGAGGCTGCAGTGAGCCATGATCGCGCCACTGCATTCCTGCCTGGGGGATAGAGACCCTGTCTGAGAAGTGAAGGAAAGGGGAATGGTAGAGGGAAGGGGAAGAGAAAGAAAAGAAAACCTATGGAGGTACGTTAATAATCAGAAGGGGCCAGAGGAAGCCACCTGACACATTTGTGAGACAATTTAAAAGGCGTTCTCATACATTCTCACTTTGATACAACAACCCTGCAAAGTGCGCACGGAAGGTGTTATTAACTCCGTTTTACAGGTAAGGAGATCGACCCACTGAGGTCAGGAGTGACTGACCAAGGCGGAGCCAGGACTCTAGCCCCCGCCTCCCGGCCACTGGTCCCGGTCTCCTTCCCCGCCACCACTCGGCCACCGTCATTGGTGTTCAGAGTTTCGGTTCTCTTTTCTGTGATCGTATTACTTATGCAAAACGAGCCCAGTCACTTGCGCGGCCAGAGAGGGGCAGGTGCTGGGCGGCGGCTGACGGGCGCAGCACCCTAGGCCCAGTGTCTGGCTCCAGCCCCGCATCCGGCGCCGGCCCCGCATCCAGCTCTGGCCCTGCGACAATAGAGTCCGGAAGTGCAGGCAAAGCGGCTCCCGGGAGCGCCGCGCGGTCCTGCGCGGGATCAGCGAGGGCCGCGCCCCGGCGGGCGGGCGGCATGGCTGCAGTGCTGGCTCTCAGGGTGGTCGCGGGGTTGGCGGCCGCAGCGCTGGTGGCCATGCTCTTGGAGCACTACGGCCTGGCGGGCCAGCCCTCGCCGCTGCCGCGCCCCGCGCCCCCCAGGAGGCCGCACCCTGCGCCAGGGCCCGGAGACAGCAACATCTTCTGGGGCCTGCAGGTGACGCGGCGGGAAGCCGGGCCGGGAGGCAGGTGCAGATCGGGCACCGTGCGGTGGGACCCTTGCGGGTGTTGGGCCCCACGCTCCAGGCTGGGGACCTCAGTCAGATTGTAACTCGAGGCTCTGTCTAGTGCTGGCCCTGTCCTTACCTGGGGGGTTCGTTATGCATTGCCTCTTTGCCTTTTCCTTCTGCCCGAGAGAGCCGCTGAGCCGCCCCTCCCCATGCTGCCTCTTCCTGGCTCAGATCTCTCTGTTCAATACCTGTTTTCGGCAGATATCCGACATTCACCTGAGCAGGTTTCGAGATCCAGGCAGAGCGGTAGACTTAGAGAAATTCTGTTCTGAAACTATTGACATCATTCAACCAGCTCTCGTCCTAGCAACAGGTAGGGAGGCTTGCCGTGCTGTGGTGGTGGTCTGTGGTCCGCATGGTAGAACTCTAGCCAGGGCTGTGGCTTTTCATTTTGGGGACGTTGGGAGCAGTATAGCCACAGCCCCAGGTGAGCTCTGTGAGGTGGAAGAGATTGGACATTCTAACCCCTTTGCCTATGGATAACTGAATGAGTCAAGATCCAGGCAAAATGATTTGACGTAGCAAGGTTTTGTCAAAGCAGTAGAAGCAAGGCTCCTGGTTCTCATGTCAGTCTGTTGTCTGATATATTTGTATCTGGTTTTTGTTCTTGTTGTTGTTACAGTTCTGGTTGTGAGAATTAGGGAAAAGCCTGTAACCACGAATCAGAAGTTCTCTTCTTTTGCTAACTTTTCTATTTTCTTTACATTATTAATCTTATATTTTCAGTTGTTTGAGGCTTCCGGTGACCCAGGGCACTTTTTCTTCATCCTTTGATAGTTTTATGACTTAAGTTTTCTAGACTCTTCAAACACTTTATTTGCTTTCAAACTGTAATGGGGAGAAGAAGCTAAAGGAGCATCTATCTATCTTGCTTACTGGGGAATTCATCACTCATCCACCTTATTGAAGCATCTCTGCTGACATGAAAGGGTATCAGTTCTGATTTAATGGATGAGCCTCCATAAAAAGTTTTCTGTTTAGTTCTCTATAAATTTTGGTATTTTGTTGTCCAATTCCACCTGCCACATTGCTTCTTGCTGTAAAAATAATACTTGGTCAAATCACATATTCTGATTTTGTGGTTTGGAAAATATGGTTGCCATAGATATTAGGCAGCCACTCAGAGTACTGGAATTTCTTATAAATCATTTTCATTTTATCAGAGTCTATTGATGCATTTTGTACTGTTCTCTTTAAAGATTTTTTTAACAACCCATTTCGAATATCACAGGAGATTGAACAGGCATTTGCTAACCTATAAGAAACAAAGTCCTTGCTGAGAAAATCTTGTTAGTTTAGATGGCTCGATTTGGACATTGGTGGTCTCGTGAGCAGTTATGCTTATACACGTTGAGTGCTTTAAGTATCCTTGTTCCTTCAGTGTACATATCTAAAAAAAATGGAACCCCCAGTAGTTTATTTTGCATTGTGATTCAATTCTTGTGTAAACCTACAGGAGACCTGACAGATGCCAAAACAAAGGAACAGTTGGGATCCAGGCAGCATGAGGTAGAATGGCAAACCTACCAGGGTATTCTGAAGAAGACAAGAGTCATGGAAAAAACCAAGTGGCTGGATATCAAAGGAAATCATGGTAAGAGCCAAGAGCCAGATACAATAAAGACAAGAGTTTTTTTCCCCCTTCAGGAACCTAGATTTTCCAACTTAGATTGTAAAATTATAAAGTGGGACATTTACATATACTAAAGGTCACATCTCTGAAATACAACTATATAATGTGGTTTTAAAACTTCAAATGTCATTGTTAGCCTTTGAGATGACAATTGGTATGGTCCTTTTTTTGTGACATATGCTGCTTCTTTTTTTATTATTATTATTATACTTTAAGTTCTGGGATACATGTGCAGAATGTGCAGGTTTGTTACATAGGTATATATGTGCCATGGTGGTTTGCTGCACCCATCAACCTGTCATCTACATTAGGTATTTCTCCTAATGCTATCCCTCCCCCTGCCCCCATCCCCCAGTCCTTTTTTCTGTACATGGAAAAAATATGAGTTTTAGCAAAACTCATGCAGACAGATGTTTTAATAAATATACATTTTGCTAAGTGAAAGAAGGCAAACCCGTAAGTCTGCATACTGTATGATTTCATTTATATGACATTCAGGAAAGGCAAAACAATAGACAGAGAACAGATTGTAGTTACCAGAGGATAGGGATTGGGAGAGAGATTAACTGCAAACAAGCATCATGGAGAATTTTTGGTGGTGATGGAACTAGTCTGTATTTTGATTGTGGTGGTAGACTTCAGGTTCACTATATATTTGTCAAAATCCATAGAACTGTAAGTCACAAAGGATGAATTTTACTGTGTGCAAATTTTAAAAACTTAGCTTTTATTTTTTCTTTTTAAAATTTACTAGTATTATTATTATTATTTTGTGAGACAGAGTCTCACTCTATCACCCAGGCTGGAGTGCAGTAGTGCAATCTCAGCTCACTGCAACCTTCGTCTCCCGAGTTCAAGCGATTCCCCTGCCTCAACCTCCTGAGTAGCTGGGATTACAGACAGGTACCACCCTGCCCAGTTAATTTTTTTTTTTTTTTGGTATTTTTAGAAGAGGTGGGGTTTCACCACATTGGCCAGGCTGATCTCGAACTCCTGACCTCAAATGATCTGCCCCTGCTCAGCCTTCTAAAGTGGTGGGATTACAGGCGTGAGCCACCACGCCTGGCTTATTATTATTTTTTTGACAGGGTCTTGCTCTGTCACTCAGCCTGGAGTGCAGTGGTGTGAGTATAGCTCATTGCAGCCTTGACCTGAGCTTAAATGATCCTCCCACCTCAGCCCCACAAGTAGCTGGGACTACAAGCATGCATCACCATACCCTGCTAATTTTTGAAGTTTTTTTTTGTGGAGTTGGGTTCTTGCTATGTTGCTTAGGCTGATCTCAAACTCCTGGGCTCAAGTGATCCTCCTACCTCATTCTCCCAAAGTGCTGGGATTACAGGTGTGAGTCACTGCACCTAGCTTAAAAAGTTTAAATTGCAAACAAATCTCCATAGGCATGAACAGGGAAATGGATAATCCTTTCCCTTTTTAAGATTATCATTGTGTTGGTAAGGAAATGAACTCTTCTCCAAAAGAGTCCTGATGGTAGTGTATTTGTTTGATTTATAAAGGTTGACTTTTTTATTAGCTAAGTACTTCATTTGTCTACTTTATCTGATCAGTAGATCAGGCATGAATCCACTTCTTGCTGGCTTTTAGAATCACATGATTAAGACAAGAGCAACTACAGTTCAATCTTATAATTTCAAAGTTATTTATTCTGAGTGGTATAGAATTCAAAGTACCTGTTTTTCTCTAGTATACTAAGTGCCTTAAATAAGTTTCTAGATAATCTGAATTTTGTTAAGATATCAAAATTTTAAAGTATCAATCTAATTGATTGGCATTCTGCCATTAAAAGTGTTATAGAAAGATGACAGAGGCTGCTACAGTCACGCCATGCCTAGCTAAGTCTGTGCCAGCAGAGGCAGAGAGCTTGCGGTGGGCCAGTTGCCCCTGCTGGAGCCTCAGTTAAATCTGAACATCCCACTGTCCCAACCCTCCCACAGATGTGCACCGGGCTGTACTTTGGCTTAAGACTGCAGGTGGACATCTCCACTGCCCGGGAATCATGGAGTGTGTAGACAGGACAGCCTCCATGGAAGGCTGGTCATACCAGAGTCCCACCTTGGCACAGGCCTTGCCATTGAGGCAGCTCTACTGTCTGTGCTGGTCTGAGGGTGGGCTGCCTGTCATGGGGGCAGCCATTTCCCAGGGGGTGTTCATTGCCGTCATCTGCAACGCCTCATAGGCTTCTTGCTGCTTCTGCTCCGAGTCATTCTCTGCCGGGCCTACACTCTTGCTATGCCAATATTGACTGTCTCTACAGATTTAGTCCCAACTCCAGCCCTGGCCCCTATCCTGAAAAGGTACCACTGCCCAAGAAACCTAGCCATGAAGGCAGCTACCTGCTGCAGCCCTGAAGGCCCCTGGCTTAGCCTGGAGCTTGGGACCTAAGTCCATCCCACCCACATCCTGGAATCAAGATTCCAGGGTTTTAGCCAGACTAGGGTCTAGAACTTGGAGCCTAACCTGCTTGGATTGGACTCAGCAACCCTGAGTCTAGCCATACTGGTTCTAGGAGAGGCTCAGTGGCCCTAGAGAGATGGGCCATGGTGGGAGTTCATGAATTGCTGGTAGGGCCAGGGCCATCTGGACTCTGTTCTGAGTCAGGGGCTGAGTCTACCCTTTCCTTAGGCTAAGCACTTCTAGGTGGGGGAAGCAAACTGAAACCCATGGCAATAATGGGAGGTTGTCCAGGATGTGCCCCTCTCCTAGTCCTCCCACTGTTTGCTGAATAATAAATGGAACGGCTCTACCCTGGGGGTGTGTGTGGAAGAATTGTTATAGAAAGAATTATTTTCCCTTAGTCATTAAAGAAAATGTTTGTATTCTTTTTTTAATGTGGATGAATGTTTGCTTTTTTTTTTTTTTTAAATTAGATGCATTCAATATTCCAAGTCTGGACAGCATCAAGAATTATTACAGGTACTGTAATAAACAGAAGACAGACCACTATGTAGAGTCAGTGTTATAAGGAGGGTGTGGTCAACTCAATGAATGAGAGAAAACTTTAAAAAAACATTTTAAGAGGCAGGGGTCTCGCTATTTTGCCCAGGCTAGCTCTGAACTGAGCTCAAACGATCCTCCTGCCTCAGACTCCTGTGTAGCTGGGGCTGCAGGCACATGCTACTGTGCCTAGCTGAAAACATTTTTTAACAGGTAAAATTTTTCTATAAAGAATCTCTAGTAATTTAAAAAATGAGCCTTTTTGTCTTTTTGTGACAGATGCATTTCTTTTTGTTTAGAGTTTTTCTTTCCTTTAATTCTTTCTGTTTCATATACAGGCATACCTCGTTTTATTATGCTTCGCCTTATTGCACTTTGCAGATGTTGCATTTTTTCAAATTGAGAGTTTGTGGCAAGCCTGCCTTGAGCAAGTCTATGGGAGCCATTTTTCCAACAGCATGTGCTCACTTCCTGTCTCTGTGTCTCATTTTGGTAATTCTCACAATATTTCAAACTTTTTCATTATATCTTTTATGGTGATCTGTGATCAGTGACCTTTGATGTTACTATTGTAATTGTTTTGGGGTGCTACAAACCTTGCCCATATAAGTCCAGGAACTTAATCAATAAGTGCTGTATGTGTTCTGAGTGCTGCACCAATCAGCTGTTCTCCCATCTCTCTCCCTCTCCTCCAGCCTCCCCATTCCCTGAGACACAACAATATTAAAATTAGGCCAGTTAATAACCCTACAATGGCCTCTAAGTGTTCAAGTGAAAGGAAGGGCCCAACATCTCTCACTTTAAATCAAAAGGTAGAAATGATGAAGCTTGGTGAGGAAGGCTGTTGAAAGGCTTTCAGATAGGCTGAAAGCTAGGCCTCTTGAGCTGGAGCAGTGAGCCAAGTTGTGAAGGCAAAGGAAAAGTTCTTGAAGGAAATTAAAAGTGCTCCTCCAGTGAACAGATGAATGATTAGAAAGTGAAACAGTCCTACTGCTGATGTGGAGAACGTTTTCGTGTTCTGGATAGACAATCAAACCACCTACAACATTCACTTAAGCCAAAGCCTAATCCAGAGCAAGATCCTAACTCCCTTCAATTCTATGAAGGCTGAGAGAGGTAAGGAAGCAGCAGAAGAAAAGTTGGAAGCTGGCAGAGTTTGGTTCATGAGGTTTAAGGAAAGAAGTTAACTCCATAACATAAATATGCAGTGTGACGCAGCAAGTGCTGATTGATGGAGAAGCTGCAGCAAGTGACCCAGAAGATCTAGCTAAGATAATTGATGAAGGTGGCTGCGCTAAACAACAGATTTTCCATGTAAATGAAACAGCCTTCTTTTGGAAGAAGATGCCATCTAGGACTTTTATAGCTAGAGAAAAGTCAATCCCTGGCTTCAAAGGATGGGCTGACTATTGCTAGAGGTCCATGCAGCTGATTTTTTTTTGTTGTTGTTGAGAAAGTTGCACAATAATTTATTTAGGGCCTCCTCTCCCCACCCTTGCAGTCTCTAGGTCACTTTTTCCGCTTGTAGATTTTGCGCGCCAACCCCAGAAAGATGACTGGGGGCAGGGGAGCTGCGTACTGTTCAATGAGACCCATAACGTGGCTGTAACTGTCTTCCTATTATTGCAAGAACATGGCCGGCAGATCCAGCTCCTCATATACTGCCTTCACCGGGGCCACCTTCTCGGCCTCCTTCTGCCCAAAATTCTCCTTCAGAATCTGGTACTGTTCTGGAGTGGCCCGTTGCAGACACTGAACCACCAGCCAGCTGCATTTGTTGTCCTGGATGTCAGTGCCAACTTTGGCGGTCACATTGGGGTCCCCAAAGAGGTGAGGGTAATCATCCTGATCTGAAAGAACTCTCCCTCTCCCATCTCCAGCAGGATCTTCTTGGCATTGGTATTCTCCTTCTCTCTATCAATACCTGCATATACATGGCTGCAGCTACAGGAAGGTAGAAGGAGTAGAAACTGCCTTGTACGTGACACTAGATTTGTACCTCTTTTCAGTGAATCTGCCAAGATCCACATTGCCCTGGGGGGCTATGATGAGATCCAGGGTCTGCCCAATCTCAGTCTGATAGAAACTCTGCCGGAAGAGCTGGATCAGGTTCAGGTAATAGGGCTGCTCATGGCAATAGAGCTTCAGCAGGCGGTACATACATGCTTCCCTTCCAGAAGCATAGCAACATTGATGGCATCCAAACCCGCGCCCGGCTTCTGATATCAGCAGATCTGTCCCCAGTGGGTGAGGGATGAATCCATGATGTCATTTGCCACCAGGAAGAAAGCTTGCAGCAGTTCCACACACGAGCCCATAGTCAGGGCCCGCTGGAGACTCTCAGTATCCTGTTTCCTCGGCTCCACCAGCTCCCAGAATGCTACTAGCACCATCAAAGCCCAGTGATACTTGCCTCCAATGGCATTGTACTACAGGACCTCCGTGAGCTGGGTGATAGCATCTCCTGTCTCTGGGTGCCCCATCTCATCCTCAGTCAGCACCCTAACAATCTGGGAGAAGCACTGAATGAAATCCTGCTTTTCTTGGACAGAAATGTCTGATTTCTGGTCTCCATTCATTCTGAGGGAGGAGCAAAGGGCTCTGTTCCTGGATGTGGGTTCCTGCTCCATAGCTGATGACTTTAAGTGGAGCCAATGCCCACTTACCATTCTGAAAATCCTTGGGTGCTTAAGCGTTATGCTAAATCTACTCTGCCTGTGTTCTATATATGGAACAACAAAGCCTGGATAATAATAGCACATCTCTTTACAGCATGGTTTACTGAATATTTTAAGTCCACTATTGAGAACTACTGCTCAGAAAAAAATATTCCCTTCAAAATATCAATGGTCATTGACAATGCACCTGGTCACGCAAGAGCTCTGAGGAAGATGTACAAGGAGATGAATGTTATTTTCATGCCTGCTAGCGCAGTATTCATTCTATAGCCAATGGATCAAGGAGTAATTTCAACTTTCAACTCTTACTATTTAAGAAACACATTTCATAAGACTATAGCTGCCTTAGATTATGATTCCTCTGATGGATGTGGGCAGTCAATTGAAAAATTTATGGAAAGGATTCACCATTCTAGATGCCATTAAGAACAGTTGCAATTAATGGGAGGAGGTTAAAATAACAACATGAACAGGAGGGAAGAAGTTGATTCCAACCCTCATGGATGACTTTGAGGGGTTCAAGACTTCAGTGGAGGAAGAACTGTAAATGTGGAAATAGCAAGAGAACTAGAATTAGAAGTGGAGCCTGAAGAGGTGACTAAATTGCTGCAATCTTATGATAAAACTTGAACAGATGACAAGTTGCTTCTTATGGATGAGCAGAAAAAGTGGTTTCTTGAGAAGGAATCTACTCCTTCTAAATATGGTGTGAACATTTTTGAAATGACAACAAAGGATTTAGAATTATACATAAACTTAGTTGATAAAGCAATAACAGTGTTGGAGAGGATTGGATTTCTTTGGGTAAAATGCTATCAAGCAGCATTGCATGCTATAGAGAAATTCTTTTTTTTTTTTTTTTTTTGAGATGGAGGCTTGCTCTGTCACCCAGGCTGGGGTGCAGTGGTGCGATCTTGGCTCACTGCAACCTCCGCCTCCCGGGTTCAAGCAATTCTCCTGCCTCAGCCTCCTAAGTAGCTGGGACTACAGGCGCCTGCCACCATGACCCGCTAATTTTTATATTTTAGTAGAGACAGGGTTTCACCATATTGGCCAGGCTGGTCTTGAACTCCTGACCTCGTGATCTGCCCACCTCGGCCTCCCAAAGTGCTGGGATTACAGGGGTGAGCCACCGCGCCCGGCCAAGAAATTCTTGTGAAAGGAAAAGTCAATTGATGTAGCAAACTTCATGGTTACCTTATTTTAAGAAATTACCACAGCCACCCCAACCACCACCCTGATCAGTCAGCAGCCACCAACGTCAAAACAAGACCCTCCACCAGTAAAAAGATTTTGACTCGCTGAAGGCTCAGATGATCATTAGCATTTTTAGCAGTAAGGTTTTTTTTTGTTTTTTTGGTTTTTTTTTTGAGACAGGGTCTCTCTGTCACCCAGGCTGGAGTGCAATGGCGCGATCTCAGCTCACTGCAATCTCCACCTTCCAGGCTCAAAGTGATCCTCCCACCTCAGCCTCTCGGGTAGCTGGGACCACAGGCGTGAGCCACCATGCCTGGCTAATTACTGTGTTTTTTATAGAGACAGGGTTTCTAAATGTTGCCCAGGCTAGTCTTGAACTCCTGGGCTCAAGTGATCCACTCACCTCGGCCTCCCAAAGTGCTAGGGTAACAGGCGTGAGCCACCATGCCCAGTCAGTAGAAGTATTTATAAATTAAGGTATGTGCATTGTTTTTCTAGACATGATGCAATTGCACACTAAATAGACTATAGTATGGTGTAAACATAACTTTTTTTTTTTCTTTTGAGACAGGATCTTGCTCTGTTGCCCAGGCTGGAGTGCAGTGGCACCATCTTGGCTCACTGCAACCTCCACCTCCCTGGTTCAAGCGAGTCTCCTGGCTCAGCCTCCTGAGTAGCTGGGACTACAGGCATGTGCCACCATGCCTGGATAATTTTTGTATTTTTAGTAGAGACAGAGTTTTGCCATGTTGGCCAGGCTGGTCTCAAACTCCTGACCTCAAGTGATCTGCCTGCCTTGGCCTCCAAAAGTGCTGAGATTACAGGCATAAGCCACTACGCCCAGCCGTAAACATAACTTTCATACACACTGGGAAACCAAAAAATTCATGTGACTCGCTTTTTTGCAATATTTGCTTTATTGTGGTGTCAGGAACCACAATATCTCTGAAATATGCATGCAGTTTAATGCTTTGTTTTGGCTAATGGTACTTTTAATATTCCACACGGGCTTAAAAAATTGTTTAAGTCATTGATACATAGGAAAAGTCATTTATATCAGAGCTTGTCAGCCACACTACTGAGGTCACTGGGTTTTCAGAATCCTGAGATACTGATTCTCCTGGCCTCTGTGGTGGCTGGAGAGCCCAGTTAGTCACCTGGCTGCTTTATCTTTTCATCCTGTGTCATACAAATATTAAAATAATCTTTATTTGTCACAAATGTGAAAAGGCAAGGGATCTCTGAATTAGAAACCAATTGTCTAGTTTCATTATGTTTAGATTCCTCTTTTGGTTGCAGTGCACTTTTCAGCCTCAGGGTATTCAGTAGCTTTGTTCTGCATTGTCAATCAATCATGTAGCAAATATTTATTGAGAATCCATCCCTAGTTGGATAGTGTGAGAGATACATGAGTTAATGTTAAAAATTTGGCTTTTGCCTTCAAGGAACTGATAGTGTAGTTAAGGGACATCAGAATTATTTAGGAAACAATTAGAAAATAACATGAAGAAATGGCCGAGGAAATGCTAGATTATTTGGTACACATGATAATCACTATGAGAAATTAGAAAAGCATGGGGGTGGACATAGAGAAGACTTTATAAAAGAAGCAAAAAGTGTGTCCAATCTTAAAAGATGAGTAGCATTTGAAGAAGTAAGACATGCCAAGGAGGATATTTTAGGCAAAAAGATAGGTATGAAGAGATCTTTAAAAGCTACAGACTGGGAAACCAAAAACTGAACTTTGCAGGGGCAGTAAGAAAACTGGTGTCACCAGAATTAACATTCATACTGAGGACTAGTATGACACTGGATAGGCAGCCTAGGGCTAATTTATGGAGGTCTTAAGTAACAAGCATAGAAGTTGAGATGTGATGGGTAATAGTTCATAATTCAGCATAGGTTCTTAAGGAGGCAAGTAACATAATTAAAATAGTGTTTTATAAATGGCAATCCCACAATAAAAAAGGAAAAAGATGGGATAAAAAGGAAAAAAGAGATATTGGAGTTATGTGGACTAAATAGGAGGGTCCTGCAATAGTCTAGTCATGATAATGAAAAGTCATACCCATCTGAACTAAGTTCTTGGATATGGAGATGGTGACATCAATTTGAGGATGATAGGTCAAAAAGCACTGGTTAACTGAGTTTGTATGATTAGAGTCACCATACATTGGAAGAGGAGGTTGTTCTCTTTTGTTAATGTGAGAAAGGAAGAGGACAGAGATGAAAATCTTTCACTTCCTGTTAACTGTTTGTATCTTTCATGGTGACTGTGGGGAGTTAGGAGACATGTTCAAAAGTAATTAACAGGACTTGGGGCTGAGTGGTTATTGGGAAAGTAAAGTGAATAGTCACTTTAAAGTTTCTTACCTTTGTATTTTTGTTTTTAGCCACCTAAACTTTATCTGAATTTAATAAATGGCATTTTACTAAAAATATAAATATTACAGAAATACCAATCTGAAGAAAAAAAATTAAAGTTAAATCTTGATCTTAAAAATGTCCCAGAGAGGAGGCAGAGCTTGCAGTGAGCCAAGATCGCGTCACTGCACTCCAGCCTGGGCGACAGAGTGAGACTCCGTCTCAAAAAAAAAAAAAAAAGATTCTGAGGAATAACTGAACATAAAATAAGCAAGAAAAAATATAAGTAAAAATTTTAATTTAGAATAAAACCCTGAAATAGAATTTTTTTTTTTTTTTTTTTGAGACAGAGTCTCATTCTGTCATCTAGGCTGGAGTGCAGTGGCACGATCTCCACTCACTGCAAGCTCCGCCTCCCGGGTTCAAGCCATTGTCCTGCCTCAGCCTCTGGAGTAGCTGGGACTACAGGCGCCCGCCAGCACGCCCGGCTAATTTTTTTGTATTTTTAGTAGAGATGGGGTTTCACCATGTTAGCCAGGATGGTCTCGATCTCCTGACCTCGTGATCCGCCTACCTCGGCCTTCCAAAGTGCTGGGATTACAGGCGGGAGCCACCGCGCCTGGCCCTGAAATGGAAATTTAAAAAATACCAAGAAGAAAGGCAGTAGAACTAATTGACATTGTTTAAATTGGGTTTGACTAATTTCTGAGTATTAGTTGTAATGTCTATATCATATATTTACTCGGGTTACATTATATTTGATGGTTGTTGTGGCCCACTAGCATATTAAATTTCAGGAGTTTATTTGTATTTTTAAATATATGCTGTTAGGTAAAAATCATGTAAGACACTTAGATAAATGATAATACCAACTTTTCTTATAATGTTCTGACATTTGAATAATATAGGTATGCCCTCCAATAAAATCTATACTTTCCTTCTTATTTATTCAACACATACTTAATGAGTGCCTGCCCTGTACTGTGTTACTCATCCTTTCTTCCTGGTCTTCACTCTGCAGTTTTATGGACACCTGAACACTGTTGACGCTTAAGGTGGTAAACTTTCATTAGTGGATATAGACCCTGTGTATGTTATCAATATATCTTTAGGAACTGAAAAAGATTTAACAACCCAGACCTAGACTAATATTTTTTCTCCTTGCTTGAAGACTTCATCTTTGCAAGTCTTTCTTGTGAATTAAGCCTCTGTAGTCCTGTTTCAAGAAGTAGACAGCTTTTTTATCTCACTACACCAAGAATTCTAGGTACTTAGTATGCCCTCACTAAATCTGCAAATGATTGATAAATACTGTTCCACTGGATTTTGATTTCTTTTTGAACATTTAATGGACTCCCTAAAAGAGCCGTCTTACTTCTGAACTTGGTGAACTTGTATTTGGTTATTGAATGAGTTTGCATGAGTCTTTGGGGACAATGGGAGAAAAACTTTGAAATTTCATCAGTTTATCCATTGTGGATCTAGTTTAGTATATTTCTGTCAGATCAGCAAATCTCGTTTTCAAAGGAAGGTAAAATCTAGCGTATTAGGGAAGGAATTTTAAAGCATTGTCTTTTTATTACACTAACACCCTCCTGTCTTCTATTTTTTAGGAAATATTCTGCTGTACGTAGAGATGGCTCTTTCCATTATGTCCACAGTACTCCCTTTGGCAACTATTCGTTCATCTGTGTAGATGCCACTGTAAATCCAGGGCCTAAGAGACCCTATAATTTCTTTGGAATTTTAGATAAGGTGCAGTAAAAATCTTACTTCCCTTTGTAGCTTACTTATTTTTTCATGGATACGTGTGGATCACTTAAAGTTATCAAAAGTAAACTAGTTGTTATCTAGGAATGCTTTGGAGAAATTTAACTTGGTTACAGGTATGGCTAGAAGTTACTGGCTATTTCAGCACTATTTTTGCTATCCTTTTTCTTGTCCCAAAATCTGAGAAAGAAGTACCTCACACTTTATGGAGTAAACATTTATTAAATAGGTACTGAGTACAGGATGCACTTTGCAAGTTACAGGACATACAGCTTTGTGTGGTATATTCCTAAGTTCCCACAATTGCCAGTTCTAACTAGTGTTTATTTTTTGAGACGGAGTTTTGCTCTGTCGGCCAGGCTGGAGTGCAGTGGTGTGATTTCAGCTCACTGCAACCTCCACATCCCAGGCTCAAGCAATTCTTGTGCCTCAGCCTCCCAAATAGCTAAGATTACAGGCACGTGCCACCATGCCCAGCTAATTTTTGCATTTTTAGTAGAAAGGGGGTTTCGCCATGTTGGCCAGGGTGGTCTCGAACTCCTGATCTCAAGTGATCCACCTGCCTCAGCCTCCCAAAGTGCTGGGATTACAGGCATGAGCCACTGTGCCCAGCTGGTCTGTATTTTTTTAAAGAAGAGAAGGATGACTATTGAAATCAATAAGTTTATTTTCAAGTATTTTGACAAGGCTAGGTGATTGCTGGATTTAAACTGTGTGGAAAGTCTCATTTGAGAACCTCTTATTATTTCTTGGTACAGTAAATGCCAACTCATTATTTAATAAGCATATGCCCCTAAGTAAGACATATGTGCTCATATGAAAGAATACAAAAGTGATAAGATCAAGTTCTTAGACTCTTAGAGTATTTAATCTAGTGGTGAGGTATAAGACCAGTATAGAAATAAATATAATAAAGAGCAGAATTTGCTAAATTAGAAGTAAGAGGTTCAGAGTTATACGAGAGTTCGAAAGAATGTGAAATCAAGTGAACAGAATATTGTCAAATGCATTGTGTTACTTTAGGCATTTTATTTAATTAGGTTCTATTTTGTTTCTTATCTATCAAGTGTCTTTAGTCAGGGTTGATGAACTTATATTAAATCCCATTCCTTAGTATAGTGTTTTTTAAAGGTAGAATTCAAGGATCATGTACATGAAAACCAACTGGAGTGTTACAAAATACAGATTCCCTTGCCTTGCCCCAGACTTATCAAATTAAAAACCCTGAGGGTAGATCCCAGAAATGTATTGCTGTAAGCACCTTACATATAATATTAATGCATATTTACATAGGTACCAGTTATTTTTTGAAATCAACTTTTGAGGTATGATTTGAGTACTATAAAATACCCTCATTTTAAATGTTTGAAGAGTTTTGACAAATGTATATATTGGTATAACTGTCACCACAGTTAAGACATAGAACATTTCCATCATCCTAAAGTCTTGTCATCCTTGTACAGTCTGTCTTCACTTCCTAGGGAATTACTGATTGGTTTTCTATCAGTATAGATTCATTTTGTTTGTTCTAAAATTTTGTATAAATGAAATCATACAGTATGTACTCTTGGGTCTGGCTTCTTTTGCTCAGTATAATGTTTCTGAGATCCATCCGTATGATTGTGTGTATCAGTAGTTCTTTCCTTTCTGTTGCTGAGTGCTGTTCCATCGTGTGGATGTATTACAACTTGTTGATGGTTTCTAGTTTTTGGCTATTATCAGAGCTGTTATAAACATTTAGGTAGAAGTCTTTCCATGATATTATTTTAGAAGTTTAGTTTCTGTATCCTCTTTATTAATCGTAAAGTGTTATACAAAGCTGTAAAGATTAGTGATGACTTCATTTCGCAGTTTCCTTATCTATTAAAAGAGGATAATACCTACCCTACCTATTGCAGAGTTATTTTTAGTATCAAATGAAATATAATGTATGTGAAAACAATTTGAAACTTACAGAGGTCCATAGAGGTCATTAACTAGTAAGGTTTAAGGCCTAGACACATATAATAATTATTATAAATCTTCAGAGGAGTTTTCTAATCTGTTGACATTAGATTTTAGCCTGAGCCCTAATTTAAGATCCTTCCATTTTTCTCCCATCTCAGAAAAAGATGGAGGAGCTCTTATTACTGGCCAAGGAAAGCAGTCGGAGCAACCATACAATTTGGTTTGGACACTTTACAACATCCACTATTCTTTCTCCATCACCAGGAATCCGGTCAATAATGAGGTGAGACAAGCTTCCAAAATCAGAATTAATTTGTTTTTAGTTTTTTTATTTTGCTGTTACCTATTCTGCTTTTCTGGCAAGACATTTTTATTAGTTTGGCCTCACGCGTTATCTTTGTTCATTTATTTCATTTATTTTTCATTGGTTAGTTCGGCTATAGCTTATTTGTGTGGACATCTCCATACACTTGGTGGACTGATGCCTGTTTTGCACACTCGTCACTTCCAGGGCACTTTGGAACTTGAGGTGGGAGACTGGAAGGATAATAGGAGGTAAGGGAACCTCCCCATAGAAGAAAACTTATACACATAAGTTTTGCCAAAGCAATGATAGTTTTCTTACTGATATCATGGGTGATCACAGTTAAAGAAAAACTTGTGATATTTCTGTTTTTTTAAAGTAATATATGTCTCTGAAATCTTTGTCATTTTGCGGAAACCTTGTCATAGCAGGGATGTTTACTATCACTATGTTACATTGGATTTTCAAGATATGTCCATTAGGAATTGGACTCAAACTCTAGTGTGCACAAGAATTATGGAGGAGCTTATGAAAAATAAAAATTTTCAGGCGCTGCCTCTAGAGATTTTGATTGTGTTGGTCTGGATTAGGGTCCAACAAATTACATTTTTTTTTTTTTTTGAGACAGAGTCACGTTCAGCTGCCCAGAGTAGCTGAGATTACAGGCACCCACCATCATGCTCAGCTAATTTTTGTATTTTAGTAGAGATGGGGTTTCACCATGTTTGCCAGGCTGGTCTTGAACTCTTGACCTCAGGTGATCCACCCGCCTCGGCCTCCCAAAGTACTAGGATTACAGGCGTGAGCCATGGCGCCTGGCCCAAACTGCCTTTTTTAAAAGCCCTCTGGGTGGTCTATGCATGACAATTTGAGAAATACTAGGACTAGAAGTGTCATGTTTTTCCTCCTGAATTTTGTATCTACCATACTGGTTATTGTTACAAGATGGTAGTGATTTAACTTCTTCAAATAGATGATAGTTGGCTTTTTTAAGGTTAAAGTCTCTCTAAGAGAAAATATGTTTATCAAAAGCATGTAGTGTAGTTAAATATATGGTTTTTTCTTTTTTAAAAAGAAGTATTTAAGTGAAATAGTTTATCAAGTTTTGAGGAGTATCATCTTATTGTTTAACTATTACAGTTATTTAATTTACACAAACCCTGTGCTCTCAGATAATAGGTACTCAGCAAAGGTTTGTTGAGCTGAATATGTTATCTTTTTATTTTTAACTACTTCCATTAATTAAAAAGGAACTTTACATCTTGGAAGGTACTTTCTCATTTTGGTTGACTTTTTAAAAACTGTGTGAGTTATGCTTGAAACGTGTAATTATTTGGCAACTATAATTACTTTGAGCTAAGAGTTGTCTGTTCATGGCTGTGAGGCTGTGGGCTGGGCTATGATTGCCTTTTGTGAGATAGTCTTACTAAGCCTTGACCAGCTTCTTTATTTCTTCTAAGTGCTCTAGTTACAAGTTGTGATGTTAATTATGAAGGCATTTCCTTTCTCTCTCCACCAGTTTTCCTGTGTCCAACCCTGGGGTTTTATTTGGAGCGTACTCCAGATAAAAGGACCTAAACTTTACCTGCCCTTATAAACACTTAAATTGTGTTAGTTACAATAGAATAATTTTTAAAAACAGTATATTGGAAATATTAGGCTAGGCCTTGTTGTAGATGCAGATAAATCCAGAAATATCAGTGGCTTAACACAAATGTTTTTCATTTGTATAAATTCAATATGAGTCAGAACAACTCTTATCCATGGGATGAGTCAGTAATTCAGACTTCCTCCATCTTAAAATTCCTATTTCGACATGTCGATTCCAGGGCAGGGAAGAGAGCAAGGAGAACTCACACCCACTCTTAAGTACTTTGGACCACAGGCATGATATGTGTCACTTCTCTTCACAGCCCATTGGCCAAAACTAGTCACATGGTCCCAACCTGATACCAGGAGACTGGGAAATTCAGGGGAATGTGTAGAGAATTTCGTGAGCACTATTGTTTCTGCCATAGTGAATCATTTCTTTTTTTAGTTCTAAAAGTTAGAAAATATAAAACTTTGGTTATTCTTTAATGAATATTTTATACCTTTTGTTATTGCATTTGGAAAATGAAAACAACTTTAATTTCTTTGAAATTATAGAAATAAATGTTTAATGCTAGGCATGGTGGCTTACGCCTATAATCCCAGCACTTTGGGAAGCCAAGGTGAGGGGGATCACCTGCGGTCAGGAGTTCGAGACCAGCCTGGCCAACATGGTGAAACCCTATCTCTGCTAAAAATAGCCAGGTGTGGTGGCGGGCACCTGTAATCCCAGCTACTTGGGAGGCTGAGGCAGAGGTTGCAGTGAGCCAAGACTGCGCCACTGCACTCCAGCCTGGGTGACGGAGTGAGACTCCATCTCAAAAATAAGAAAAAAAAAAAAAAAAAAGAAAGAAAGGTTTAAAAGAAGCATGAAAGATTTCTAATTTTGTTCATATCAACCATTTTAATATTTTATGTAGCATTGTTGATGGGATGAAGAATGTCAAGTATTAGGGTTATAATAAATATTTTAGGTTCAAAATTGTCTTAAAGTACAGGGATAAGATGAGTTACTTCAACAAGTATTTATTTAAAAATTAAAGAGTACATGCCGTGTACCAGGTGTTGTTCAAGAGCACAGTTGAATCCATTGCCCAGTCAGAGGCAGTTATGTGACAAATGTGAAGGATAAAGTGATGGGGTAAGGGAAGAAAGAAAGAAAATATTACTTAATCTGTATTCAAATTAATCATGTAAAAAAGTCCTAGTTATGTATTTTTATATTTGTTCTGTATATTACCTTCATGACCTCTTACAATGTGAAGTGACTAAATTACCTTATCATTATCTGGTCTTTAGGTACCGGATTTTTGCTTTTGATCACGACCTCTTTAGCTTTGCAGATTTGATCTTTGGGAAGTGGCCTGTGGTTCTTATCACCAATCCTAAATCACTCCTTTATAGTTGTGGTGAACATGAACCACTAGAAAGACTTCTTCACTCAACACACATCAGGTATGTAGCAATTTTTTAGAATTTACTTTCAGTTTGATAATGAAGGAGAATAAGTCATTGTGATTGCATTCCCATGTGAAAGCTATGAGATGCCCCATTTTAGTTTTCTCAACAACCTAAACATTATATAAAGATAGATTGCTTACTGTTTTGTTTCCATTAAGTTAAAAAGCATATCATTTTTTTAAGCTGATGAAATTTTAAAAACCATTCAGAAATCTATAATTCTACCATTATTATTTTTGTTTTATTTTATTCCAGCCTTTTTATTTGGACGCTTTTACATTGCTATAAGCATAATGTACATATTCCTTTATAGTCTACTTTTTAAAATTTGCATTATATATCAAATTTTTTTTCATTTGTTATGTAGCCTTCTAAGAAAGCAAAAGCTATATATATAATCCTTATGGAATTGAAAATTCAGTTGGCAAATGAATTTGTTTTGTTTTGTTTTGTTTTGATTTTCGACAGAGTCTTGCTTTGTTGCCCGGGCTGGAGTGCAGTGGCCTGATCTTGGCTCACTGCAACCACTGCCTCCCGAGTTCAAGCTTTTCTCATGCCTCAGCCTCTGGAGTAGCTGAGATTACAGATGTGTGCCACCACGCCTGGCTAATTTTTGTATTTTTAGTAGAGAGAGGGTTTCACCGCGTTGGCCAGGCTGGTCTCGAACTCCTGACCTCAAGGGATCCGCCCTCCTACGCCTCCCCAAGTGCTGGGATTACAGGCTTGAACCACCATGCCTGGCCATGAATTTGATTATATAGATTAATAGAATCCAAATGGGACATTAACATTCTTTTTGCAAAGAGATATATAACTTGTTTCAAATGTAAGAGCACTTTTTAAAATATACTTTTACAATTTATTTTGAAAAGTAATACAATAGAACAACCTTTGGAAAATAGGGTAATGGGATTTTAAGTATGTTTTTCTCCACTTCTAATAGAACTATTATTAGCACTTCTGAGTATTTCTTCTCAGGCATTCTCTCTTAAGATGTTTTTATATAATTATAATCATAAGGCACAGTCTATTCTAATTCCTGATTTGTTTTCTTTCAGCACAAAGAATGTACCACAGTTTTTCTAACCATTTTCATATCTCATTGGTGAACTTTTAAGGTTTTTCTTATTTGTGGATGAATATCTGGTACATATATATTCTTCCTTCACTTGAATAATTTCTTTAAGAAAGAGTTCTAGAAGTGGGATTCTAGGTGAAAGAATTTGAATTCTTTTATGACTGTTGATAAAAATTGCTCAATCCCTTTTTTTTTGGAGCTAAAATCACTATTTTTAATCATGGTAAGCATGATTAAACAAAGTACACATGGCATAAAATGTACCATTTTAACCATTTTCAAGTGTACAGTTCAGTAGCATTAAGTTTGCTTCAAGTTTACATTGTTTTGCAACCATCACCATTATCCATTTCCAGAACATTTATCATTTTCTAAAACTGAAACTTTTACCCATTAAACAATAACTTCCTGTTCTTCCCTCTCCCACAGCCCCTGGCAACCACCAATCTACTTTCTGTCTCTATGAATTTGACTACTCTAGCTAACTCATATAAGTGGAACCATTCAATATTTATACTTTTGTGACTGGCTTATTTTCATTTAACATGATGTCTTCAAGGTTTATACATGTTGTGGCATATGTCAGAATTTCCTTCCTTTTAAAGGCTGAATAATGTTCCATTGTACATTGTGTGTGTGTGTGTGTGTGTGTGTGTGTATATACACACATATGTATACACACATACACACATACCACATTTTGTTTATGTGTTCAATGGACACTTGGGTTGCTTCTAACTTTTGGCTATATTGAATAACGCTTCTATGAATATGAGTGTACAGATAACGGTTCAAGTCCCTGCTGTCACTTCTTTTAGATATATATCCAGAAGTGGAATTGCTGGATCATATGGTAATTATCTGTTTAATTTTTTAAGGAGCTGCCATACTGTTTTCCATGGTGGCTGCACCATTTTACATTCCCACCAGCAGTGTATCAGGTATCCAATTACTTTCAACAACAGATGCTAATTTATCATATTACCAAGCAATATGAATGCCAAATTCACAATACTCTTATTATTATTGGATATTATGCTTTAAAAAGTATTTACTAATTAACTTGTAAAAAATGGTACCAAGATGTTTACATTTATTGTTTTCATCACTAATGAAATGGAACACACATGTGTCAGTCAGGTTTTTTGGTGGGAGCTGGATATCAGGTTTAGGTGTCATACTCTCTGAAAGGGCTTGGTAGCCTAGTTCTGGTTATAACCCTGTTTCTTTGGGACAGACACCCTGGTACCAAATGAGTAGATGGTAGGCTTGACATTAGATTAACAAAATGAGATTTCCACCCTATATTATTTTCCTAAGAGAAAAATCAGTACTTCTGGAGTTTCTTCAGAAAGAACTTTGAATCTACCTTACCTAGATTTGTCAAAAGAAAATTGATTTTTCTTTCTAAAAAGTAAAAGAATAGTTCCGAATTTCTTACCAGTTCAGTTTTGCTAATTGTCCAACTCCAGAAGCCACCATTCGGAAAGAAACCAGATCATATCAATAGTGGCTCCTGCTGTTGTACAATATGATGGTTCTGCCTATACGTGTATATCTGCAAGTTACAATAAGGTTATTCTCCTTTGCAAAAACAATGACAAACCTCAAACCATGTGTTTTATATATGCTCTCATTTTAGAGTCTTGGCCTTTTCCTTATCCTCCATTACTTCTGTCACAGTTAAGATTGATGGAGTTCATTTAGGCCAGGCTGTTCATGTGTCTGGTCCCATTTTCGTACTGAAGTGGAATCCTAGAAACTACAGTAGTGGGACACATAACATAGAAGTAATCGTCCAGGTAAGTTAGTAATTTATATTTACTATGTAAATGATTAAGCTGTAGCCACAATGAATTCTGGTTTGGAATTTTTTAGTCAATTGGTAATGAAACCATGTTTAAAAAAAAACTGGGGGCCGGGCATGGTGGCTCACGCCTGTAATCCCAGCACTTTGGGAGGCCAAGGCAGGCAGATCACCTAAGCATAGGAGTTCGAGACCAGCCTGGGCAAAACAGTGAAACCCTGTCTTTACAAAAAAATACAAAAATTGGCTGGGCACAGTGGCATGTGCCTGTAGTCCCAGCTACTCAGGAGGCTGAGGCAGGAGAATCCACTTGAGCCCAGGAGGTAGAGGTTGCAGTGAGCTGAGATTGCACCACTGCACTCCAGCCTGGGCAACAGAGCCAGACCCTGTCTCAAAATAAACAAAAAAAGTGAAAAAATTGGGGCTGAGGCTGGAGGATCGCTTGAGGCCAGTAGTTTGAGACCAGCCAGGGCAACATAGTGAGACCGCATCTCAACAAAAAAATAAAAGTTAGCTGGGCATGGTGGCGTGCATCTGTAGTCCTAGCTACTTGGGAGGCTGAGATGGAAGGATCGCTTGAGCCCAGGAGTTCAAGGTTATAGTGAGCTCTGATTGTGCCAGTGCACTCTAGCCTGAGTAACAAAGCGAGACCCTATCTCAAAAAATAAATAAATAAAAATAAAAATAAATTGAATACACTGTATTTAGTATATTCTGAAAATGGGCACTTGGAATAATTCTAATATTAGATTAAAAACTAGGCAGAGGAGAAGAGGAGTGGCCATAGACTCCCTTTTTTTAGCCCCAGGAAATCATTCTTGTGTTTTCTTCCAACTTTGCCCAGAATCTTTTCATAATAGGGGCAAATTCCCCAGTATACCCAAAGGTAATAGAATAAGTCAGAAAACATGTATTATGTATCCATGTCTTTGATTGCTGTCTCTAATTGTAGGACAATTGTGTCATTATTTGAAAGCTTCAGGACACAGAATTTTCAGTGCATCAGAAGCACTTTTTTGTTAGAGGAATAAGCATTGTTAGCATATGCAGTACCAGTTTGCCTTTTCTTATTCTGATTCAATTTAGGGCATTTAATTTATTAGCACCTGCCAGAGTAGAAAATAATAATCATTACCAAAATAGAGCAGTTTCATTAAACTCTTAAGGCGATAAGCTGTGCTCAGAAATTAGTTTCTTAAACACACACACACACACACACACCTGTCAATTTCTGCAACTTTATGATTTGATGACAGTTGTTAACTATTTAATCTTCTAATATTAAGACTTAATTTGAAACACTAAATAATTTTTCAGAAAACATATGTAGTTATTTTCATTATCTTTTTTATCCCCCCTACAGAGACAGGTTGAGTAGGAAGAAACTATTTACTGAGCTCCCTCTAAGGAGATGCTAGGCACTTAGAATTTTTTACTTAATCCACAAAACAATCCTTTGTTGGGGGTAGTTTTACCCTTGGTTTGTAAATGGAGAAACTTGTACATCTGCACAAAAGAAGACACTCTGCTATGCCATCCATCTTTAAAATGTTCTGTGTAGAAGGAAGAAAAAACTTACAGCAGAAGTAGAAGGAGAGATAGCTGGGGATGAACCCTTAAGGTCTTTCATATTAGAAGAAGGTGGATCATTTTAAAGAGACTTGAAGGTTCATGTGCACCTAGAATAAATTATTCCCTGTCTTCACAGTCACTACAGTCTGGAGTGCCTCAGAACCCCAGTGTATTATTTTCTTAATAAGATATACATACAACTTCTGTAGTTTTATGAAGAAAAAAAAACCATAGCTTATATTCCTTGAAACATTTCTGGCTGCTTAGTTGAATCCTTAGTAAAAATGTAAAATCACATACTTTTTGTATGTTTAACATTTCTTACAATGGTATCAAGGTATAATTTATACATAATAACATAATAAACCCTGTATATTTAAAGTATACAATTTGGTGAGTTTTGACATATGTATACATCCTTGAAGTCATCGCCTACAAACAATATGATACATTTCCCTCAAAAGTTTTCTTGTATCCTTTGCAATCTGTTTTCCTTACATCCTCATTCTCAGGCAAGGACTGATCTGTTTTCTGTTTTCTTATATGTATAACTTTAAACAACCTACTGAGTATTAAATAGGGAACCTGGTCCCTTCATTCATTCATGGGAAAGTTCTGTCCTTTTAAGTACAGTAAACTGTAGATAAGTCAGATTTGAAACTCAAAATCCGTGGGAGAAGACACTTATTATCTAATATTTTACCTACTCATTGTATTTATTGAATATCTATAGGTTCCCCACAGTCTAGTAGCAACTAGACCTTTAGATCAATTTTCAATGTGGGTCCTGGGCTAGTGGCATCAGTATCACCTGGGAACTTGTTAGAAATGGAAATTCTCAGGTCCCATCTGAAATCTACTGAATCAGAAACTTTGGAGATAGGACCTAGCAATCTAGTTTAACAATCTCTCCAGGTGATTCTGATGTCCACTAAAGTATGAGTATCTGTAGTTTAAGATTATTGTGCCTACTTTGCCAATTTAAAGAGTAGACCCTAGAAAGGTCTAATCTCAAACATTAGAAAAATCTAGATTCCTGCTTTAAAACAATAACATAGTTTAATATAAGCACATTTTGAGCAATAAAAGCTTAAAAAACACAACTGTAAGTTCTTATTGTTATTTTTAAAGTTTTTTTTATAATGGGAAAATTTTAAATATACAAAAGAGATAATATTATAATGAACTCCCATGTATCCATCAGCCAGTCTCAACAATTATCAACTCATGATCAATCTTGTTCCTTCTTTATCCCTATCTCCCCTCCCTGCACCATGATGTCTTTCATCTGTAAATATGTCAATATTTATCAGTAAAATATAAGGACTGTTTTTTAAAAACTTAACCATGATACCATATCATACCTGGAAGACTAACAGTAGTTCCGTAATATCGAACTACCCATTTAATGTTCGGTTATCCCAATATGTTACATAGATAGATAGGCAGATAGATAGATAAATAGATATGTATATTTTCATTTGGTTGGTTCAAATCGGAATTCAATCAAGGCTCTTACATTCTATTTAACCGACTTGTCTCTTTCATCTCTTTTACTGTACAGATTGCATCCCTTACCTCCCCCCTCTTTTTTGTACCCTTAAAATTTATTTGTTTTGGAAACTGAATCTTTGGTCCTGTGGAGTTCCCTGTTTTCTGGATTTTTGCTGTTTACATCCCTGGGGTATCATTTAACATGTTCCTCTGTCCCTGTCCCCTTTAGGTTCTATAATTGGTAGTTAGATTTAGAGGTTTCATCAGATTTACATCTGTTTGTTTTTTGGCAAGAGTACTTTATCTGGTTTTTTATGCTTTTAACAGGATGCCCATAATATTTGGTTGTCTCTCTTTCTATAATGTTAAGATGGATCAGTGTATTCAGCTGTTGGTAGCCTTATCCACTGATGTGCTGGTAAATATTTAGTAACCAGCTTGGGGCAAGTTACAGGGGTCAAGGAGAGGGGATCCTGATTTGTAGCATTTCCCTGATTTGTACCAATCCCCATAATATAAATATTTCTACCATGGCTGGTTTTAAGCTACCAACGCCATGCTAAGTGGCCTGCAAAATTGCTGAAAACTTAACATTTGGCTCTTATGAGCAGTCAAGCCAGCTCCAGCACACTGCTGGCTCATCCCTCCATTATCTTTTCACCTAAGGGTTTTTAGCAGCCATTGATGATACTTACCTAAATCCATTTTTTATTAGAGTTATAAAATGGTGATATTCACATTTTCTTTCCTTATTATAGGAATATTAATTAGAACAGTCCTATGAAGAAAAAAATTATCTTATCTATTTGGTACCCAGATATAAAGTTCACACACAAAATGCAAGATAAATTCTTCTTTCCCCATTGCCCCTTTACTAAAGCAGTTTTCAGAATAATGAGTTGGTTCTTTAGTATCTGCCAAAGGTGACTGAGTCTTTTACATTTAGTAGTATTATAAATTCAAAGTTTAAAAAATATATTGATGTATAAAAAATACTTGATGTATTTCAGTCCATTGCATTTATTATTTTCCATGCTCAAATTGTTCCACCTTTGGCTAGTGGGAGCCTCTTCATGTTGACTACTAAGCCCTTTGACACAATCCCAGTAGTCTTTGTTCGTTTTCTTACTTTCTGATTTGACAAGATATTCCAAGCTTTTCTTATGCATTTTTTTCTTTAAAAAAATTTTTTTTAAAGTTTTACTTTTTGTGAGTACATAGTAGGTGTGTATATCTGTGGGTTACATGAGGTGTTTTGATACAGGCATGCAATGCGTAATAATCACATCATGGAAAATGGAGTATCCACCCTCTCAAGCATTTGTCCTTGTTTTACAAACAGTCCAATTACACTCTTTTAGTTATTTTTAAAAGTACAATTATTATTGACTCTAGTCACTCTGTTGTGCTATCAAATAGTAGGTCTTATTCATTCTTTTTATGCTTTTTGTACTGATTAACCATCCCCACCTCCCTCCCAATGCCCCCTTACTACCCTTTCTAGCCTCTGGTAACCATTCTTCTACTCTCTGTATCCATGAGTTCAATTGTTTTGATATTTGGATCCAACAAGTAAGTGAGAACAAGTGATGTTTGTCTTTCTGTCCCTGGCTTATTTTACTTAACATAGTGGTCTCCAGTTCCATCCATGTTGTTGCAAATGATAGGATCTTATTCTTTTTTGATGGCTGAATAGTACTCTATTATGTATATATACCTCATTTTCTTTATCCATTCATCTGTTGATGGACACTTAGGTTGCTTCCAAATCTTATTGTGAGCAGTGCTGCAACAAACATGGGAGTGCAGATATCTCTTCTTGTGCACTTCCTATTCAAGAACTGGAATGAGCTGTTTCCCTAAAGAGCACTGGTTTCTTGTAGTGAGAAATACTATTTTGAGACCGCAACCTGGGCACCAGCCTAGGTAGCTCATTACTGTTAGCTTTGTTGTTATTTCTAGGCCTTTTTAGGGAACAGAGGGAAATAAAAAAATTTTTTTTAAAGGGAAAATACACGTGAGTGCATGCTAATATTTACTCTTTAAATGTAGAATTATAGGTTTTAATCTCTTTTTTTGTTTTTTTGACAGAGTCTCACTCTGTCACCCAGGCTGGAGTGCAGTGGCGTGATCTCGGCTCACTGCAAGCTCTTCTTCCTGGGTTCAAACAATTCTCCTGCCTCAGGCCCCTGAGTAGCTAGGATTACAGGTGCGTATCACCATGCCTGGCTAATTTTTGTATTTTTAGTAGAGATGGGGTTTCACTATGTTGGCCAGGGTGGTCTTGAACGCCTGGCCTCAAGTGATCCACCTGCCTTGGCCTCCCAAAGTGCTGGGATTACAGGTGTGAGCCACCTTGCCTGGCCTAAGAAATATTATTAAAAGTACTTATAAGGCCAGCACTTTGGGAGGCCAATGCAGGAAGACTGCTTGAGGCCAGGAGTTCAAGACCAGCTTGGGCAACATAGCAAGACCCCATCTCTAAAATAAATTTAAATATTAGCCAGGCGTAGTGGTGTGTGCCTATAGTCCTGCAGCTGTATCAGGAAGATCACTTGACCACAGAAGATGAAAGCTGCAGTGAGCTAGCTATGATTGCACCACTGCACGCCAGCCTGGACAACAGAGAGAAACCTTGAAAAACAACAACAACAACAACAACAACAATAACAACAACAACAAAGTGTAGTTATTAGAAACCTATTCTTATTTTAATTTAGAACATTATAAATATTTCCATGTACATGAAAGTTACTTTTCTTCTGTGGTTATTACTAGGATTCTGCTGGAAGAAGTAAGAGTGTTCACCACATATTTTCTGTTCAAGAGAATAATCATCTCAGTTTTGATCCCCTGGCATCATTTATTCTCCGTACTGATCACTACATCATGGTAAGTGAATTCAATTAAATATTACATATGTTAAATGCAGAGTCCTAAATAATATACAGTAGTCCTCCCTTATCCATGATTTCACTTTCCATGGTTTCAGTTACCGAAGGTCATCCATGGTCTGAAAATATTATATATAATAAGATATTTTGAGAGACAGAGACCATAGTCTTGTAACTTTATTATAGTATATTGTTATAATTGTTCTATTTTATTATTATTGTTGTCGATCTGCTGTGCCTAATTTATAAATTAAACTTTATCATAGGTATGTATTTATAGGAAAAAACATAATATATATAGGGTTCGGTACTATCTGTGTTTTCAGGCATCCACTGGGGGGGACTTGGAATGTGTCCCCTGTGGATAAAGGGGGACTATTGTAAACATATGACAAGAAAGTTGAATCTTATAAAATTAAAGGTTAGTTATTTGTCTAGAAGAATAAAATGCTTTTAAGTTGATTTGAATTAAAAGAAGCAGAGGCATGGATGAGTCATTTGGGATGCTATAAATCCAGGATAACTAAGGGAATTATAACAAAGGATATTAGTTATCATATCGAAGGGAATTATAACTAAGGATGCTATAAAAACAGGATAACTAAGGGAATTATAGGGACTATGCCAACTTGGGTTAAGGCTTTTTAAAGAATATTTCTTTCCACATCAATAATATATGCTCAGTGTAGAAAACTTGGAAAATTTAGAAATAAAGTTAAATCAGCCACACATCTTTCTTTTATCACACTATCCATTATAACCATTGTATTTGTCATTATGATACTCTAATTTTTCTCTCTTATATACACATGTGTATATATATATGTGTGTGTGTATATATGTATTTTGTTTGTTTGCTTGTTTGTTTTTTGTTTTTTCTGGAATCAGAGTTTTGCTCTTGTTTCCCAGGCTGGAGTGCAATAGTGCCATCTCGGCTCACTGCAACCTCCACCTCCTGGGTTCAAGTGATTCTCCTGCCTCAGCCTCCTGAGTAGCTGGGATTACAGGTGCCTGCCACCACGCCCAGCTAATTTTTTGTATTTTTTTAGTAGAGACGGAGTTTCACTGTTGGCCAGGCTGGTCTCGAACTCCTGACCTCAGGCAATCCACCCGCCTCAGCCTCCCAAAGTGCTGGGATTACAGGCATGAGCCACCATGCCCAGCTTGTATATGTATTTTTTTTTGTATATGTATTTTTAACATAAATACTATTATACCTTTATTCTCTTTTGCTGTCTGATTTTTTTCCACTGAGGAATTTGTCTTGACTATTTTCTCTTATCAATTTATATTATAACATATTAGCTGCATTATATTGCCATAGATATGCCTTAATTTTTATTTTATTTTATTTTTTTTGAGACAGAGTCTTGCTCTGTCACCCAGGCTGGAGTACAGCAGTGCGATCTTGGCTCACTGCAACCTCCGCCTCCTGGATTCAAGTGATTCTCCTGTTTCAGCCTCCCAAGTAGCTGGGACTACAGGTGTCCCCGACCACGTCCAGCTTTTTTTTTTTTTTTTCAGTAGAGTCGGGGTTTTGCCATATTGGCCAGGCTGGTCTCGAACTCCTGACCTCAAGTGATCCACCCGCCTCCCAAAGTGCTGGGACTACAGGCGTGAGCCACTGCCCCTGGCCCTTTTTTTTTTTTTGTTGAGCTGGAGTCTCGCTCTGTCTCCCAGGCTGGAGTGCAATGGCACGATCCCGGCTCACTGCAACTTCTGCCTCCTGGGTTCAAGTGATTCTCTTACCTCAGTCTCCTGAGTAGCCAGGATTACCGGCGCCCACCACCATGCCCGGCTAATTTTTGTATTTTTAGTAGAGACGGGGTTTCGCCATGTTGGTCAGGCTGGTCTTGAACTCCTGACCTCAGGTGATCCACCCACCTCAGCCTCCCAAAGTGTTGGGATTACAGCGGTAAGCCACCGCACCTGGCTGCCTTAATTTTTTTAATCACTTCTCTATTGTTGGACATTTAAGTTGTTTCTAATTTGCCCCTCTACTGTATAAATAATGCTTGTAACTAAGTTTTTAGATATCTCTCTAATATAGTTTCTTGGGATCAATTTCTAGAAGTGAATTTCTGGATCAAAGGGTGGGCACACTATTTTATATACTTTACTATTTATATACATAATTACATAAATTATTTATTATTTATAACCATCATTTTTTTTTCCTATCCTCGCTCATTAAAATATAAGCCCCATGAGGGCTTATATTTTGGTATGCTTGGCACATAGTAGGCCCTCAATAAATATTTCTTAAATGAGTAAATGGGTATTTTTTTAGTTTTTAATATACACTGTTAAATTGTCTTTTAGAGAAGCTATGGTAATTTATACTGTAGTTCCCTCAGATCTCATTTATCCTGGGTGTTAGCATAAAATAAAAATAAAAAAAAAGAAATACACTAAAATTTTCAGAAGAAAACTTAAACCTTCCTTAATTTCACCTCCCAGAGATAGGTTTAGTGTATATTCTCACGGACTTAAAATGTGAGATCATTATTATTTTAATTTACTTTTGTTACTTGTATGATTTTTTCAGACATATTATTAATAAGCATTTGCATCTCATTACTACAAAATTTTTAAATCATTTGTTATTTTTTCTTTTGTGGATTTTTAACAGTCACCTAAATTAGGCTTGGGGAATTTTGATATTCAAATGAATAACCTGGATGTTATTAAAATACGGTTCTGGGGCCGGGCTCGGTGGCTCAAGCCTGTAATCCCAGCACTTTGGGAGGCTGAGGCGGGCGGATCACGAGGTCAGGAGATCGAGACCATCCTGGCTAACATGGTGAAACCCCGTCTCTACTAAAAATACAAAAAATTAGCTGGGCATGGAGGTGGGCACCTGTAGTCCCAGCTACTTGGGAGGCTGAGGCAGGAGAATGGCGTGAACCCGGGAGGCGGAGCTTGCAGTGAGCCAAGATCATGCCACTGCACTTCAGCCTGGGTGACAGAGCGAGACTCCGTCTCAAAAAAAAAACAAAAAACAAAAAAACAGGTTGTGGTTTAGCAATTCTGAGAAGGGGACTGAGATTCTGCATTCCTAACAGGCTTTAGTGGATTCCAGTGACGGTCCAGGATCTTACTTTGAGAAACAAGCACCTAGGTCATATGTCACTATTGTGAATTCATCTCCAGGTGAATGACTTCTTGAGAAGAAAGCAAAAGAAAACAGTCTATGTTCACTCAGCCTGCAGTGTAGTCTATACTGTTTTTTTATTCTTATAGAACTTTAAAACAAAACAAAGTATCCTTCTCCCAGTACAATGAAAGTGGACTATTTTAATTTGATTGCTTAATATAATTGTATAAAATTACTTAGCTTCAATATTGGTCTAAGTATCTAAATTCAGAAAGAGCAATGCTGAAGCAATTTATAATTTTCTTTATTGGTGGATCAGATGTTTGATTCCATCTCTTAAAGGCTCCATCTCTTAAAAAGAAAAGACTTAAAGAGTCCATCTCTTAAAAAAACTGATGTTGTGGTTATTATTTTTGATAGGTTTATCTTTTAGTCTTCTTACTCAAGATGTGAGTGGTTTATGTACCACAATTACAGTGTCAGAGTATTCTATATTAGGCTGTATATTTACTGTTGCCAGTGAGTTTTATACCTTCAGATGATTTCTTTTTTCTTTTCTTTTTTTTTTTTTTTGAGATGGGGTCCTCCCAAGTAGCTGAGACTACAGGCACATGCCAATACAACCAGCTAATTTTTACTTTTTTTTTGTAGAGACGGGGTCTCACTTTGTTGCCTAGACTGGTCTTGAACTCCTGGCTTCAAGCAATCCTCCTGCCTCGGCCTCCCAAAATGTTGGAATTACAGGCGTGAATCACTGTGCCTAGACTTCTCATTGCTCATTAACATCCTTTTCTTTCAGACTGAAGAACTTCCTTTAACATTTCTTATAGGACAGGTCTGGTGTTGATGAAATCCCTCAGCTTTGTTTGTTTGGGAAAGTCAGCTTTGTTTGTTTGGGAAAGTCTTTATTTCTCCTTCATGTTTGAAGGATATTTTTGCTGAACATAATATTCTAAGATAAAATTATTTTCCTTCTGAATATGTCATGCCACTTTCTCCTAGCCTTAAGGTTTCCACTGAGAAGTCTGCTGCCAGACATATTGGAGCTCCTTTGCATGTTATTTGTTTCTTCTCTCTTGTTGCTTTTAAGATCCTTTCCTTATCATTGCCCTTTGGGAATTTGGTTAATAAATGCCGTTAGGTAGTCTTATTTGGGTTAAAACTTCTTGGTGTTCTATGACCTTCTTGTACCTGAATATTGATATATTTCTTTAGGTTAAAAAAGTTCTCTATTATTATTTTTTGAATAAACTTCCTACTCTGATCTCTCTCTGTACCTCCTCTTTAAGGCCAATAACTCTTAGATTTGTCCTGTTGAGGCTGTTTTCTAGATCTTGTAGGTGTGCTTCATTCTTTTTTTTTTTCCTTTTTTTCTCCTCTGTGTATTTTCATATAGATGGTCTTTAAGCTCACTAATTCTTTCTTCTATTTGATGAGTTCTGCCCTTGAGAAATTCTGATGCATTTGTCAGTTTGTCAATTTAATCTTTCAGCTTCAGAATTTCTGCTTTGATTTTTTAAAATTATTGTAATGTCTTCATTAAATTTCTGTGATAGGAGGCTGGGTGCGGTGGCTCACGCCTGTAATCCCGGCACTTTGGGAGGCCGAGGTGGGCGGATCACAAGGTCGGGAGATAGAGAACATCCTGGCTAACACAGTGAAACCCCATCTCTACTAAAAATACAAAAAATTAGCCCGGTGTGGTGGCGGGCACCTGTAGTCTCAGCTACTCGGGAGGCTGAGGCAGGAGAATGGCATGAACCCAGGAGGCGGAGCTTGTAGTGAGCCAAGATTGCGCCACTGCACTCCAGCCTGGGTAACAGAGCAAGACTCCGTCTCAAAAAAAAAATAAAATAAATTAAATAAAAAATAAATAAATAAATAAATAAATAAATTTCTGTGATAGGAATTTGAATTCCTTTTCTGTGTTTTCAAGAAGTTCATTGAGCTTCCTCAAAACAGCTATTTTGAATTCTCTGTCTGAAAGTTCACATAACTCTGTCACTCCAGGAATGGTCTCTGGTGCCTTATTTAGTTCATTTGGTGAGGTCATGTTTTCCTGGATGTTCTTGAGGCTTGTGGATGTTTGTCAGTGTCTGGGCCTTGAAGAGTTAGGTATTTATTCTAATCTTTGTAGTCTGGGCTTGTTTGTACTCATCCTCCTTGAGGAGGCTTTCCAGGTATTCAAAGAATTGAGGGTTGTGATCTAAGTCTTTGGTCACTGCAGCCATATCTGTACAAGGGGGTGCCCCAAGCCCAGTAATACTGCAACTCTTGCAGCCTTACGTGGGCTTGGTGGGCTTGGGTAAGAACTGGGAGAATTCTCTTGATTACCAGGCAGAGTCTTTTGTTTTCTTTTCTTTTTTTTCTTTCCAGAGATTTTATTTGTTTTGGTGGCAGAGACAGAGTAGACTGTGCTTACTTCGTTTTAACAAGAACCATAACCCCAAATCTCTAACATACCAAAGTAGAGGGAATCATACAGCAAACACCTATGTATCCATTGCCCATATTAGATTGCATCTTTTCTTTTAAACAGAATATCTGAGGATTGCCATGTTTCTAATATGTTAAATACAGGACTGGTTTGTGTCAGAGTGCAAATCAATTATTCCTGAAATGATGGAGAGATATTTCACCAACTTGTTCTCCTTGAGGTTTTTCTTTTTTTTTTTTTTTTTATTGATCATTCTTGGGTGTTTCTCGCAGAGGGGGATTTGGCAGGATCACAGGACAATAGTGGAGGGAAGGTCAGCAGATAAACAAGTGAACAAAGGTCTCTGGTTTTCCTAGGCAGAGGACCCTGCGGCCTTCCGCAGTTTTTGTGTCCCTGGGTACTTGAGATTAGGGAGTGGTGATGCCTTCAAGCATCTGTTTAACAAAGCACATCTTGCACCGCCCTTAATCCATTCAACCCTGAGTGGATACACCACATGTTTCAGAGAGCACAGGGTTGGGGGTAAGGTCACAGATCAACAGGATCCCAAGGCAGAATAATTTTTCTTAGTACAGAACAAAATGAAAAGTCTCCCATGTCTACCTCTTTCTACACAGACACGGCAACCATCCGATTTCTCAATCTTTTCCCCACCTTCCCCCCTTTCTATTCCACAAAACCGCCATTGTCATCATGGCCCGTTCTCAATGAGCTGTTGGGTACACCTCCCAGACGGGGTGGTGGCCGGGCAGAGGGGCTCCTCACTTCCCAGTAGGGGCGGCTGGGCAGAGGCGCCCCTCACCTCCCGGACTGGGCGGCTGGCCAGGCGGGGGGCTGACCCCCCCACCTCCCTCCCGGACGGGTCGGCTGGCCGGGCGGGGGGCTGACCCCCCACCTCCCTCCCGGATGGGGCGGCTGGCCGAGCGGGGGGCTGACCCCCCCACCTCCCTCCCGGACGGGGTGGCTGCCGGGCGGAGACGCTCCTCACTTCCCAGACGGGGTGGCTGCCGGGCGGAGGGGCTCCTCACTTCTCAGACGGGGCGGCTGCTGGGCTGAGGGGCACCTCACTTCTCAGACGGGGCGGTTGCCAGGCAGAGGGTCTCCTCACTTCTCAGACGGGGCGGCCCGGCAGAGACGCTCCTCACATCCCGGACGGGGCGGCAGGGCAGAGGCGCTCCCCACATCTCAGACGATGGGCAGCCGGGCAGAGACGCTCCTCACTTCCTAGATGGGATGGCGGCCGGGAAGAGGCGCTCCTCACTTTCTAGATGTGATGGCGGCCAGGCAGAGACGCTCCTCACTTTCCAGACTGGGCAGCCAGGCAGAGGGGCTCCTCACATCCCAGACGATGGGCGGCCAGGCAGAGACGCTCCTCACTTCCCAGACGGGGTGGCGGCCGGGTAGAGGCTGCAATCTCGGCACTTTGGGAGGCCAAGGCAGGCTGCTGGGAGGTCGAGGTTGTAGCGAGCCGAGATCACGCCACTGCACTCCAGCCTGGGCACCATTGAGCACTGAGTGAACGAGACTCCGTCTGCAATCCCGGCACCTCGGGAGGCCGAGGCTGGCGGATCACTCATGGTTAGGAGCTGGAGACCAGCCCGGCCAACACAGCGAAACCCCGTCTCCACCAAAAAAATACGAAAACCAGTCAGGCGTGGCGGCGCACGCCTGCAATCGCAGGCACTCGGCAGGCTGAGGCAGGAGACTCAGGCCGGGAGGTTGCAGTGAGCCGAGATGGCAGCGGTACAGTCCAGCTTCGGCTCGGCATCAGAGGGAGACTGTGGAAAGAGAGGGAGAGGGAGACCGTGGGGAGAGAGAGGGAGAGGGAGAGGGAGAGGGAGACGGAGACGGAGAGGGAGAGGGAGAGGGAGAGGGAGAGGGAGAGGGGTCTTTTGTTTTCTTTCCTCACTTTTCCCCAAGCAGAAGGAGCCTCTCTCTTTGCTGGCCTGCCTGGATATGTGGGAGAGGTGACCACAGTTTGTACCGTTCTGGGTCACACCTGAATTCACCATAGTACTGGGTCTTGTCCAAGTTCTGTGGTGACTACTGCTTGGCTACTGCTGATGTTTATTCAAGGCCCAGGGGCTCTTTAGTCAGCAGATGGTGAATCTTGCCAGGACATGGTCTTTCTCTTCAACACAGCAGGTTTTCTTCTGGCCCAGGCTGAGTCTAGAAATGCCATCCAGGAGTGAGGGCCTGGGCTCAGAGGCTTCAGGAATCTGCTTGGTGCTTTATTTTTACTGTGGCTGAGCTGGTACCCAGGTGGCAAAACAAAGTCCTCTTTACTTTTCTCTCTTGTTTCCACAAGAGGAAGGAGTCTCTCTTTGAGCTGCACTGCCTGGAGAGTTGGGGGATGGGTGACACAAGTACTCCCCTGGCCACCACAACTGGTGTCTCACTGGGTCTTGTGCACTCCATTTCCACTGGCTCTGAGCCCAACATAGTACCCAGATTTGCCCAAGGACTGCAGTCCTTGTGGCTTGACTGCCTTTCAAGTTTATTCAGGACCCTAGGGCACTTGTTTAGTCAGCTGGTGCTGGAGCTAGCTGGAACTCAGGTTCCTACCACTGGGGCAGAGGATTGCCCTCTGGCAAGGGCCAGCTTAAATGCTCCCTCTGTGGGTGCTGGCAGAATTCTGCCCTGTGTTGTGTTCCCCTGTGACAGCACTGAGTTCCAACGCAAAGTCTCACAGTCATTTTGCTCTCTCCCACAAGTGCACAGATTATCTCTGCCACAGAATGGGGGAAGGGTGGTGTAGGCAATGAAGTACTGTGTTGTCTACGCTTTTTAGTGCCTCTTTCCTTGATATGATGTTAAAACCAGGTACTGTGATCACTCATCTGATTTTTGGTTCTTATGAAAGTGCTTTCTTGTGGGGATAGTTGTTCAATTTGGTGTTCTGAGGGGAAAGGGGTGGATGATTGCTGGAAGGTTCTATTTGGCCATCTTGCTTTACCTCCTCCAAAAGGGGCTTGTTATGAATAACAATAGGTATTCCTTTTACTTTATCACTCTAGAGCTGTTTTAGGAGCCAGAGACAAAATCCAAATGTTATAACAATATGCTCCTATCCTTGTTATCACTTAGAAAATTACAAGGATTTTAGGAGCTCTGACCAGTGGGGACAAAGACCAAAATATGTATTTCTTATATCACAGTATCACAGATGCCATTTCCATTTTTGTTAATAAGGCTACTTTAAAAATCTTAACTGAAAGTGTACCCATGTATCTATTTCACGTTAACATCTATTTCCCTGCAGGCCCGGGTCCTTTTTGTGCTGATTGTGCTGAGCCAGCTCACCATTCTCATTATTTTTAGATATCGAGGATACCCAGAGCTTAAAGGTTAGTTATGGTTCCTTTTATTCCTATAAGCCTTGTTCATGGAAAAAACCAAACTCCGTAAAATATTTTAAAGAGGTTTATTCTAAGCCAATATGAATGACCATGGCCCAGGGAAAACACAAACTCAAGAAGCCTTGAGTAAATGGTCCTGAGGCAGTTGGATTACAGTTGGGATTTATACATTTTATGGAGGCAGGGGTTATAGGAAAAGACATAAAGCAATACATGGAAGGTATGCATTGCTTCGGCCCCAAAAGTTGGGATATCTTGAAGTGGGGGCTTACAGGTTTTACGGGGATTCAGAGATTCTTTAATTTGCAATTGGTTAAAGGACTGAGGCTCTGTCTAAAACTTGTCAGCAGAAAGGAATGTTTACGTTAAGATAAGGATGCTAGGTCAGCCACAATATACTGGGTGAAAAATGACCTGTTTAGGAAGATTGATGTCCTGCAGGCATTATATCTTGTTTATAATTTGGTATCTTATTGTGACAGAGTCTGTTTTGTCAGTCTTATGATCTCTATTTTAACATTAATGATGGTCTGTTGTTGTGCCCAAACTCTAAAAGGGAGGGAGTATGACAAGGTGTGTCTGACCTCCCTTTCCATCGTGGCTGAGAACTCAATTTTTAAGGTTTCTTTGGGGTCCCCTTGGCCAAGAGATATCCCAAAATTAGTTCAAGGTCAAAAAAGATTTAATTTATAACTTGATCCTTGGGAGGCATGCCAAAGATGTCAAAAGGTTTAAAACACTTGGTCAGAATAGGAATAGATGTCATTGTGAAGTAATAGTCACTCACTTAAACAGAGAGACAATTAAAAGACTTCATAAACAATGCAGAAAGTTCTGTGGCTGTAAACAAAAACCTTTCAAAGCTCAGTTTTCCTAAGAAATTAAAAAAAAACTAATAAGGATAATATGAAACATAGGAAATTATCTTGATAATATGTAAAATCTTTGTTTCTTAGGTCAGTTCCCAAAAAAGTAAAGAAAAAAACCTTCCTGAAGTGTGATTGCTCCTCCTTATGGGAAGCCTGTTTAGATAACCTGGAAGTGAAACCTGATGGAAAGATACTTAAATATAATCAGACATAGGAAGAGCATGCATCCAAGGTTATATGTACACACTATATTATAGAGGGACATAAACAAGAAAACTAGTACCTTGAGCAGGGGAATACAGCGCTCTTAGAAAAAGCATGGGAAATTTCCTGGTTATATGGGCAATTCAGAAACATCAAGAAAAGCCAAGAGTACAGAATCAAGTTATATCGGAGGAAAACACTGGCCTATAAACTCTAAAGCTGCAGTTCAGAAGATGCTTGAAAATTAAATTTTAAAGAAACAGATTTTAGAATTAAGTCAAAACCTCTTATGGTTGGGCACAGTGGCTCACGCCTGTAATCTCAGCATTGTGGGAGGCCGAGACGGGCAGATCACCTGAGATCAGGAGTTCAAGACCAGCCTGGCCGACATGGTGAAACCTCATCTCCACTAAAAATACAAAAATTAGCCAGGCATGGTGGCACACACCTGTAGTCCTAGCTACTCGGGAGGCTGAGGCATGAGAATTGCTTGAACTTGGGAGGCAGAGGTTGCAGTGAGCCGAGATCATGTCACTGCACTCCAGCTTGGGCAACAGAGCGAGACTCTGTCCTTAAAAAAAAAAAAAAAGTTCCCTTCAAATTCCAACCATCCTGATGATATAAAACTTCCATTACAGGACCCATCCTTCATAAACCTTCCACAACTTGCTTAGACCTTCCATTATTCTCCTAAACTCCTAGTCTTTGTCCTGTATTTTCCCCACTTTTATATTGGAATAACTAATTATTTTACCATAAGACAAAAAAATTACTTAAAATTTTTTTATTCCTTTATATTGAGACCACATAAAATTCTTTCTCATATAAAAACAGTTTCATATTAATAAAAACTTTTTTTTTTTTTTTTTTTTTGTGTGTGTGTGACCTGGAATTTCGCTCTGTCCCCCAGGCTGGAGTGCAGTGGCGCAATCTCAGCTCACTGCAAGCTCTGCCTCCTGGGTTCATGCCATTCTCCTGCCTCAGCCTCCCAAGTAGATGGGACTACAGGCGCCCACCACCACGCCTGGCTAATTTTTTGCATTTTTAGTAGAGACAGGGTTTCACCATGTTAGCCAGCTTGGTCTCAATCTCCTAACATCATGATCCACCCGCCTCAGCCTCCCAAAGTGCTGGGATTACAGGCATGAGCCACTGTGCCCAGCCTTAATAAAAACTTAATTTTTAGTAACCTTAAGCTTTAGGTTACTCTGGAAGTAAGTAATTTTGAACTGTTATATATTAACATCTCATGAATATATAGTTTATAATCTCTAAAAAAAATTTTTTATGGAACAATTTTTGAATGTGGAGTTTACTATTTACTAATAGACCCAAGTATGTTTTGTCTTTCTATGCAATTTAAGAAACCAAGAACCAACTTATACTAATGTTTAGCAATTTATGTTTCAGTATTTTATCTTACTTAGAAATGACTCAGACATTTCATGAGTATCTATTACTTAATTTAATATAATGTAACTTTAGGATTTAAAATCACATGAAAAGTTCATTTATAAATTTATCCCATTTACATTCATCTAACTTATTTTTTAACTACACATAGATTACTTATGAAAACTAAGATATTAGATAGAGTTAGTCATTATGTCAAGGTATCTTTCTGTTAATCAGTTTTACAGCATGTGAATTTCGGGTGTTCACCTAAGTAGAAATCTTAAAGCTAATTATATAAATATTTTGCCAAAAACTGAAAACAGCTATCTTCATTAAATCAACTATATTAAATTAGTTTTACTTATCAAAGAGTTACACAAAGATCATTCTGATTTTAGGCTGGATATATAGTTTTGTGACCTTTTGGTCAAATCCTGCTTAAAACATCTAGCACAGAGAAATGCAAAACTATCTGATCAGTAAACCCAGGCAAAAAATGTATGCTGACAATTCTGAAGACATTTCTGTTTTTATCAACAAATTTAAAATCAGGTATTTTATGAAAGATTTACTTAAGTCACATGAACTTTCAGGCATTTGAAATCACTATATTTTGATAGAAAAATATATACATATACTGATATTAAAAAAATAAAAACATATAGACTATCAAAAATAAAGACCTTACAGGAAGACCTTACTACAGTTTTTACCTTAAAAATCTAGTCATTTTTCAGTAAGCATCAGTCTTCACTCCTAATGGCAACATATTAAAACTCATTAATTCAGGCCAGGTGCAGTGGCTCATGCCTGTAATCCCAGTACTTTGGGAGGCCAAGGTGGATGGATCACTTGAGGTCAGGAGTTCTAGAGCACCGTGGCCAACATGGTGAAACCTTGTCTCTACTAAAAATACAAAAAATAGCCGGGTGTGGTGGCATGCACCTGTAATCCCAGCTACTCAGGAGGCTGAGGTTGCAGTGAGCCAAGACTGCGCCACTGCACTCCAGCCTGGGCAAAATAGTGAGACTCCATCTCAAAAAAACAAAACAACCCATTAATTATTTCTTCAAATGTTCCTTTTCCTTTTGAGAGGTCACCAATGCCATGTCAGTATCACCTCTCTGGATTCCTGAATAGACTCCTAACTGCTGCTCTTATATCCAGTCTCTCTATCTAATTCATCCTCTTCATTATTAGCCAATTATCCTTCTTATGGCATCTCATCCATAGATCACTTCTGTATGCAAAAGCCTTAAGTGGCTTTCCAGAACACACTGAATAAAGGTCAGACATCTCTGCAAGACACTAAAAATCTTCCACAGTCTAGTCTTATTTAACTAGCCATGTCTTCAACCAGTTACCTGTATTTTAGCCTAGATACTTTTTCACTGTTCCCTATACGTGCCATGCTCATTTCTGCTTCTGTATTTTTCTCATAGTATTATCCCTACTTTAAGTTATTTTTCTAAACTTATCTAAATCTTAGCCTCCTGTAAGGCTTACCTGAAGACCTCCTTTATCATACTGTTTTCTCCAGCCATTCCAGGTCATAATGAGCTCTTGCTTATCTGAATCCCTATAGTCCTTTCTCACAATTAATTCTATACTTAATTAGACAGCCACTTTGCTTTATATAACCACTTCGAATGTATATACATTTTCTCCTTAACCAGATAAGTTCCTCAATGCAGGAACTTTTTTTTTTTTTTTTTTTTTTTAGACAGTCTCGCTGTGAACCCCAAGCTGGAGTGCAGTGGTATGATCTCAGCTCACTGCAATCTCTGCCACATGGGTTCTCAAGCAATTCTCTTGCCTCAGCCTCCCAAGTAGCTGGGACTACAGACATGCACCACCACACCCAGGTAATTTTTGTATTTTTTTTTTAGTAGAGATGGGTTTCACCATGTTGGCCAGGCTGGTCTCAAACTCCTGACCTCAGGTGGATCCGCCTACCTCAGACTCGCAAAGTGCTGGGATTACAGGCTTGAGCCACTGTGCCTGTCTTCAATGCAGGAACTCTTGCTTCCTAATTCTCTTCTGTTTCCCACAGCCCCCAGCACCAAATTTGTGTATAATAGACAATAAATACTTGTTGAATCAAATTTTCCTGATCCCTTCTTAATTTGGATGAAATCCCTGGGATTAAGGACTGATGATAGAGAAGGGGAGTATTGTAGTAATGATTAAACAGTAACATGATTAACTGAATAGGTACAGTACACATCCTACTGAATGTTTTTCTTCTTATATTTATTTTAAAAATTCTACGAAAAAGTTCAAGAAGCATTATTATACATGTGTATTTTCCTGAACATAATGTAAGTAAATAAATATTTGAAGTCCCCAGCCTCTTATATGGGGGCTCTCAATATTTTTATATAGTTATTTAAATTTGAAACATATTTTAACCTACATTGTTTCACTTAATCCTTAAAACAATCATGTGAGGTAGGTGCTATTGACCCCATTTTAAAGATTAGAAAACAAAGGTTTTGGGAGGTTATGTAAATTGTCCAAGGTTTCATAGCTAATAAGAGATAGAGGAGAGACTCCAAACCCAAGGCTTCTGACCCCAGGTCAGTTCTTTCCTCTAAACAAGACTTTTCCACTTTGGTCGTACCTTAGAAACTGCTGGGGGAACTTCTGAAATTTCAATAGCTATAACAGCATTCTATACCAATTACATCAGAATCTCTAGGGTGGGACCTAAGCATCAGTATCTTTTAAAGCTCCCTGGATGATTCCAATGTGCAGTCAAGACTGAGAAGCACGGCTTTGTCTAAAGCAGTATTTCTCAATCCTGACTGCTTAGAATCACTGGGTTGCTGCCTAAGATCTCCCTCTACCCCAGGCAAATTAAATCAGAATCTCTGGAGGGTGAGATACAAGCATGAGTATTTTCTAAAAGTTCCCCTAGGTTATTCTAATGTGCAGCCAAAATGGAGAATAATTACTTAAAATTTAAAGAATAGCTGCCTCTAAGGCTAAAGGATTTTTTAAAATAATAAATAATTATTATTCTATCTGAATATGTAGGCTAATACTTTGAGAAGTACAGACTAGAACAAAAAAGAAGCTGAGAGAGTAACACAAAGTAGGAAAGGTCATGCATTATCAGGCTTTGCATAAAATGAAGTGTTAGGCTGAGCAAGGTTATAAGTATAAAATGAATGTGCTGGTCTTTTAGCAAAGACATGACTTATTTAACTTACATCAGACTGTCTTTCATTGAGACTAGTCCTTTAAATATTTTTTACCAGTAGTGTTGCTCAGTGTATACTGAACTTCCTTTCATAGTCCTCAGCTGACTGGTTTATGGCCAGCCACATGCATGGGTGACATGGCTGGTTGGGGCTGAGGATCTGTGGTACTGTAGACTGTGGCCGCAGAATGGAGCTTCTCTGAGTCAAGCCCTTACACTTGGGCTTTTTGGCACTGTATTTTAAAAGCACGTTAATTTGGAAAGTTTAGGGAAGCCTTTCAGTTGGAGTAAGAGGTTAGCTGTGCGTTAAGAACTGTAGAAATAGGGAAAGCGCTGGCAGCCAAGATGGCCGAACAGGAACAGCTCCGGTCTACACCTCCCAGCGTGAGTGACACAGAAGACGGGTGATTTCTGCATTTCCATCTGAGGTACCAGGTTCATCTCACTAGGGAGTGCCAGACAGTGGGCGCAGGACAGTGGGTCCAGCGCACCGTGCGTGAGCCGAAGCAGGGCGAGGCATTGCCTCACTCGGGAAGCGCAAGGGGTCGGGGAGTTCCCTTTCCTAGTCAAAGAAAGGGGTAACAGAGGGCACCTGGACAATTGGGTCACTCCCACCCTAATACTGCGCTTTTCTGATGGGCTTAAAAAACAGCGCACCAGCAGATTATATCCCGCACCTGGCTTGGAGGGTCCTACACCCACGGAGTCTCGCTGATTGCTAGCACAGCGGTCTGAGATCAAACTGCAAGGCAGCAGTGAGGCTGGGGGAGGGGCGCCCGCCATTGCCCAGGCTTGCTTAGGTAAACAAAGCAGCCGGGAAGCTCGAACTGGGTGGAGCCCACCACAGCTCAAGGAGGCCTGCCTGCCTCTGTAGGCTCCACCTCTGGGGGCAGGGCACAGACAAACAAAAAGACAGCAGTCACCTCTGAAGACTTAAATGTCCCTGTCTGACAGCTTTGAAGAGAGCAGTGGTTCTCCCAGCACGCAGCTGGAGATCTGAGAATGGGCAGACTGCCTCCTCAAGTGGGTCCCTGACCCCTGACCCCCGAGCAGCCCAACTGGGAGGCACCCCCAGTAGGGGCAGACTGACATCTCACACGGCCGGGTACTCCTCTGAGACAAAAGTTCCAGAGGAACGATCAGACAGCAGCATTCGCGGTTCACGAAAATCCGCTGTTCTGCAGCCACCACTGATGATACCCAGGCAAACAGGGTCTGGAGTGGACCTCTAGCAAACTCCAACAGACCTGCAGCTGAGGGTCCTGTCTGTTAGAAGGAAAACTAACAAACAGAAAGGACATCCACACCAAAAACCCATCTGTACATCACCATCATCAAAGACCAAAAGTAGATAAAACCACAAAGATGGGGAAAAAAACAGAGCAGAAAAACTGGAAAACTCTAAAAAGCAGAGCGCCTCTCCTCCTCCAAAGGAACACAGTTCCTCACCAGCAATGGAACAAAGCTGGACGGAGAATGACTTTGACAAGTTGAGAGAAGAAGGCTTCAGACGATCAAACTACTCCGAGCTACAGGAGGAAATTCAAACCAAAGGCAAAGAAGTTAAAAACTTTGAAAAAAATTTAGACAAATGTGTAACTAGAATAACCAATACAGAGAAGTGCTTAAAGGAGCTGATGGAGCTGAAAGCCAAGGCTCGAGAACTACGTGAAGAATGTAGAAGCCTCAGGAGCCGATGCGATCAACTGGAAGAAAGGGTATCAGCGATGGAAGATGAAATGAATGAAATGAAGCGAGAAGGGAAGTTTAGAGAAAAAAGAATAAAAAGAAACGAGCAAAGCCTCCAAGAAATATGGGACTATGTGAAAAGACCAAATCTGCTATGTGAAAAGAAGACACTTATGCAGCCAAAAAACACATGAAAAAATACTCACCGTCACTGGCCATCAGAGAAATGGAAATCAAAACCACAATGAGATACCATCTCACACCAGTTAGAATGGCAATCATTAAAAAGTCAGGAAGCAACAGGTGCTGGAGAGGATGTGGAGAAATAGGAACACTTTTACACTGTTGGTGGGACTGTAAACTAGTTCAACCATTGTGGAAGTTGGTGTGGTGATTCTTCAGGGATCTAGAACTAGAAATACCATTTGACCCAGCCATCCCATTACTGGGTATATACCCAAAAGACTATAAATCATGCTGCTATAAAGACACATGCACATGTATGTTTATTGTGGCACTATTCAGAATAGCAAAGACTTGGAACCAACCCAAATGTCCAACAACGATAGACTGGATTAAGAAAATGTGGCACATATACACCATGGAATACTATGCAGCCATAAAAAATGAGTTCATGTCCTTTGTAGGGACATGGATGAAATTGGAAATCATCATTCTCAGTAAACTATCGCAAGGACAAAAAACCAAACACCGTATGTTCTCACTCATCGGTGGGAATTGAACAATGAGAACACATGGACACAGGAAGGGGAACATCACACTCTGGGGACTGTTGTGGGGTGGGGTCAGGGGGAGGGATAGCATTAGGAGATATACCTAATGCTAAATGACGAGTTAATGGGTGCAGCACACCAGCATGGCACATGTATACATATGTAACTAACCTGCACATTGTGCACATGTACCCTAAAACTTAAAGTATAATAATAAAAATTAAAAAAAAAGAACTGTATAATGTATAGGAAAGGACCATATTTGGACAGATACTCATATTTATGATTAGAATGAAGATATTTTGATATTTCTTTTAATTTACTTTTGAAGTATTTTGATATACCTTTTTGAAGTTTGTACATTTGGACACTAAATTCCATAGAAAACAGAGACTTGATCATCCTTTGAACAAACCACTATCTTTCAAACCTATATAAAGATAAAATAGTATGGTGCTCTGGTAGGTGTGTCCATTGCTTTCAGTTATTATATATATATGTATATGTACATATATGTGCATATATATATGAGTTCGATATATTGTGATATATATAACAATTATGTATCTTATGATATATATAAAATATCTCACAACTACACCATTTCTTCGAACTCTCTGCCTTTTGCAATTCTAAGTGAACTGTCTCACCAGGATTCCTGCCAAATTCTGAATTTAAAGTGGTGTCATCTGTATAGTTACCATCTAACAAAGGATTTGCTGAATATATGGTAGATAGCCCATGAAAATCTTCTAGAAAATGTCATAAAGAAACTGAACTTTGCATGTGTTCACTGGGTTTTTCAACTTTATGTTTTTTAGAACCTTCAGGGTTTATAAATCTGACCTCATTTTCTCTTCATGTCTTGAGCAAAATAAACATCTTCTACTATTCTGTGTTGTTGTTGACCCTGTATACAGTGCTGGGTAAGTAAATTAGTACAGATTATGGGGAATTTTGCCAAAGAATATATTAACAATTTTGACAATAGAATTAGACTCTTGAGGGTATAACAAATGGCTCATGGATTCTTCATAAATCATTTTCTGGGACATGGTTTTGGAAAATAAAGCTCGTGCCTAACATGTTTAAAGGACATTTAGTTAACACCAAGTTAACTTAAGGGTGCTGAGAAGACTGCTACAGAATTAGTATTTGTGTAGAAACCTAATAGAAGCTTAAATAGCACCTCCTCAGAGCAACCTTCTTTGTCTATCTTAAAGTTTTAGTCTATATCTCATCACAGGTTTTACTTCCATCATTACCTTTATCAGAATTTATACCTATCTTCTGTGTTTATTATCTATTAACTCATTAAAATATTCACTGGTAGGCGGGTACGGTGGCTCATGCCTGTAGTTCCAGCTACTTGGGGGCTGAGGCGAGAGTACTGCTTGAGTCCAGGAGGTCAAATCCAGCCTGGGCAACACAGCAAGACGCCATCTAAAAAAAAAGTATATATATCTATCCATTGGTATTTTGCCTATTTTGCTTAGTATGTAGTTCATTGAATATTTACTAATGTGTGGCTCTCAAAAATTCAGCTCAAAAAAGAGAGAAACTGAGATGAGCAATAGTTCAGGCATATCTGCACTCTTCTGTTGTATTATTATACCCAGTAGTATCATGTGGCATATGACAAACATTTCAGTCAACAAGGGACCACATATACAGTGGTGGTCCCATAAGACTCTAGTGGAGCTGGAGGTATATAATAGACTATATCATGTAGGTTTGTGTATGATATGTAAGGACAAAATTGCCTAAGGACACATCTCTCAGAATGCATCCTCATGGTGAAGCAATGCATGACTGTACTTATAAAGTCACTTAGCCACACTTATAAAAGCAGAAATCACCATAAATCTTTTAGGCTTTTTTGCTTATGTTTCTTAGTGACTAAAAGTCAATTAGGAGTACATTAGCCTATTTGTTGCCTAGTCTTAGTCTTTATTTTACACTTTTATCCTCCCTTTGCACTTTGCTCATTAGTAACTCCCACCAGAGAACAAATGAAAATATAACACTTTATGATTCTGTGTAAGCTATGGCAGATCACCTTTGGAGGTAAGTTCTCTTGTTCAAGATAGGTTGAAGCTGTTTTTGACGCTTGTCTTACACAATGAGGTAAAGCAAGTAATTTGGTTCCTGGGCTGTAAAACAAAACAAAACAAAATACATTAATAGGGAAGAATTGTTCCATTCAGAAAGTTGAAATCTGAAGACAAAACACCTTTTTAGACTCATATGTCTTTAATGCAGTTTATATAAAGTATATCTGAGAAAATTGCCTCTGACTTTTTAAAGCTGAACCCTATTCTTGCCAGCAAATGATGGTATTTGCATTTTTTTTTTGAGATGTAGTCTTGCTTTGTTGCCCAGGCTGGAGTACAGTGGTGCAATCTTGGCTCACTGCAGCCTCTGCCTCCTGGGTTCAAACAATTCTCCTACCTCAGCCTCCCGACTAGCTGGCATTACAGGCATGTGCCACCACACCTGACTAATTTTTGTATTTTTAGTACAGACAGGATTTCACCATGTTGGCCAGGCTGGTCTTGAACTCCTGACCTCAGGTGATCTGCCGGCCTTGGCCTCCCAAAGTGCTGGGATTATAGGCATGAGCCACCCTGCCTGGCCTAGTATTTGCATTTTGCAAACGGAAATCTAACTGTCCCTTATCACTCTTGACAAACAACTTGACACTCTTATGGAGACCAGCACACTTACAAGACAAAATGACAATAATAATAATAATAATACCTAGAAACTCACACACTGAGAATGGGGCAGTAAATAATAATAGGGAGGATAGAAAAGTCAGCATGGCATTCCAGATGAGAAAACTGAAGCAAGTTAAACTTTCTACATGGTAACCGTGATTATGTAGTTGATATACAAAGTAATGACTGTGGGCCTTCAAGAAGAGGTTAAAATACATTCATTATATTAACGAGTGCATCTTAGAAAGATTTCTTTCAAAAAGTAGTTGAAGTTTTTTTGCTTTAAGGAGTAAATCTCAATCATCTGGAAATTTAACTTCTGTGGAATACCTCTTTACATCTTAAAGGAAATGTTAATGCATTATATTGAGGTTATTATTGCAATGGAATTTTCAAAAATGTGAGTGTGCTTTTTTTGTTTCTAGAATCTATAAGACACATATCTGTTCTAGGTATAGTGTCTACTAAGACAATTTCACAATCCAAAAAATAGTTGGTTAGCAAGGATATCAAGTACAACACAGAGACTAGCAAAGAGGGAAGGCTATGAAATAAAATGCTTATAGATGGCTAGTCTCATATCTCTGCTTTATTCCTATAAATGTATCTCATGATATATGTAATCAGAATTATAGTTATTTAATCTCCTCCTTTTTTGTCCATTGCCTCTTTTAGGTCCATGGTTTTTTGGTGAAATCATTGATGGCAAATTTGGTTGCTGCTTTTCCTTTGGGATATTTGTTAATGGACATTTCCTACAAGGCAGCATAACATTTATAATTGGAATTCTCCAGGTAAGAAGTCAGAAAAGCAATTTAAGAACATCTTGGACTTGTCAGACTAATTGCATAACAGTTATGAATTAAATCCAAAATCCAGAATTAAGTACCATAGATCATCTTTCCTACTTTACTTGCAGGGCAGTCTTTAATAAAAGCTTCATTTGCTTTTAAAGTGCTTCCTAAACTCCTTCCACCACTCTCATGTAAACATCTAAAATACATTTTTTTTTCCCCAAGACAGTGTTCTGCTGTCGCCCAGGCTGAAGCACAGTGGTGCAATCTTGGCTCACTGCAGCCTCCACCTCTTGGGTTCCAGCGATTTTCCTGCCTCAGCCTCCTGGGTAGCTGGGATTACAGGCATGTGCCACCATGCCTGGCTAATTTTTGCACTTTTAGTAGAGACAGGGTTTCACCATGTTGGCCAGGCTGGTCTCGAACTCCTGACCTCAGATGATTCACCTGCCTTGGCCTCCGAAAGTGCTAGGATTATAGGCGTGAGCCACCATGCCTAGCCTAAAATACATTTTTGTCATGAAGTGTTTATAAGAGGTGAAAGAAGTTTTTGTTGTTTTTGTTTCACTGTGCTTTTTCATTGACAAAAAAATGAAACAAGGGATTATGGTAGAAAAAGTTTTAGATTTCTGAGTAAACCAAAACTGATTATGATGATGAAGAAGGAAAATATTTTAGAGGGAGGAAACTAAAAAATAGACACATTAAAAAAATGGGTCAGTTATTCAGTGGAAACTGCATTATTCAAAAACCAGACCTGGGCTTTCCTAGCAATGTACTTGTTTAGGAAACAAACTGATGTATTAGGTTTACATTTGATTCCTTTAAAATAAACACACAAAGAACCTTGATCCATAGAAAAACTACATAAACAGATTTGAAAAGTATTTATCTAACAGTTTCTTTATTTTACTCACCTAATGGAGTTAGTGGACCAAAATTTGAAGTTTTGGAAGAGATCCAAAAACATTCAAAATAAGTTCATGGCCTTCTAACAGGGCAGTAGAACATGATCCAACAGGATTAGAGACAGCCAAGTAGGAAAGACTTCTGCCTAGCAAACACTGACCCAAGTCCAGAATATTCTCTGCATAGCAGCATTATATACATGAGTAGGTCCTGGGTTCATTTCAGTTTTCTTTTCTTTTCTTTTCTTTTTTTTTTTTTTTTTGAGATGGAGTCTCGATCTTGTCGTCCAGGCTGGAGTGCAATGGCATCGTCTCGGCTCACTGCAACCTCTGCCTCCCTAATTCAAGTGATTCTCCTGCCTCAGCCTCCCATGTAGCTGGGGTTACAGGTGCCTGCCACCATGCCCGGCTAATTTTTGTATTTTTAGTAGAGACAGGGTTTCACTGTGTTGGCCAGGATGGTCTCGAACTCCTGACCTCAGGTGATCCGCCCGTCTCGGCCTCCCAAAGTGCTGGGATTACAGGCGTGAGCCACTGCACCCAGCCTCATTGCAGTTTTCTATTATGTTGATGGAGGCTGTCTCTAAGGAGCTCTCTCATACCAAATGAATCCTGAGCCTTACCAAAAGGCAGGGTTTTTTCCTTTGTAAATGTTTACATTCATATTCTAATAAATAGTACACTAATAATGGATTTTATGTATCATCCAGACCCATGAATCCCAAATCTATATCTCTGATCTAGACCTCTTCTCTGCACTTCAAGTGCCTCTATATCCAATGGCCACAGATGTCTAACAGGCATCTCAACTTCATGTGATGTCTCTCTGATAGGAACATTATTTCCACCCCAAACCTGTTCCTCTCTGTTTTTCCAGTTTTAATAAATGACTCCACCATTCACCTGATTTCTCCAAGATGTATCCTCAATTATTCCCTTTCCTTCATACCCTGTATCTATTTCACCAGCAAGCTCTACCTTATTTGATCTGCTTCCAATGCATATCTTGAATCCATCCACTTCTCTCCATTTCTGTTTTCCTAATCTAAGTTGTAATTATTTCTTGCCTGGGTCTTCTCCCTGATATTCTTGCCTCCTTACTCTCAGCTTAATACAGAGCATCCAGTGTGCTCTTTTAAAAACTTTACAATCAGCTCACTTACTTTTCAGCTTGAAATGCTTTGAAGCAGAGCAGTGATCTGGGTCCTGCCGACTGCCCCAATTTCCACCTGGCTCATGCTCTGCATGCACTTCCTTAAAGAGGCCAAGACCTCTCCCACCTCTGGGCTTTTCATTTGTTCCTTCTGCCTAGAATGCACTTCCCTCCGCTGATTCATTCTTGTCCTTCTGGCCTCTGAGAGCCTTTCTCCCAGTTACCTTCTCATGACCCAGTTCTTTCCTTCATTGAACTAATCACGATCTGTAATTATATTTTTTGGTTTTTTTTTTTGTCTGTCTTCTCCCTGTTAGAATGTAAGCTCTATGACGGACCTTTTCTAACTTGTTTGCCATTGTGTCCCCAACTTGGAGCCTAGCTCATGCCTGCTACATAATGGGTGCTCAATAAATATTTGTTAAATGAATGAATCATACAGCAGCTCAACTTGGATTATAATTTAGATACTCTAATTTATATTCCAGTACTTATCATGCTACCTCAAACAAAAATGGAGGTAAGAAAAAAAATACTGATAGCCAAGTCCTCCCCTCACTCCACCAAAAAAGAGGGGTTGTTGTATGTGTGTGTATACATTTACTCAGTTCAATTCCAGCTTAACACCATTGGGTATTAACTGTGTATATGATACTGTACTACAAGTTGGGACTTCAGCATAAATTAAATGATACCTGCCTCTAAGATGAATAAAAGGACATGGGCAAATACACAACTAGCCACAAGTCAGCTGTTGTGTTATAAGCAACTGTGCTTGAAGTAAATTAGCTAACGCCAAGACAGATAGCAGCATAGTCTTAGGATCCACTAATAATGCATTATTAAGACCAAACTCTTCCAAGGACTTGGGAGTAAGCTATGGTTCTGTTCTTTTCCAGCTGGCGTTTTTTAACATCCCCTTGATGGCTTACATGTGTTGGAGCTTGCTGCAGCGGTGCTTTGGTCACAACTTCAGGTCTCATCTCCATCAAAGAAAATACTTGAAAATTATGCCTGTTCACCTACTTATGCTACTGCTGTACATCTGGCAGGTTTATTCCTGCTACTTTCTTTATGCAACATACGGCACCCTAGCTTTTTTATTCTCCCCTTTGCGGACCTGGTTGACACTGCTGACACCTGTTCTCATTCGTTATGTGTGGACACTGAACTCCACCAAGTTTGGAATCTTCATGGTGCAGTTAAAAAGCCACCTGAGCTCCTGAAGGCCATGTCTCACCACTGGCAGCTGGGCAGAAGCCCAGCCTCTGTGTCTGTAGCCCAGGCCTCTACCCCAGTAGCAGGTGGAGGGCCAGGATTGGTGGGTGAGCTTTAGGGAGCAGCTGCTCGTTTGGAGTCCTGGACGTTGGAGGGATTACCCACTACTGATACCTGCAGAATGGACTGCAGAAAAGTCTCAAAAATAATGCCTTTATTCCTTCCCTCCCTAAGGAGGCAAAGAGTTGATTTACCTTTGTGAAGAGAAAACCCTTATCTAGGACATCCACAGGGTAGAGGTTGGGTGTGTGTACGGGAGTGTCTGAGGCCCAGTGTGTTTTTTAGGGTTACCCCATGTAAAGCACTTACCGCTGTGCTTGGAATTCAGCAGCTGTCAAAGGTGCAATTTCAGGGGCAGGGAACCTTTGAGGATCTGGGCCCGACCCTCACTACCCCTGAGATATTAGTTCCCAGGCCTGTTTTCCCACAGGATTGTGGGCTCTCTGCTTCCTTAGTCGGAAGTGTTTTCAACTAATCAAATAAATGAATGAATGATGAATAAGAAAGACGGTGAGCCTGAGGCTTGCTTGTGTAGCCTGGCCTAAGGGGCAAGAGAAGGCGTGGCCTGTCCTGGCCTCTGAGAGTGGGATGGTTGGTGCTGTACCTCAGGGGACAGGGCGGGGCGGGAGGAGGCGGGGCCAGGCCTGGTCTCTGATAACGGGATGGGTGGTGCTGGACCTCGGGCGGGGCCGGGCCTCGTGGCGGGAGGAGGCAGGGCAGGGCCTCTGGGACGGGGCTGGACGGCTTGTTGACGGAAACGAGCCCTTGACGCTGTGGCCCGGAAGTGGAGCGGCTGTCGCAGTGCGGCTCCGGCAGTGGCAGCGGAGGCCTGTGTTTGCGGCCTTCGGCAAGCGACTGAGATGGCGAGCGCAACTGCACCTGCAGCCGCAGTCCCCACCCTGGCTTCGCCTTTGGAGCAGCTCCGGCACTTGGCGGAGGAGCTGCGGTTGCTCCTGCCTCGAGTGCGGGGTGAGCTGACGGAGTTAGAACGGGCGACGGCAGGGGCGGGCTCGGGGTCGGGGAGAGGCCGGGCTCGGGGTCGGGGAGAGGCCGGGCTCGGGGTCGCGGAGAGGGCGGGCTGGGGCGGCGGCGGGGAGCCGGGCTTGGGCGAGGGAGGTGGCTCCGCTTACCTCAGCTTTTCCATTCGCCACCGTTCGGCCCCCACACGCCACACCCACAAGTCGGCGAAGCCCAGGAGACCACCGAGGAGTTTAATCGAGAGATGTTCTGGAGAAGACTCAGTGAGTGCGCCTCCTTCCGGGCTCCCCTTGCCTCAGTTCCTCCAGCGTCCCGACCCCTTTTCCTCCCGCTGTCCCCCACGGAGGGGACTGCTCTCCCCCGCTGCATCCTTTCTGTGAGGTACCTTACCCACCTCAGCACCTGAGAGGGTGAAATAGAATTCTAACCTCGACATTCGGGAAGTGTTTTTGAGAAGTCTCGGTCGGTAAGGGAAGTCTTCCAAGTCCGTGCAGCACTAACGTATTGGCACCTGCCTCCTCTTCGGCCACCCCCCAGATGAGGCAGCTGTGACTGTGTCAAGGGAAGCCACGACTCTGACCATAGTCTTCTCTCAGCTTCCACTGCCGTCTCCACAGGTGGGCTTCACTTTCGTGGAATCCTTGGGCTGCCGAGTTACACCTTAGGAATCCTCTAATTTTCTTTCCACCTTTTGCACGCACGCCAGGAGATTTCTTTTCTTCATCTGTCCAGTGAGGTTACCGTTTTTACTTCACAGGATTGTTGTGAAGACCGAATTGCCAAGTGCAGTTCCTGGCGCGGAGTAGGCAGGTCTTATAAATATTGGTTCAGTCTGAAGTTTATCCTGGTTGTTTCCCTTCTGATAATTTTTTAAGCACTTTTTATTTGCTGGGTGTTTTCACATACTTGATGGCCATCTGACAGATGAGCAAGGAGGCTCAGAAGCTCAGCTTAAGATTTAAAAAAAAGCAGGGGGGCTAGAATTTAAATCAAGGTCTATCTGATGTCTAAGCTACCTATTCTGTTATACTGCATAATACCCTTTTTATATTATTTTTTATATTTAATCAGTAACATATGTAGATAGTACAAAATTCAACAGATATCAAAGTGTGTTAAGTTTACCTTTCCACCCACTTTCTCATTTTTGTCTCCCCCAGTTCCTTTTGCATTATTCCACGTATATTCTGTGCATATATACATTCATATACATTTATCTGTATGTGTCAGCTTCTTTTTACACAAATGATACATAAACACTGTTCTGGACCTTCCAACTTAGAATTACTGCAAACAGTGTCGTGATGAATTACCTAATTCTGTGTATGTGTGTATATTGGTAGAAAAAATTCCCGGAAGTAGAATTGCTAGAACAAAGATTTATGCATTTTAAATATTCCTTTATTATAAAACTAATGAAAGTAAACATGTTGGCTATGACCACGTATGCTCTATGCTCAGTTTTTCTAGAGTTGTGTATGCTTAATATAGGAGTAAGATTCTTTTAAAATGGCATATTCATTGCCTTATTTGATTTTCATAGTCAATTGTTTTAATTTTTCAGTCTACATATATAGGTGTTTGGAAAGGATATAAATATCTTCTGCTGCATGTACCTACAGTGATAAACTCTCTCCTCCTACATACCTTTGAGATTTTTTTTTTTTTTTTGAGACAGAGTCTCTCTCTGTCACTCAGGCTGGAGTGCAGTGGCACAGTCTGGGCTCACTGCATCCTCTGCCTACCGGGTTCAAGCAGTTCTCCTGCCTCAGCCTCTCGAGTAGCTGGGATTACAGGCACCTGTCACCACGCCTGGCTAATTTTTGTATTTTTAGTTGAGACGGGGTTTCACCATGTTGGGCAGGCTAGTCTCGAACTCCTGACCTCAAGTGATCCGCCTGCCTTGGCCTCCCACAGTGTTGGGATTACAGGTGTGAGCCACCGTGCCTGGCCTACCTTTGAGATTTGTGATGAGGAAACAAGAGATGAATTGTATGAGAGCACTTCAAAAGATTCATGGAAAATACTTATTTCAAAAAGAGTAGTTAATATTACCTTATTTTTCTTATCTGCTAACCCCTTTCTTTCAAATGCACTTAGGACTTGCTGCTAAAACTCACTGCAAGTAAGATACCACAAGGAGGCAGCATAGAACTGATTTTCTATACATGCTCAGGACAGTAGTTTCACTCATAGATGAAAAGTTAGAATTTGGATTTATTTGAAATATATACAAATATTCAAGTATATACATATATTCAAATAAATACATATATGTATATATGTGTGTATATACACACATACATACACATGAATCATCATTGCCTTCTTGAGATCTCACCACTTTAGTCCTACTAAAAGATGGGTGGTTGTTGGTTTTTTTTTGTTGTTGTTGTTGTTTTTTAAATTCCAATCTGTATGGAATGATACTTTAATAAAATTATGTGCTCGGATGTTGAATAAATGTCAAATTGCCATAAAAGTTTCTAAACACTCTCAGTCACTGCTTATCTCATCCCTGACTGGTCACAAACAGTTTGTAGACTGGCTCCAACCTGGACCACATTTGTATAGTATTGACTTAGAATTTAACAGAAAATTGAGGACAAGGAAGATGAGAAAGCCAGTGACCACCTAGAAGGAAAATAGTTAACATGGAGCATTGTCGAGTCCATGCTAGTTACCTTTAGTTACATATTCTGATTCTGTTAAAAAAAGAGAGAGACCTGGTTAATGGTTTAATAACCATGGTCTGTCAGTTGGTCTGTCTGTCTCTCTCCCTCCCTCTCTTTTCTGTAAAGGGCCAGTTAGTAAATATTTTAGATTTTGTAACCAACTACCCAACTCTGCCCTTATAGAGCAAACACAACTACAGACATTAAAACCAGTGAGTATGGCTGTGTCCCAATACACTTCATTTCCAAAAACAGGCAGTGGGGCCTGACTTGGCCTGAGGACCACAGTTTGCCAGCTCCTGGTCTAAGATATCATGAATATCTTGGGATACAGAGTATCAGGAATAAGTTTTTTCCTGCTGTTTCTTAATGGTTTATTGAGTTGTCAGCCCAATATCTACTATATAGCTAACTCCTCCCTGGTATGTGATGAGTATAGTAGGCCTGCCTTCATACCAGGACTTCAGAAAATGTTTGATGATGCTGTAGAAATATCTGCCCTAGGCCGGGTGCAGTGGCTTACACCTGTAATCTCAGCACTTTGGGAGGCCAAGGGAGGTGGATCACCTGAGGTCAGGAGTTCGAGACCAGTGTGGCCAGTGTGGCAAAACCCCATCTCTACTAAAAATACAAAAAATTAGCTGGGTGTGGTGGCGGGTGCCTGTAATCCCAGCTACTTGGGAGGCTGAGGCAGGAGAACTGCTTGAACCTGGGAGGTGGAGGTTGCAGTGAGCCAAGATTGCGCCATTGCACTCCAGCCTGGGTGACAGAGTGAGACTCTGTCTCAAAAAAAAAAAAAAAAAAAAAAAAAAAGAAAAAGAAAGAAAAGAAAAAGAAAAGAAATATCTGCTCTATTCCACAGCAGAAGGGTTGACCACTTTGATCTAATCTGTTTCCTTTTTCATAGGAAACCCAGAAGTTCTGTGAACAAGTCCATGCTGCCATCAAGGCATTTATTGCAGTGTACTATTTGCTTCCAAAGGATCAGGGTAAGCCACATAAGTGTTGCATTTATCGTGTAGATCTTTGCTAATATTGTGGATTATGTCTTGTGACTTTTACCTTTACCCAACTTGAACATGTAACTTTCTCCCATAAAATACAGTGAAGGATAATTTTGTAATGTAAGTGACTTATATAAACAAGCCATTATTCTAAGATACAGATGCTTTGTTCCTATGACTTCCCATCTCCCCTGCCTTGCCTGACTCATAAGGCTTTTAATTCTCACAGCCTTCTCCCTCTTCAACCCGTTTTAACACCACAGATACTGGCTGGCTCTCAGCCCCATATGCAGGCTCAGGCCATCCTTACTTTCCTCCACCCATGTTATATCTCACCCTATTTCTGAACATCTGCATAGGTTAAATGGCCTCCAGCCCTGCCTGTAGAATCATGCATTGATTATAATCATGCCAAAATTATAACTGAATACATGTCATGGATCTTCAGGGTTACTCAAGTGGCTTAAACTTCAAGTGTTTCATCTACAGTTGTTAAGAGATCACGGTCCTTAATGAATGAATACATGGTGTCACGGAAAGATTTTGTTCCAAATCTCTTTTGAAGAAAACACTAAGGAATGGCAGGAGGGGCAAGAAAATGCCATGGGGATATAAGTAAGACCTGAGTTTTGTGTTAGCATGTAGGTTAAAGCATGTGGGTGTACATTACCTTATAGTTCTGTAATGCTTAGACTCAGGAAAGCAGATGGTGCTTCTGAAAAGAACACCAGGTTGCTTATTCTTTGGGTTTGGCCACAGGGATCACCCTGAGAAAGCTGGTACGGGGCGCCACCCTGGACATCGTGGATGGCATGGCTCAGCTCATGGAAGTACTTTCCGTCACTCCAACTCAGAGGTAGTGATGCCACAGTTTAGGTTACCAGTTATTGGGGTTCCTTGCCTCAGAGGGGAAAAGCTCATTTTAACAGCAAAGTTACTGACAGCTGAGAGTAATGACCAGCAGGAAGAAGCTTTTTAGGAGACAGGAACCTAGGTTATTAATATATCCTTACTGATTTCTTTCCCCAGCCCTGAGAACAATGACCTTATTTCCTACAACAGTGTCTGGGTTGCGTGCCAGCAGATGCCTCAGATACCAAGAGGTGAGTGAAAGTGGGCAGTGGGCCATGTCTGCTGGCCAAAGCAAAGAGACCTCATGTCTAGCTTCCAGCTTTGTAACATGTATTTGAATTTATATAAACAGTCTAGTGAAATATATATATTTTATTAATGAAATTAATAGGTAGGTATTAATACTTTTTGTCATTCTCTAGTTATCATACTTCTAAATTCCACTCCCCCTTGCTGTGGCTGTCTCTTGTTGAACAAGTATGGTTTGTTTTCCTAGTCCTACCCCAAGAGTAGTATTATGGAGCACACTGAAGCAGTTATGAGGTAGAGACAGCTAGGCCAAAACAGTGGTTGTCCAAGAGGACCATGATGATAAACATCATGTGACCATTTTATTTCTTCTTGTGAATAAAATACAAGCTTTTTAAACCCCTATCTAGATACCAGGGGATGTAGTGAGAATTTTTTATTAAACCCGCACCCTTGTCAACCGTCCTTGGCACTCCCATCAATAGGAACAATGTGATTGTTCCTTGCAGTCATAAGAAAATTGTTGGATTTCTCCTCTAATTCTAGTGCTTCTGATTTTTCACTCATAGATAACAAAGCTGCAGCTCTTTTGATGCTGACCAAGAATGTGGATTTTGTGAAGGATGCACATGAAGAAATGGAGCAGGTGAGGGGACCTCCATCATTGGAAGGCAACTCCTTGACTAGTAGATGAGAATTAATTATAAAGAGAGATTTCCTGAGCATTGACCAGATAGGTCCCATTCTCACTACTGTCCTCTGTCTTCCATCTCCCACTGCTTGTTAGTGTTTGATTTAGTACCACTCCTCTGTGTTCCCTTACTGGACAAGGAGAGCGAGAACAGGGTTTATGAAGTGATTCAACTCTGTAGCCCTTAGTGAAGTGGCTGGCTAAGATTTTTGGACAACTAAGACATCGTGGTAAAAGTATAATAATAGGCCTCGCCTTTTTTTTTTTTTTTTTTTTTTGCATTCACATACATCATGGTATGTCTTAGGCTGTGGAAGAATGTGACCCTTACTCTGGCCTCTTGAATGATACTGAGGAGAACAACTCTGACAACCACAATCATGAGGATGATGTGTTGGGGTTTCCCAGCAATCAGGACTTGTATTGGTCAGAGGACGATCAAGAGCTCATAATCCCATGCCTTGCGCTGGTGAGAGCATCCAAAGCCTGCCTGAAGAAAATTCGGATGTTAGTGGCAGAGAATGGGAAGAAGGATCAGGTGGCACAGCTGGATGACATTGTGGATATTTCTGATGAAATCAGCCCTAGGTAAGCGGGATCCCCACTTGAAACATCTGAGCAGCAGCGTTCTGATTTCAATTTGTGTTGTCACCTCAAGGTTTTCACAGTTTTTTTATATTTTGAAATTTTTCAAACCTATAGGAAAGTTTAAAAAGTACCTTCAGTGAACACCCCTATATCCTTCTATTAGATTTGCCTGTTGTTCACATTTTTTCCTATATTGGTTTATTTCTCAAGAGATACTGTTTCATATTTATTCCAGAATGTTTTGAGAGTAAATTGCAGACAGCAATGACATTTCACCCCTAAATACTTCAGTATGTATCTCCTGAAGTACTCTTATTCCTACTCTTATTATCACATCCAAGAAATTTGACATTGAATATAATAGTATTATCTAATATTCAGATTTCCCCAGTTGTCTGTATCTAAAATGTCATATAAATTCAGGGTTCTGTCAAGGTCCCACATTGCATTTAATTGTCATCTCTTTAGTCTCTTGAAATCTAGAACAGTTCCTATCCTTTGTAGTCTTTTTTAATCAACATTTTAAAAAGAAACCAGGACAGTTGTCTTGTAAAATATCCAACAACCTGGATTCACGTGATTGTTAGTTCTCATTTTTGCAAGAATATCATATAATTAAGTGTTTTGTACATCTCATTTTATCATATTAGGGAGGCACATGATGTTGGTTTGCCTCATTATTGGTGGTACTAAATTTGATCACTTAAAGTGGTGCTCACTTTAGTAAAGGTATATTTTACTCTAATTTTAGCTTCCACTGATGAAGGCTGCCTGCCTATATTAGTTATTAAACTGATGGTTTCACATCCTCACATTTTTGACTGAATTGATCATGCACCCTACTATGAACCAAGGGAATTTCCCCCCCAGCTTCCTAGTGAAATGGGGTATGGTTGTTTCAATAAAGACTGGTTGAACTCATTCTGTATTGGTTGCCCAGTTGCCCAATTTTAAAAACTGACAGGCATTTCTGGGACAGTTTCTCACTGTTGACATCCATAGTTGTGTACTAGAAACAACCTGGCTGCGTTTTTTTGTTAATGATTACTTTTGTTTTCTGCTCTTAGTGTGGATGATTTGGCTCTGAGCATATATCCACCTATGTGTCACCTGACCGTGCGAATCAATGTAAGTACTGGCTTTGAGGGAATAGCTACAGAACAAATGGGCAGAATTTCACTAATCACTAGTATTTCCTGTAAGCTATAGGGTACATATTTATTAGTCACATTTGGATGGAAGTACAACAGTAATGTCACAGTTCTTGCATGCGTTTGGGGTTGATAAATATTCACTGAAGTTGAATTATAATAGCCATGAGCTTTGGTAGTTCTCTCTTCCATAATCACCTGGGTAATCATTCAGAAAAGCCCAAAGGCCTTAGAAAATGATGCTTTAAGGCTGGGCGCGGTAGCTCACACCTGTAATCCCAGCACTCCAGGAGGCGGAGGTCAGGAGTTGAGACCAGCCTGGCCAACATGGCGAAACCTTGTCTCTACTAAGAATACAAAAATTAGCCGGGCATCATGCACCTATAATCCCAGCTACTTGGAAGGCTTAAGCAGGAGAATCGCTTGAAGCCGGGAAGTGGAGGTTGCAGTGAGCCGACATCGCGCCACTGCACTCCAGCCTGAGCAACAGAGCAAGACTCTGTCTCAAAAAAAAAAAAAAAAAAAAAAAAAAAAAAAAAGCTTCTTTGAAAAGAAAGTCTTAATTACACGGTAATTTAGGAACTTCTCAACTTGAAGTCACAAGTTTCTAATTTCTAGACTAGGCAGCAATTAGATTGAACTTCAGCTGTTCATGAAGTAGCTGGCTGAGGTCACATGTTTCTGATTTCTAGACAAGGCAGAAATAAGTGTTCCAGAAACATACTCTGTTCTAATACAAACACATTGTGTGATTTAACTATGGAGAGTCAACTTTCTTATAAAAATCTGATTTTATTGTATTCTTTGAGGTTCTGTGCCCTTTACTAGAGAGAGTTCTGTTCTCTCTAATGTTATTGGAAAGAGCAGTAAAACTGCCAAATGGCTTATATTTTACAATTGAATGTATCAATTCTAGTAATATTTGATAAATTGGATAATGGAAATTAGATTCATCAGATGTGTCTTCATGATGTATAAACACCTTGAAGTAGAATAGGATCCTTTTGGGCATTAACATTTTTTTGGCATTAACTTTTAAAAAATTGACTTCCTAAGAAATAAACATTTTTAGCAATATGCCTAGTCAGCTATCCCAAACATAGTATCTGCTCTAGCAATTTTAAAATGTGTACTGCATATGCATCTTATATGTATTGATATTTTATATTAAACGTCTCCATCTTATCCTTATATTGGTGTTCTTAAAATTCTTAATGCGCTTTTTTTTTTTTTTTTTTTTTTTTTTTTTTAAAGGAACCTTAGTCATTTCTGCTTTATATTTTGAGCTATCAGCATTTGGGACCAATTCAGGTTACATTTTCCTTTTTCTGTCCTTTTTTAAATTGAAAATATTTTAGATCTAAAAAATCTTATTAAAATGTTATAGCAATAGTATTAATAAGATCTTGCTAAATAGAAAAGAACCCGTAATCCTGCCACCCTAACCTAATCAGCATTTTAAATTTTGCATACTTCCTTCAGGTCCTTTTTCTAAATAATTTTTTTATTACTTGGGTCTTTAAAAATATTTGAACTCACCTTTTTATGGTAGGGCTCAGGGTGAATAACTTCTGTGTTTCTTTTCTAGTCTGCGAAACTTGTATCTGTTTTAAAGAAGGCACTTGAAATTACAAAGTAAGTATGAAGACTTCTCAGATAGCTTTTTGTGAGTAAAACGGAACTGCTGTCCAGACGTTCTCAACTCCCTAGCTCCCATTTCAAGGAGTGGGAAAGGGTGGGTGTGGGATTTTCTTTCAGCTTCAGTTGTGGGGCAGCTGAGATTCTGCAAAGAAGCTTCCCTTTAAAAAAATTTTAGTTTTCCCTGTGCTCCCTCCTGAGGATAGGTTTTCCCTTGACATCCTAATAAGTTTAACTTACTTCTTTCCTATTCTATTCACAGAGCAAGTCATGTGACCCCTCAGCCAGAAGATAGTTGGATCCCTTTACTTATTAATGCCATTGATCATTGCATGAATAGAATCAAGGAGCTCACTCAGAGTGAACTTGAATTATGACTTTTCAGGCTCATTTGTACTCTCTTCCCCTCTCATCGTCATGGTCAGGCTCTGATACCTGCTTTTAAAATGGAGCTAGAATGCTTGCTGGATTGAAAGGGAGTGCCTATCTATATTTAGCAAGAGACACTATTACCAAAGATTGTTGGTTAGGCCAGATTGACACCTATTTATAAACCATATGCGTATATTTTTCTGTGCTATATATGAAAAATAATTGCATGATTTCTCATTCCTGAGTCATTTCTCAGAGATTCCTAGGAAAGCTGCCTTATTCTCTTTTTGCAGTAAAGTATGTTGTTTTCATTGTAAAGATGTTGATGGTCTCAATAAAATGCTAACTTGCCAGTGATTAAATGAGTGCCCTTCCAAAGTTTCTTTTTACCAGAAATACAGTGGATTGAGACTAGAACATTGCTTTCATTTGGGTTTGTAGGTTTAAAAATCTGATTCTAATCAGAAGTATATTTAGAACAAAACACTTTATTTATAAAAGATGACTCCAAAATTCATCTTAGTATTTCACCATGTTATATATTATTATCAGCAAGTCCTTCTGAATATTATCACAGATTACTCCATGTCTCTAAAATATATTGGCATTGAGCTCATTTGTTAGGTTTGCCCACCTTATTGAACAGATTTATTTTCCTTATACATACTTGTGTTGTCCTTGGTTACGTGTGTCCCCAAATGTAAATACCAAATTTTTATAAATCAAAAATTTTTTAGTGTGTAAGAGATTTTATGTAATTTTAAGGGCCTTTTCAGTTCATCCTTTTGCAAAACCATCACCACTTAATTATACTTTTGCATCAGTCTAGAAGACTGCATATTGGAAAGCAGTGTAAATCTATAATGATGTATATTCTGGTGAGCTGAATAGGGCATTATGCATGTCCTACAGGTCTCCGCCACCTCTCATGCCCATCATCTTCCTTTTGTAGGTGTAATTCATAACATATGCCTTTCTGCTGTCTTTAGGTATAATCAGCAACAGCAGTCATTCTTTGAGTGACTAATGTATACTTGGGGTTGGGGTTGAAATTCCTTAAGCCAAATGAGTTTTAGCTTACTGTTTTGAAGTGCCATTTTGTATTGTTAACAAGTGTCATGAAGGGAAGGAACTAAAATCAAACTGACAGAGTGTCAAGGCAACAAAATAACATAAACAAAATAATAACATTGTACAACAGTCTAGTTCTTTTATCCTTTCATATAGAGCCTATTTTTTATATACTTTTATATTTCTCTACTGGACCAAATTCATGTTATTAACATCAGACTTTAATTGTGGGATACTTAATGAATATAGAACTCTAATATAAAGACTTACCTCTAGCTGAATTATTCTCTCAGGTCCTGTATTGTATAACTTCGTTCAGTCATGTTTGGATCTTTAAGGATAATGATCAGGGAAAGCACTGATCAATGTAATTTTTTTTTTTTTTTTTTTTTTTTTGAGATGGAGTCTTGCTCTGTCCCCCAAGCTGGAGTGCAGTGGCACACTCTCGGCTCACTGCAACCTCCGCCTCCCAGGTTCTCAAGCAATTCTCTGGCTTCAGCCTCTCAAGTAGCTGGGACTACAGATGCACACCACCATGTCCAGCTAATTTTTGTATTTTTAGTAGAGATGGGGTTTCACCATGTTGGCCAGGCTGGTCTCAAACTCCTGACCTCAGGTGATCTGCCCACGTCAGCCTCCCAAAGTGCTGGGATTACAGATGTGAGCCACCGAGCCCAGCTTGATCAATGTAATTTTAAGATTACCTAAAAATTCCATTTTGGGATAATATCCCACTTCATCAGAAATATTAGAATGATTTAAGTGTTAGGTCCTTTCCCTTATCTGTAAGTTAATGAATGTATTAATGAGCAGTAAAATGGTTGCAAAAAACCTGAACCTGAACAATCTGAATGTACTCCTTAAAGGTATCTGAGCACCTTTTCAACCTGAATGACTACTCATTTATCTGATAAAGTGATGTAGTTTGGATATTCAACCCTGCAAACCTCATGCTGAAATTGGATTCCCAGTGTTGGAGGTGGGGCCTAATGGGAGGTGTTTGGATCCCTCATGAATGGCTTCGTTCCATTGGTGGGGTAATGAGTAAGTTCTCGCTCTATATGTCCCTCCCCCACCCCAGAGCTGGCTGTTAAAACGAGGCTGGCACCTGGCACTTACCCCTACCCCTCAACCCATTCTTGCCCTGTGATCTCTGCTCACGTTGCCTCCCTTCATCTTCCTGCATAAGTGGAAGCAGCCTGAAGCCCTCACTGTTTCTTGTACAGCCTGCAGAGCCGTGAGCCAAATAAAGCTCTTTTCTTTTAAACTACCCAGCCTCAGTTATTCCTTTATAGCAACACAAACACTGAGACGCAAAGTTTCTCTTCCTAGCACATGTTTGGTTTAGATTGTAGAACAAGGGTTGGCAGGAGAGTGGTGATAGAGCTGGAAGTTTAAGCTGATAGTTCAGGGGCTACCACGGTGACGCTTTTATAGTTGGTTAGGTTCTGGAACATGTTGCAGTCCACTTCCACAGTGAGTCTCTGGAGCCCCACATGTGTTGGCGTGAACTGGAACTTGGCACACATGGTGTTTTCAGGCCACACTGAACGGAATCTGAAATAAAGGAAAAGGCAGGTGCTAGTTCTGTCCCAGGTTCATTGCTCTGCTGGTCCCAGTGACTTTGATCCTTCCTTGCTTGAAGAGGTGGACCATGCAGAAATAAACATCTAAGTACCTTGCTATTAAAATGGAAGTGTTTATAAAGGAATAGAAGACAGGAGCCACCCAATGCTGAGCAACTGCATGGTTGAGAAGAGGTACATCCTAAGGGCTTCCAAGCTACATCTGTTGTTCCTTTTGTCATCTGTGACTTCCTTCTGGTTCAATTCCTGGTAATTGTATTGGAGTTTGTTTGGAAGAGTGATATGGTTTGGCTGTGTCCCCACCCAAATCTCAACTTGAATTCTATCTCCCAGAATTCCCATGAGTTGTGGAAGGGACCCAGGGGGAGGTAATTGAATCATGGGGGCTGGTCTTTCCTGTGCTATTCTCGTGATAGTGAATAAGTCTCAGGAGACCTGATGGGCTTATCAGAGGTTTCTGCTTTTGCTTCTTCCTCATTTTCTCTTGCCACCACCCTGTTAGAAGTGCCTTTGCCTCCTGCCATGATTCTGAGGCCTCCCCAGCCATGTGGAACTGTAAGTCCAATTAAACCTCTTTTTCTTCCCAGTCTCAGGTATGTCTTTATCAGCAGCGTGAAAACAAACAATACAGTAAATTGGTATGAGTAGAGTGGGGCATGGCTGAAAAGATACCCGAAAATGTGGAAGTGACTTTGGAACTGGGTAACAGGCAGAGATTGGAGCAGCTTGAAGTGCTCAGAAGAAGATGAAAATGTGGGAAAGCTTGGAACTTCCTAGAGACTTGTCGCATAGCTTTGCCGAAAATGCTGATAGCAATATGGACAATAAAATCCAGGCTGAGGTGGTCTCAGATAGAGATGAGGAACTTGTTAGGAACTGGAGCAAAGGTGACTCTTATGTTTTAGCAAAGAGACTGGTGGCATTTTGACCCTGCCCTAGAGATTTGTGGAACTTTGAACTTGAGAAAGATGATTTAGGGTATCTGGTGGAAGAAATTTCTAAGTAGCAAAGCATTCAAGAGGTGACTTGGGTGCTGTCAAAGGCATTCAGTTTTATAAAGGAAGCAGAGCGTAAAAGTTTGGAAAATTTGCAGCCTGACTATGCAATAGAAAAGAAAAACCCATTTTCTAGGGAAAAATTCAAGCTGGCTGCAGAAATTTGCATAAGTAACAAGGAGCCTAATGTTAAACCTGAAGATCAAGGGGGAAATGTCTCCAGGCCATGTCAGAGAACTTCATGGCAGCCCCTCCCATCACAGGCCCGGAGGCTCAGGAGGAAAAAGTGGTTTAGTGGGCCAGGCCCAGGGTTCCTGTGTTGTATGCAGCCTAAGGACTTGGTGCCCTGTGTCCCAGCCACTCCAGCCATGGCTGAAAGGGGCCAACATACCGCTTGGGCTGTGGCTTCAGAGGGTGGAAGCCGCAAGCCTTGGCAGCTTCCAAATGGTGTTGAGCCTATGGGTGCACAGAAGTCAAGAACTGAGGTTTGGGAACCTCTGCCTAGATTTCAGAATATCTATGGAAATTCTGGGGGCCCAGGCAAAAGTTTGCTGCAAGGGCAGGACCCTCATGGAGAACCTCTGCTAGGGCAGTGCAGAAGGCAAATATGGGGTCAGAGCCCCCACACAGAGTCCCTGCTGGGGCACTGCCTAGTGGAGCTGTGAGAAGAGGGCCGCCATCCTCCACACCCCAGAATGGTAGATCCACTGACAACTTGCACTGTCTGCCTGGAAAAGCCACAGACACTCAGCGCCAGCCTGTGAGAGCAACTGGGAGGGACGCTGTACCCTGCAAAGCCACAGGGGCAGAGAGAACTGCCCAAGACCATGGGAACCCACCTCTTGCATTATTGTGACCTAGAGTCAAAGGAGATCATTTTGGAGCTTTAAAATTTGACTGCCCTGCTGGATTTTGGACTTGCATGGGCCCTGTAACTCCTTTGTTTTGGCCAATTTCTCCATTTGGAATGGCTGTATTTACCCAATACCTGTACCCCCACTGTATCTAGGAAGTAACTAGCTTGCTTTTGATTTTACAGGCTCATAGGCAGAAGGGACTTGCCTTGTCTCGGGTGAGACTTTGGATTGTGGACTTTTGGATTAATGCTGAAATGAGTTAAGACTTTGGGGAACTGTTGGGAAGGCATGATTGGTTTTGAAATGTGAGGACATGAGATTGGGAGGGGCCAGGGATGGAATGATATGATTTTGCTGTGTCCCCACCCAAATCTCAACTTGAGTTCTATCTCCCATTCCTCATGGGAGGGACCCAGGGGGAAGTAATTGAATTATGGGAGCTGGTCTTTCCCATGCTATTCTTGTGATAGTAAGTCCCATGAGATCTGATAGGTTTCTCATGGGTTTCCACTTTCGCTTCTTCCTCATTTTCTCTTGCCACCACCATGTTATAAATGCCTTTCACCTCCCGCCATGATTCTGAGGCCTCCCCAGTCATGTGGAACTATAAGTCCCATTAAACCTCTTTTTCTTCCCAGCCTTGGGTATGTCTTTATCAGCAGCGTGAACACGAACTAATATAAAGAGCTATAGCTTTGGAACCCTTGCTTATTGCTAAGCACAGTGGATGTAGCAGGGCTTATTGAGAGGATGTCAGTATGTCAGCAGGTGGTGTTTGGAGCCTTGTCAGCAACCTCCTGGCCTGCCTATAAACCTTCTTTTGGTGACAGACTTCCTTTGGGGAGCTTTGCCCCACAACTGATTTGGGAGACCACAAAAGTATGGTTAAATGTTGACAGTCCCTTCTCTTGATTTCTTGGCAAGAATGTCTCATTAAGTTTCATGAGGCTGAGGCAGTGGCTCAGTAACCCACACACCTGTTAGGGACCTCAGGGAGGGTAGGAGTAAGTATCTTGAACTTTATACTGTCTGTTCAACTAAGGATGCAGTAGACATAATGAAAGAAGATATTTGCAACGTCTAAAACCAACAAGGGACTAATACCTGGACTATACAGGAAACTTCTACAGATCAATAAGAAGGAAGCACAGAAACACCAAAAGAAAAGTGGGCAAAATAAGACAAACTACTTACTGAGAAGAAAACATAAAAGGCTAACAAACATATGAAGAGTTGCAATTAAAATAATAGTAAGATATTACTTCATTTTTATTGGACTGGAAGAAAATGTTAATAGCTGGGTATTGCCAGGAATGAAGGAGGGGTAGGAATACAGAAATTCTCATGTGCTGCTGGAGGGAGTGGAGACTCTTGCAGCCATTCTGCAAATCTGACAGTACCTGGTCAAACCACATCATAGCCTAGGACCCAGCAATTCTATTCCTGGGTATATATCCCCAGACTCCACCAAATTTTTTTTTTTTTTTGAGATGGAGTCTCGCTCTTTCACCCGGGCTGGACTGCAGTGGCGTGATCTCGGCTCACTGCAAGCTCCGCCTCCCAGGTTCACACCATTCTCCTGCCTCAGCCTCTCAAGTAGCTGAGACTACAGGCGTCTGCCACTGTGCCCGGCTAATTTTTTGTAATTTTAGTAGAGACGGTGTTTCACTGTGTTAGCCAGGATGGTCTCGATCCTCCTGACCTTGTGATCCACCTACCTTGGCCTCCCAAAGTGCTGGGATTACAGGCGTGAGCCACCGGGCCTGGCCACCAAATTTTCAAACAAGTATATAAGGAGACTTGTGTGAGGATGTGCACTGCAACATTATTTGCAGTGTCAGAGAGTTGGAGGCACTCTGGGTGCCCATCTCTGTGGAGTGGAGTGGTAGAAAGTGGTGGGTGTACACGATGAAATATTATGTAGCAGAAGACATATGGGCATAAATCTTAACATAGTTCTGAGTGAAAAGTAAGAAAGCAATTAAATATAAATTTATATAAGTTAAAAGTACAGGCTCATGAAAGCAACAGTACACATTTTATACGTACGAATAAAAGGATATGAAGGATGGTGGTGAAAATGGGAATAAAAGGGAATAAATTAAACAAAATTGTATATTGTGGTGGTGACTACCAGAATGTAGCCCTCTGACCACAATGAAAGATAGCCTGTCCTCCCTTCATTACTCTCCAATACCCAGCCCTAATGCCCTCGCCTATATTCACAGCAACACCCAGGCTCTCCCTGCAGGATCAGGGCAGCAACCAGGGCAGGCGGGTGCCCAAGGGGCCCGCACAGCCTGCCTCACTCCCATCCTCCTGCAGATATGGTGGTCCTAGGATGAGGGAAGCCACTTGGTAGCCCTAATCCTTTAGTTTAGTTTCTAGGGGTATCTGCTGTCTGCATGGACATGGCAAAGAGAGAGTTTCTCTCTTGGGCCCTGCCTTTCTGACCCATTGAGACATTTCAGGGGGATGAGAAGCCTGCCATCACTTACCTGTAGCTCCTCTCTCTGTGAATGAGCCCCCTTCCCAGGATGGAGATCACACAGTCCTCCATGGGGGCATCTAGGGAGTTCTGGAGGCTGACTGAGGCTGTGAGGGGTTGATACTGCTCTGCTTTCTCTGGCATCTGTGGGAAGAGGCAATACCTGGTGTGGATGCCAAGGGCACAGCTGCAGTCACTCTCTCCTCCCATGCACCCCTGTACCCTCCTCAGTAAGTTTCCTCATCTCTGCCAAGCTGACTCAAACTTCACAGCTGATGTCTTCTACCGCTCTACCTGCTCTTCCTGCATTTATTCCCACCCTTGGTCCTTCACTGATGATTTCTGATGTCGCCTCTCCTCTATGCAGACCCCTTGGAGGGTTTCCCACTGTCTTGGGAATTCAGTTTACATTGTATTCAACGTTCTTCATGGTGTGTCCCCAAACCCCCTCTCCCACCTCACCTGTTCTTCCCATGACTAAGTGACATCCCAGCCCCGTCAGGGACTGTTCCATCCCCAGCACACGCCTCACGCTACCTTCCATTACACCTCTTTGCTGTCTTCTTCTGTCTTCAGTGGCCTTCCCCTACCTCTGTACTGAAAGGGTACCCATTTTTCAAGGCCCAGCATAGATGTCATCTCTTTCATAAGGTCATCCCCAAACCCACCAGCTGGAATTAATTCCCTTTGCTTCACTTATTCCATAGCAACTTTGTGCATCTATTAAAGCACTTATCTGGAAGACCAAATGTTGTGTCTCCCTAACTAAACTATAACCTGCTTGCGGGCAGGGATCAGATCTCATTCATTTTGGCCAGGGTAGACACATGGAAAGAGGGCTGGACCAAGAGCCATAAGCCTCTAGAACTTCCTGTTTTTATAATCTTGGGCATGTTGCTCTCTAGGGCTCACTTTTTTCATCTGAATAATGGGAACAGTTCTACCTCACAGGGCTTAGAAAGAAATAAAGGAGCTGAAAATCCTCTGGCATGTGTATGAGGTGCTAAATAAACATAGGCTATTATGATCCCTGTAGGTAGGAGGCAGTAACTGGGAAGGCCCCAATTTTAGAAACCTTTACTTAACTAAAGAAGTTGGAAGATTTAAACCTTAATAGGGCATGTAAGAAACTATGTCTTTCAAGGGAAGGAGCTCTTAAATGTAGCATTTTCTGGTAATCTTGCAGCACAGTCATCTGCTCTGAAGGGGCCTGGATTCCTTCTGAAATGGGGACCTGAGTGGTGGCAGACGAGGGCAACTCAGGGGAGGACTGGTGCCTACCTTGATGGCAAGGTGTGGTCTACAAATGGCAATGTCTTCCTGAGCAAAGCAGCTAAGGTTGGATTCAGAGTGTGTTGCCATGGCGGTGAGTCTAAGGAAGGTGTTCTCGGGTGGGTTTCGCTCAAAATTGGAGAAGAACAGGCCGATGGTTATTATCTTTTCTGAAACACATGACAGGTGGAGTCAGTGGCAACAGGTGTATGTACCCCAGAAACAGCCATAGTTACACACACAATACAAAGGACTCAGGGCCTCACTGAGGCCAGAAAGATGCACCATTTTCCCCAGCAATTGTACACTTGGAACTCACTCAAGACCTCACTCCTCACCCTCATCCCCATCACCAACCCCGACAATGCTCTTGGCAGACCACCTCAGTGGGGTTGGGAAAGGGTCCCCTGTGAACTGGAACAAGTTAAGCTCTTTCGGCCTCAGTGTCCTTGTCTAATAATGCCTACCTAGTGGGATGGTTTGTGTTGTTTGTAGGGTTTTTGTTTTGTTTTAGAGACAGGGTCTCGCTTTGTCACCTTACAGAAGAAATATCTACTCCTACTGTCACTACTGCTCAGGGGATGAGGTATCCCCCCTGCCTAAGTTGAATCCTCTGCTTTCTAAATCTGTGCCCCATCCTGACCCCATCACACTAGCTGTGTAACCCTGAGTAAATTAACGACCCTCTCTGTGTCTCATCTCCTCATCTGTAAAGTGGGGATAGCAATGGTTCTTGCCACAGAACGTGGTTGTGAGGGCTAACAAGATGATGCATATGATGCATATAAAGCACTTAACACCATTTTGGGCAAATAGTAAGTGCCTGATAAATGTGAGCTACAATTATTCTAGTTGTCTCATATCCCCAAGCATAGCACTATCAATTTTAACCCATCTCTCCTGAGGCTCCATTCTTTCCCTCTTGCCTGCTTATTTTCCTCAGCATAGAAGCAGGTTCAACTCTCTCCCTCTGCCCAGTGTCCCTGGCTGACTACTCCCCAGCCTCACCTTTTCCTGTCATGCCTCCAGGGAGGACTAGACAGTTTGTCTCACCTTCCCAACGCAATTGGCTTAACGCCCAGGAAGCTTCTCTGTAAGTCCACTCTCTTAATGGTGCTTTTCAGCCTTGACACCTCGTGCCCTTTCTGCTGACCTTGCTGGGTGCCCCCTTTCTTTGACTATTTGACCTCCCTTACTCTGCTTTTCCTCTGATCGCCCCCTAAATGCTGCTGCTGCTGCTGGGTTCCCTCCTCACCCTCTCATCTACTCACTGACCTCTCCCCACTGCCATGAGCTCATCTATGCCCTGACTCTTTGTTGGCCCCCCTGTGCTGGGATTTCCACGTCTGAGCTCCAGCCCAGAACTTTATCTTACCAAGGTCTCCTGCCACCTGCTGGCCAGCTCCACTTGCGTGTGTCACGGGCTTTCAGACACAATGTGCCACAACCAAATCCATCCTTTTTCTCCCCAAACTTGCTCCTCCCCATTTTTCCTATTCTAGTGACTCACCCAAACCAGAAGCACCCACCACACACATATACACATTCACACATTCACAAGCCCCATCTATCTCAACTCCTTAATATGTTTTAACTCTAAGTGCTGCTAGCTTAGTTTGGCCTTGATTTCTTGACTTGATGATTTACACAACCTTCTCATCTTCAATCCAGTGGTTCTCAAGACTGGATGCATGTTAGAATCAAGTGGGGAGCTTTACAAAACAATCCCAATGCCAGGCCACACCCCAAATCAGTTACATCAGACTCTGGCGATGAAGCCCAGACATCAGTATTTTTAAAAGTTCCCCAGATGATCGGAGTCTCTGAACCTACTCTGGCTCAGAAGGCTGCCCCCTCCGCCCCCCCCCCAAAAAAAAGTTCCCAAGATGACTCAATGTGCAGCTAAGGTTAAGAAGCACTCTTCTTATATGACCCCTTCCATTCCATTCTGCCAAAAGTTCTTTCTTGTTAAAATGAATTTCTGATTCCATTGACTACCCTGGTTGAAACCTTCCACCAGTTTTCCATTACCCAGAGAACAAAACTCAAACTCCTTAGCAAGAGAGACAAGACCCTGTGTCACCTGGGCCCTGTCCAGTTCTCACGCCACTCTCCCAACTCCACTCCTCCCATGCTTGGAAAGGGAAGAGTGATACAGAGACTGGAGGTGAGGTGACCGGTTAGAAGGCTGTTGCAATGCTGTAGACAAGCTCTCGTCAACTGATTCTCACACTTGTCTGCACATCGGAATTACTTCAGTTTTTAAAAATTCTGATGTGTTCCACCATGGAGTTTTTGTTTTTTTTCTTTTTGAGACGGAGTGTCACTGTGTCACCCAGGCTGGAGTGCAGTGGCATGATCTTGGCTCACTGCAACCTCTGCCTCCTGGGTTCAAGCGATTCTCCTGCCTCAGTCTCCCCAGTAGCTGGGATTACAGTTGTGTGCCACCAAGCCTGGCTAATTTTTGTATTTTTAGTAGAGTCGGGGTTTCACCATGTTGCCCAGGCTGATCTTGAACTCCTGACCTCAGGTGATCTGTCCACTTTGGCCTCCCAAAGTGCTGGGATTACAGGCATGAGCCACTGCGTCCAGCCCACCATAGAATCTGTCATTTAATTGGCCTGAGATGCAGGCTGAGCATCAAACTTCCCCCAGGTGATTCTAATGTGCAGCAAAATTTAAAAACAATTGTTCTGGTTCAGGGAATCTTAACTGTAGAATAACACAGGGTGTTAAAAAAAGAAAAAAACAATACCTGGACCCCATCTCAGACCAATTAAGAAAGAACCTCAGGGATGAGCAGGGCCCTTTGCACACGTTGCTCCTTCCGTCTGGAATGCCAAGACTTACTTTTCTGGCCATTACTCTCCTACTCATCCTTCCAGATTCCATGCAGTACAATTTATTTGGGGGCAGCTTATTCCAGCCTGGGGGGAGGTGCTCTCCTGCCACTGTACTCTGTTAAACTCAGCAAACACTTCTCACACTGCTACGAAGGGTCTGTTTACTTATCTGACTGCAGTTGGCATCGTGTTTTTTTCCTGCTTCAGGCCCAATAAATATGTGTTGAATGAATGAATGAGAGAGAACATGAGAGTGAGCAGCAGGGGCTCAAAGCCATCTCTAGAGACTGCAGGGGGTGCCCTGTGGCTGCTGCCTGCCCAAGGCAGGGGCCATGTGTGTGTGTGTGTCGGGGGGTGTCTGGTGGGGCCATAGAGCATTACCCAGGTTGGCACTGAGCGTGAGGTGCAGCTTCTTCCTCCAGAGCTTGGCAGCAAGGACACCGTTGTAGTGTACAGCCTGGACCCCAATTGCCAGCTGCACTGCCTTCTCCTGCTCACTGTGATTAACCAGCGTCACTGAGATCTGGGCATCCCCTCTCAGGGGTAGGGAGCTGGGTGCTTTCAAGAGCAGGTACAGAGGACTGGCAGTCTCGAGACTGGGAGGACGGATGCCGTTGTCTTTCTCACGTTCCATTTTCTCTTTCTCGACTCTCTCCAGCACCTCTTTTTCCTGAAGAGACCCTGGAGAAGGGAAGAAACAAAGCTGACCTTTTACCCGGGTGGTATAAATGCTTCTAATAAAACCCTGGGAATCAAAACCATTTACCCACTTCTGCTCAAATGCCAAAGTCACAAGAACTCAGCAAGCCTCTAAGGCCATATTTAGCCCAAAAATGTCTGTGTCAGGCAGCTCCACCACCGATACAGTGTGTCTCTTCCAAACCACTCAAGGACCAAGTTCTTTTTCAAGTGCTATGAATTCTCCCCTTGAATGATGAGAGAGCAAGGTTGGGGACAAGTCAACACTGTCTCTGAGGACAGTTTTGCAGGGAACTGAATTTTCCTATGTGAAAGAATTTAGACTTCCTCTGAGGGTCAGGAATGCTGCTAAATGTCCTAGGGTGCACAGCCTGTACAACAAAGACATATCTGGGCCCAAATGTCAATGGTGTCAAATGGGGTTGAGAAACCCTGTTTTATATGATGCGGAAAGGACAAGTCTCTTTCTGGCTGCATCTACCAGGCCCATCCCTTTCCCTCGCTTGCCGTTTCAGGTACCGAGAAGCCTGGGGCCCTTCCCTGGCCCGTACCTTCAGGATACTTGTAGTTCTGAGTGATGTCCTCGCAGCGGTCACTGCCCACACCCTTGGTGCTGATGTTGTTGCCAACATACTTTGTGTTGGAGTCAGTCAACTCCAGTGTCCCATCCTCACAGCACTTCCAGACCACACATGAGGCATTTATGGCAGCAAAAAGGTCTGACACTGCTGGGGTCAGCCCCAGCGTCCCCTCCTTGACTGCTCTGACCGGCACCAGATCACAGGACCCCAGGACTGAGGGAGAGAAAGGTTGGTGAGCATGGGAGCTGCGCCTAGACCTCTGCTCAGTTCAGAACTGCGTAACCTCAGTCCCCATCCTCTAGCCTATTTTCCCTCCACGAGGACCAAGGTCAGAGGTGAGCACTAGGCAGGGTTTCTGAGAGAGTCACAGAGGTGAAACTATTTAGTGATCAACTATTTAGTGATAAAACTTTTTGGTCATGGTCCCTGGCAGAAGCCCTCTCAGGAACTGGACAGGCAGAAGCTCAGAGGGTCATATTTAGCGTGAGGAGCTCTCAAGCCAGCTTTACTATGGATATGACAGGAATAGGGCTACCTTTCTTGAGCACTTACTAGGTGCCAGGCTCTGTGCCATTTCTGTTCCTGGGTGAGGAAGAGCTATCTTTTTGTGGGTCCTGAAGCTTCCTTTTCTGGGCTTGAGCCTATCCCGATGCCCTCTTCATCCGTGTCCAGAACCTCAGAACCTCTGCTGTAAGCCCCTGGCCTAGCACAGCCACTTGCCATCTTAAGATCCTCTGCCCTTCACTGTGACCCAACTCCCTCACCCACAGCTCTAAGGTGCCTCATCTACCTACAGCCTTGTAGCCGGGATAGCAGGCACCTCTATTCCCATGAGCCCACTGGCATCAGGTCAGCTTTCTGCTGGCTGCTGTCATGCCTCGTGCTTCTACTGTTTTCGAGGATGCAGACCCCCTTGGGACTGCCTGCTGCTCCCGAGTCCTCTCTGGGGACTTCAGCTCTGTGCAGCCCTGCGTGGTCCTGGACCCACCCCTAGGCTTTACCTCCACCTCCATTAGGAGCACTTGGGTGCAGAATCTGCCATCCATCATAACCCTGGGGCAAGGCAGGCCGCGTCATCCAGCACTCTGTGGAAGTCTGGAAGATCCTGAATGCAGCAAAGAGAAAAATTCAAGTGGGAAAGAAAACGAGTGCTGAAGAGGTTCTGGAAATGCAGCCTGGCAGAGCTGTTGTTGTTCCAGTGGGATGGGAGGTCACTGTGTCAAAGTGGCTGTGGCACTCCCAGGAAGGGGCGTGCACACCATCACTGACCATCAGCGCCGCCTCTAAGGGTCTTGAAAGCCTACTCTCCATGCCAGGGCCATGCAGGGGGTGGGGCTCCTGCAGAGGTGTGCTATGCAGGGTTGGAGCCCTTCCTGGACTGGAACCTCATCTCCCTTGGGCTTCTCACCAGATTCTGCCTCTCTGGCCTTCTCCGTTCTGAAGTCCCTCCTCATTATAGTATTCATCTATGAGAAGACGCCCACCGGTGCCCTGTGCTGAGGCAAACGTGGTCACCACGCGGGCAGGGATTCCCAGGCATCGCAGCACTGTGAGAAGAGGGGCGGAGTGTCAGGGGGCGCTTGAGAGACCGGGCTGGGGGCGTGTGGGAGGCTAGGATTTTCAGTGTCTCCTCTGGGCACTGAAAACTTGGAAAGAAGAGGAGTGCAGGAACCTAGAAGTGGCAGCCAAGAACAGGATGCATGAAGGCTGATCAATAAGGCACAGGTTCCACCGCATGCGGGGCATATACCAGGGGAGAAGGCAACAGAGCATAGAACACAGCGCTGCGGGGCTGCTCTGCTAGGGCAGGGTTAGGGAAGTAAGTGAATTTGGGAAAGGAGTTTGCAAATGAGCCCAACTTTGCTGAGGGGAAAAGCAGCAGAAGCTGGCGGGAGGAGCTGCCTGGGACAACTACTTCTGTGTGATGAGATGGGGAAATGCGGCCGCAGGGAGGCAGCACCTGCTTTTGGAGATGTCCTTCCCACATGGGAGGCCAGGGAACAACCCAGGAGGCAGGGCACTCTACAGGAGACAAGGGGACCAACCTGTGCAAGCAACAGCAGCCAACACCCAGGCCTGGCCATCATACACAGGTCGGCCTCGGCCGGTGAGCCACTGCCGCAGGATGGGCACGCTGCCCCGGCGCTTGTTCAGCAAGGCCCCTTCCTGGGTGGCCTGGGTCTGCGGGGTGGGCAGGACCCTCTGCTCCTTGAGAAAATGCAGCTGTTTGGGGAAATGTGTGGATGTCAGTATGAGTCCCTTGGGCAGGACAGCTTCCAGGGCATGGGTAAGGAGGGCTCATCACAGTACTCCAACCATGGTGAACAGATCCCCAGCATTAGAGCCACCTGGTACTGGTTAAACCTGCATGCTTCTGGGCTCCATCCTAGGCCCCTGGGTCATAGCTCTAGGGCTGGAGCCCAGGACCCTCCTTCTTAACAAGTTCTCTGGCTCCAGCCACAAAGAGGAGCATTAGAGCTGCCCTTCCTTGGGGGCTGGTTTCACCGGTTCTTAGTCCTCCACCCTGACTCGTTTGAGGTGCTTTGCACCTGGGTCCTGGAGGCCACTTATCCCAAGCTTCTTTCAACTCACAGGCTGGCCTGGACTCTCACCATCTTTTCAGAGGGGACTTCAGCGGCAAAGAGGGAATGGTGAACACATGACTCCTCTGAGAGGATTTTTAGGGACAAGGAAAAGCACCGAGTTACCATCATGGTCTGCATATTCTTATGAATAATTTAGAAGTATAAAAGAAGTCCCTTCGATCACTGCAGCAGCAAGCCCTGGGTAAGATGGGCCCTACCCACTCCTTCCCATGGGCCTAAGCTCCAGGATGGGACTGGGTGTGGGGAGGGAAAAGAGGCTTAGTCTTCTGCGGGCTTGCATCCTGAGGGATCACACATTTCTTTGCTTTTCTCCCCGCTGTGGATGCTATTGCCTGTCTTTTTGTCCTCCTCGGACGCTTCTGTAGGAACTGTCCCCACACCCTGGGAGGAGGGGGCCATTTGTGATTTGGGGGTTTCTGAGGCCACGGTGGTGGGGCAGGTCTCTCAGAGGGCTTTTTTCTCACCCCTGCCCCATTCTGGTTCCCCAGCCTCTCGCTTACCAAGGCACCCAACACACGGGCCACGTGCACCGGCTGGCTCCACTTCTCTACCTGCTTGTCCTTGCTCAGCAAGCGCAGGCTGAGGTCAATGACATCCCCCTCGAACTGTTAAGGATCACACAGGGCCATGATGAAGGGTCCCCACACAGGGCCATGAGGAAGGGTCCCCAGGTCAGGCACTCATCCTGCAGGACAGCCTCATCATCTCGTCCTTCTCCCAGACCCGCACTCCACACCTGCCTCCCTTGCCTCATCCCTCTGAGGAGCTCTGGCTCCCTCCCCCAACCTCTCAATGGGACCTGGGTTCCTTTTCCCAGGCATCCAGTCCTTTGCCTATCTGTTGTCTGACTCCCGGTAGGGTGTGAGCTCTCGGGGACCCGTGCTGTACTGTTTCGTTTCATTGCACTGCATTCCATTTCCATTTAGTGAACCCTGACTGTCCTACCAGCCCTGAACCGGGAGTGGAGGATACCGAGGCAGCTCCTGTTCCTGAGGAGCCCACGGTTTAGGACTGGAGATGGACACGCAGTGCAGCCCCTTAGATTACAGAGCACAGCAGCATGGCCAGGGCTCTTGTAGAGATGCCGGCACAGAGCAGCACAGTGGAGAGGCTCCCCCTGCCTTCGGGGATTGGGGAAGGCTTCGAGAAGGTCTTGAGAGATGGGTAGGAGCTTGCCAGGAGATAAGAGTGGGAAGCCCTTCCTGGCAGAGGGAACGTTCAGCCTGTTGCTCTGAGGATGGTGAGGAGTTGGAACATGGGGCGGTTCATGGGGAAAGGAAAGCAGGGTCCTGGCTGGAAGGGCCGTGGATGTTAGGCTAGGGGGATTTGGTCTTTATCTCAAAGACAGTGGGGATGTAACTGGGGCTTGATTTGCCACAGTTTTAAGGAAAATAATTCTGGGAGCTCCCGGAGGATGTTCTGATATGGCCCAGAGGAAGGAGAGGCACCACAAAGCTGAAATGGGCTAAAGAAATGGTCTCATGACCAGGGGTTTTTGGACCTACCAGCTCTGTCTAGCCTCAACATGCAAGGTTATGGGACAGTCACTCTACACACTCCTCCCCTAGAGGGCCCTGGTACCTGGCCAAAGTCCCAGGACTCTGCCTGGATGCAGTCAGCTGTACCCAGGTAGATGAGACCATTCTGGTTCAACAAGTACTCCATGCGCTGAGCCTCATTCTTCAGGAACACAGCATCCTCTGGTGAGAGGTGGGTAGGGATGAGGGCCTGTGGGGGTCCTAGGTCCACCCTCCACATCCAGGCCTCTGTCCTCCCTGCCGAGATTAGGTTTGGCTGCAGGCCACCCCGTCAGCTCTGGGCCTAATGAAGACTGAGGAGGAAGTCCCTCTTTCACTGCCCCCACTGGGACCCAGCCCAGAGTCCCTGGGTCAATCAGGGTGTGGCCTTTATGGTCAGCCAGGAAGACAAGAACAACCTTAAAAAGCTTGGCTGGCCAGGTGCAGTGGCTCACGCCTATAATCCCAGCACTTTGGGAGGCCAAAGCAGGACAGTTTGAGGCCAGGAGTTCGAGACCAGCCTGGGCAACACAGCAAGACTCTGTCTCTACAAAAAATAAAAAAAAAACAGCCAGGTGTGGTGGTACGCACTTGTAGTCCTAGCTATTCAGGAGGCTGAAGCGGGAGGAAACTTGAGCCCAGGAGTTTGAGGTTGCAATGAGCTATGATGGTGCCACTGCACTCCAGCCTGGGTGACAGAGTGAGAGACTTTCTCTTAAAAAAAAATGAAAACCAGCCAGGCGTGGTGGCTCACGCCTGTAATCCCAGCACTTTGGGAGGCTGAGGCGGGTGGATCACCTGAGGTCAGGAGATCAAGACCAGCCTGACCAACATGGTGAAACCCTGTCTCTACTAAAAATACAAAAAATTAGGTGGGTGTGGTGGCACGTGCTTGTAGTTCCAGCTACTTGGGAGGCTAAGGCAGAAGAATCTCTTGAATCCAGGAGGCGGAGGCTGCAGTGAGCTGAGATCATGCCATCGCACTCCAGCTTGGGCAACAAGAGTGAAACTCCGTCTCAAAAAAAAAAAAAAAAAGAAAAAAGAAAAAAAAAAGAAAATCCTAGTCGTTCACAGCCAGAACACTATCGTCCCTGGATAAATTGGCAACAGGCCAGGGAGCTTCCCAATGGCTTGTATGTCTTTCCCACAAATTCAATTTGTGACCAAAAACAGGTGTTTCAGAAAAAAGACAATTAAGCATAGGCTGACGGATGTAAGCAGAGGGAAGAGGAGCATTTGGCAAAACAGGGTTGGAGGGTTGGAAGGAGCAGCGGGGTTGAGAGGTGGAAGTCAGAACATTGGATTTCTGCCCCGGGGGTGTCCAAGTGAGTCTAGGGCTCCCTCAGTCTCCTCCCGGTGCCCCTCCTGCTTTCCTCATCCTAGGGTTGGGCTGGAAATCATGAGGAGGGTGGGCGACTTTGGGGCCATCACCCATTCTGGGAAGCTAGAAGCAGGAGGGCAACTGCTTAGGGCTAATCACTCTGACCCAGTGGCCGAGGTGGAGTGGACAGGGGTTAGACTAGTTTCTGGGGACTACAGAGAGAAAAGGATTTCCAAATCATCCAGAGGAGCTGCTAGGCTAACCTCTCTGGAGCCCTCCAGGGATCCATCTGGGGATGAGGGTCCTGAAGGCAACAGAAGGATAAGACACCAGAAATGAGGAAGCCCTGAAAAATCTGGGGCCTAAAATTACAGACCCATATGCCCAAGGAGCCCTCCACTCCTGCCTTCCATCCTGAGTACTCTCTGAAGTCAGCTAGGCATCACTGTTTTTTATTTTTTATTTTTTTGGAAATTACTTCAAACTGAGGTGTTTGGCCCCAGGATCTACAGGGCTCTAGGAAGTAGCTTATGAGAGCATGGGCAGTGCCAGCCTCCTCCTCTCTGCTTGGGTGTATGTAGCCCCCTTTATAAAGTGCCTGGCCTGTGAGCAGGGCTCCAACTTTTATCATAGGATGTAAAATGATGTAAAATTTCATTTTGAATCCCCATCTCCAAGCATGGCAAGATGACACTGAGATGCCAGGGAATCTGAAAACTTCTCAGTCACCTCCCAGATGAGCGGAGCCAATGACTCTCCCCTGCCCAGACAGAGACCTCCACCCACACTCAGGCAGAGAGGCCCTCCCTAGGCAGGTCCCTACAAACTGAGCACAAAGGCAGGACTCCTGGCACTGGAGTCAAGAGTGTGGGCACCCTGAGCCAAGCACTGTCCTAGAACTCTTTGCTGGGTCTTTATGGCGGTCACCAGGGCCTGGCTCTGGAAGCAGACTCAGGGTGATCTGGGGGTACACCAATGCCTCAGCTTCGGAGGGAAGCAGCTTGAAGGGCTTTCTGCCAGTCATGGAAAGTCAAAGGGCCTCCCCCAGCCCAGGGGCCCTGCATCTACATTCAACCACGTGGGGCACCTGGATGAATACTAGCTCCCATCTGCTGATCCACCTGCCTGCGCCCTTGGAGCAGGAAATAAGGGCCTGAGCTGAGGACAGGTGGGGCCACCTGAAGTCGGGGAGAACGCTGCCCTGGACAGAAGAAGTGGAGAGAGAACCCACTGGGATTTAGGTACCACAGAGAAAAGCAGTCAGGAGCTGCGGGCCAGACATGAGGCCAGGCTTAAGAACCTGGGAAGGTTCTTCCACCTCCCCATGTTTCCGTCAGTTTCCCAGCCCTGCCTTGCCACGGGGCCTCCTTCAGGCTGGCAGCAAAACTCTTGAGAGGAAAAGGGCTATGTACTCGTTTGATGTTGTAAAGACAGGAAAGCCGGGAGAAACTCTTTTCCATTCTCCCAACAAACCCTTCAGGGAGCCCAAGGTTGAAGGTGGGTGAGATAGATTTAAAAGCAAAGACAGACACAATCTTCAGAGTGGGGAGGAAGAGAAGATGGGTCCTACTTTGGGTCTTATTTGGACATGTATTATGTCAGATGGCCATTTCTAGACGACACAGCTCCAGCCACAGCTAGGGCTGAGCTTTGCTAGAGGTGGCCACGGTTGGGGGGGCGGGGCACAGCAGGTCACCTGACCCCAGGGAAGCCGCTCATAGTCTGGTGAACCGTAGGGTCCTGTCAGACCCTTGGGTAGGGGGGTCTGGAGAGCGCCCAGCAATCTGCAAGAACAGAATGAGCCGGAAGAGAGGAGCAAAGACAGGGAAGTGTAGATTTTCTGGGAAGCGGAAGCAGAAGCTTGTGGAATAACACAGACCTCTTGGGGCCCTGGTCGGCCGGGGAGCCTTATCAATTCAAAATGGTATATTCTTTTTCTTAAAGAGGGTCCCCCAGATTGCATCAGCTTCAGGTCCTGCAAAGCCTGAGTGCACTCTGGAAACAGAATAGCCGGGGAGAGAGAGAGAAGCCCATCCTCAGGCCACCTCATTCCCGAGGCCCTCTCCAGTTCTCACCCCTGCACTGTTATAATGAAGGGCAGCTTTCCCAGGGTCATCTCAGTGAGTCTCAACTCCTGTGACCAAAATAGCCTGAGCCAGCACCAGGGTCTGGTGGTGAGACAAGCTTTTGCTTTCAGTGGGAAGGCTCAACCTGCTTCTCCCAGGGGTGACACCAAAACAGGACCCTGGGTCTGAGAGCTGGTTCATTCAGGGAGAAAGCCCTGGCACAGACTGGGTGTTGGTGCTGTCCTTAGAGAGGGCTGCCACAGGGGCCTGGTGCAGGTGCTCCCTGCCAGAGCTGCACCCCAGCTCCAGTGTCTGGAGTCTCCATGCAGCCCAGGCTGGCCCAGGTCCAAACTTACCTCTATTCCAGGGGTTAAAAAGCAGTGTGAACTGACCCAAGAGGAGTTGCTTCCTGCCTGAGACCTGCAGCAGAAGCGAGTAGTGGCCAATGACAGCGTCCGCAGGTGTGGTCACAGAGATGGTCCAGGACTGGGCATCTCTCTCCTCCACCACTGCACTCCACCACTTTCGGTCCCCCAGACTGGAAATTGGGAATGTGGCTTGGGTCCTGTTGATCTTGGAAGGCTGCTCTCCTGTAGTCACACGGTGATTAGTCTGTCACTGGGACTTCTTGGTCACAACTCAGAGTAATAAGGTCAGGGTATTACAAAGATGGAGCAGGTGAAATTTGTTTTTGGAGGATAATGAAAGTGACCCACCTAGAAATGAGGCCCATCAAGAAAGAGTGATAGGAGAGCAAAGGCTTTTGGCACCCATGGACCTTCATCACAGTCTATAAAATGGGCATTGTAATAGTAACTTCTTCATGGTCCATGGGAGGACTGAATGAAATATTGCATGTGAAGTACTTGCATACATCTGACAGGTAGTATGGATTCAATAAACAGTAGCAATTAAATGTTGTATTTAGCCTGGGTTCGATTCCATCCAGAATTTTCTTTTTCTTTCTTTCTTTTTGAGACGGAGTTTTGCTTTTGTCGCCCAGGCTGGAGTGCAATGGCACGATCTCGGCTCATTGCAACCTCCACCTCCTGGGTTCAAGTGATTCTACTGCCTCAGCCTCCCCAGTAGCTGGGATTATAGGCCACCATGCCTGGCTAATTTTTTGTATTTTTAGTAGAAACGGGGCTTCACCACGTTGGTCAGGCTGGTCTTGAACTCCTGACCTCAGGTAATCCACCCGCCTCGGCCTCCCAAAGCGCTGGGATTACAGGCGTGAGCCACCACACCCGGCCCCATCCAGAATTTTCTACAAAGCTACTATTATATTTGCAACTGAAAAGAAGCTCTTGGTGATGCTGCTGCTAGGCAGCTTCTGAGTCATCATAAACAATATTTACCAGGCACATAATCTCGTGGCACCCTCATGACTGCCCTGCCAGGTGGGCAGGACTTCTTACGGCCCAGCTGCAGTGTGGGCCATTTGTCCCTTGATTCCCTAACAGGGTGCTGGAGAGAACAGAGAACCCCCCAGGCCTGCTGCCAAAGGAGTCTAGGCCTGACTCACTAACCAGTTTGTGCAGTGAGGGCCACCTTCTTCAGGGCAGGCAGAAATGCACGGACTGGAGCGCGGAAGTACAGGATGATGGTGAAGGGCTGCCCCCTCCTCACAAAGAGGCGCCGGGAGCTGAGGGCCTTGGTGTGGTGCTCCTCATTGTTTCTTGCTGCCTGAAAGTCACAGCTCTTGATACCCAGGGCTGTTGTGGGAAAGAGAGAAGTCACGGAAACTAAGTACATGTGACAATGTAAGTACAAGCAGAGATTCTGGAGTCAGAGAGACCAGGGTTCTAATCCTCGGCTCCACTTACGTTTTAGCTGCGCAATCCCAGGCAAGTAACTTAACCACCCTGAGCCTCAGTTTCCTTTTCCTTAGAATAATCATCCCTCCCTTCAGAGTTGTGGGGATTAGATGATGTACAATACATTTAGCCGTGTCAGATACACAGTAAGTCCCATTAAATGAAACTGTTGTTGTTGTTATTATTATTAATAAGTGCGTTGCTTACTCTCATTGTTGGCCTCCTTTTTCTGGTCCCAATCCACAAGCAATGAATAAAACCCAAAATCTTTCTCGCACCTACTCATTTTTTCTTAGAGCACAATCAGATAATTTTTAGAGCTAGTTTTGAGATCACTGAGTCCAATTCTCTTGTTTTATAGATGAGAAGAGTGAGGCTGAGTGTGGAACTGTCTCACCCAAGACTGTGCATGGTAGCTTTTTGACCTAAAGTCTTACTATAAACTCACAGCTCTATGCAGCCCAGAAAAACCCTTCACGGAGGTGGCTCAAGAGTATTACAACAGTCTGTTAATCAATTCTCATTTAACAGAAGTGATATGGTTTGGCTTTGGGTCCCTGCCCAAATTTCAGGTCGAATTGTAATCCCCAGTGTTAGAGGAGGGGCCTGGTGGGAGGTGATTGGATCATGGGGGCAGTTTCTAATGGTTTAGCACCATCCCCCTAGTGCTGCTTGTTTAAAAGTGTGTAGCACCTCCTCCTTCACTCTCTCTCTCTCTTTCCCACCAGCCATGTGAAGATGTGCTTGCTTCCCCTTCACATTCTGCCATGATTGTAAGTTTCCTGAGGCCTCCCCAGGAGCAGAAGCTTGTATAGCCCGCAGAACCATGAGCCAGTTAAACTTCTTTTCTTTATAAATTACCCCATCTCAGGTATGTCTTTATAGCAGTGTGAGAACCGACTAATACAAGAGGGAAGAAAAAAACAAGGAGTAGAGAAGTCAAAAGATATGTTCAGCAAGCGCAAGATAAGGAACAATGCTGGAAAAAAAGTTGGTTTTTTTGTTTTGTTTTGTTTTTGCAGCAAAGGAATTGTGTACTTTTTGTTCCTTTAATAGCAGAAGGCCATTGGGAATCTCCTTGGTCTGAAAGGCAGCCTGCAGTTTTTGCACTGGCTCAACTGCCACAAGAGAGAAACTATGGCTTTTGCTCACAGGTATGAAATGAGGTCTAACCCACTTCAGGGAAGTGATATGACCCTGATAGCAAGGTCCTTTAGACTACAAGACGGATCTTGTCAAATTCAGGATACTCCTACTTCAAATTTTCCTCAATTCCCAGTCTCTCTGACTTAGAGCTGAAGAGTAGAGGGGAAGGATGTTCTACTTTTCTTTCACTGGTGATGGGGATGATAGAAGATGCCAATGATGTCTATTTAGGGCAAAAGAACTGACATTATTGAATATGAAGAAATGTGAAAGTGTGCAGAGGAGGGAAGGAACCTCTCTGTGTCTGGTCCTCATGTCCCTGGGTGCCCCTTGCATCCTTGTATCCCCCTCCTCCACTTGGCTTGGTCAGGCCATGGCTATAGATAAAGTAGCCATGGGGAGGCTGGGATTTGTAAACTGAAGTACAGCAGCACTCAGAAACCAAAAACGATTCCTCTTTCTGCTTAGCACAAAGCTCGTGCTGGGGCCCAGGGTAAGCCCTGCCTCTGCAGACTGGTTGAGTTGGATTGGATGGTGGAATGCCTTAGTCACATCCTAAGTCATATGACTTGAGCCTCCGTGTATCCGAACCCACGTAATGACCATAGTGTTACGGCAAGAGTCACTAGAATTCATTTGGATTCTTGTTCTGTCTAGAAGGCTCCCACCATCTCTTCTCTACCTGGCAGATGTCTACTCATCTTCCAAGATCCAAAGGCACCCACCTCTGTAGCCTTCACTGACTCCTCCTGGCAGAGGTCAGTCCTCTGGACTCCCACAGTACTCTGCTCCACTTTCTTCAGCACTTATCCCATTTGATACCCATCACCTGCTTAGTCCTCTGCTCCCCTTTTCACTGTGAGCTCCCCAAGATACAGTGCTTTCTCATATCTGCATCCTCTGTCCCAGCAGAACTCAATAGATAGCCAATCAGTGTTTGCTCCGTCAATGAATGGATGAGAACATTGAGACGGCCTTAAAGGAGATTTTCTCAGATACATCACAGGGGCCTCAGGCCCCCACCTGTGCTGCCAGACCCTCGCAGGGCCCCTGAGGTTTCTGCATTCTTTAGGTCTGCCTGGTTTCTTGGTTTATCTCTGCCTCTGCCCCTTTTAGGTGGATTCATTGACTCCTGCCTCCCCTTCTCTCCCACTGGGTCTTGAGGCAATGATACCTTCGTGTTTTCTCACCATCTCCTATTTGTACCACAGCCCATGAGAAGTTGTGTTAACCCGGAGATCATGTGGAATGCTCTTCAGAGGTGCACAATACCCCACCCTCCTCCCTCTCTGCCTTTCACAATACCCCAGAGCTGCCTCAGATGTGCCCCTCAAGCAGTTCTGTGTTTAACGACTGGCTGGGGGGAGGGGGCGGTGAGGGGAAAGGGCGTACTGAGTTACAGCATTTGCCAAGTTCTGTTGTGTAAACTACGCCCCCTGTGGCCAGTCTGAAGCTACTGAGGTGATGTCAGCAAGCGCAGAGCTGTGAAGAGGCGCGGACTGGCACATCATCATGTGGTTTTTCCAGCACAGAGATACAGGAGACATAAACGCCCTCAAGAACATAAAGGTAAAAAGGAGTAAAATACGTAGGAAGTGATGAGTTTAGAGTACTTATTATCTTTCTTTTTAATATAAATTTTTTACTTGTAAGTTTATACAATTTAATTTTTAATAATGCCTGTGTTTAAGAACTGGTTCACAAGGTTCCTCAAAATTTAGCAATTGGCTCTTGCAAGTCAGCACAAGCCAGCTCCAGCCACTGCAGCATGTCATGAGTTCATACTCAGTGATTCTCATCTGGTGGCTACTGGGCCCTCTGCCACCCACTGCCTGGAAAGAATTTAGTGCCCAGGGGCATCCTCTGGTTTGGGACTAGACTAAACAATCTCCTGATATCTTTGTGTTTCTCTGATTGAGTAGATTTTAATTTGTCTGGTCTCTACAGAATAAAAAGAACGATTTGGCCAGGCGCAGTGGCTCACGCCTGTAATCCCAGAACTTTGGGAGGCCGAGGCGGAGGATCACGAGGTCAAGAGATCGAGACCATCCTGGCCAACAAGGTGAAACTCCGTCTCTACTAAAAATACAAAAAATTAGCCGGGCATGGTGGTGGGTGCCTGTAGTCCCAGCTACTCAGAAGGCTGAGGCAGGAGAATCACTTGAACCCAGGAGGCGGAGGTTGCAGTGAGCCGAGATTGCGCCACTGAACTCTAGCCTGGTGACAGAGAGAGACTCCGTTTAAAAAAAAAAAAAAAAAGGACAATTTATTGGTGTCTGCCCTATTTTCACAAGACGTGGCTGAGATTATTGACTTAATTCACCCAGAGTTCTTTTTCTTCCCTTCTCAGCTGTTGGTCTCAGCGTCAGTTGCCCTCCGCACACCAGACCAACCAGGGCAGGGGAGTGAGGCAGTTTCTATAGCAACAGAACCACAGCTGCACCCCACTGTCCCCACACCTCTGCACCATTTCCCTCTGCCTACCCGCTTGCTTCTCCCAGGACACAAAACAGCCAGGCAATTCCCAGGCCAGGATATAATAATTCCTGCCAAGAGTGCTGCGACTCTGACCACCTGTGTTGGTTTCTTGCTTTGTGTCTGCCTCTGCCCCTTTTAGGTGGATTCCCTGACTCCCTCCTCTCCTTCTCTCCCATTTGGTGTAGAAGCTGTGACACCTTCATGCTACCCAGGGTGTCTCTCATTTGTATCAGTAAGCTGTGAACACTTATGCTATGATGACCTTGGGATAAGAATATAAATCCATGTTAACCACCATCACCATCTCACCATCATACAACTATCATGACCAGTTTACCCCAACATGCTACCCCATAACCACCCCACAGCAACATCACCATCACCTCCGCCTCCGCCTCCACCAGCACCCATCATCACACCACGCTCCACAGCCAGCTCACTATCACCTCTACCAGCACCCACCTACCACACCCCCCCCCCACAGCCACCTCATTATCACCAGTACCCCCTCCCCCACCATAGTTATACCACCATCTCCCCGCCTACCATCCATCCCACTTCCTTTAATGAAAACAGGTGATGCTGCGGGGGCTGCATACAGTCCAGCAAGCCCTGTCGAGCGCTGGCTTGGCTCACCCTGTCCCATGGTTGCAGGCCGCTCCTCTTATCCACTTGGCCGCAGAAAGCGCCTCTCTCAAACTGTTGCTTCTGGGCTCCTTCTGGGCTTTCTGTCTTCCAGACAGAAAATATGAAGGCACTTTTGTTGGCTTAAGAATCTGGAAATAGCAAAACCTCCCCCCACTACTCCTGTGAGCACCCTGACATGTTTCTTCTCTCCTACTCCCTCTCTGCTGGTATCTCCTGGACCAGTTACTGGGAGTAACCCTGTTCATTTTATCTCTTGTGCCAGGAGGCCCAGGCAGGAATACGCCTGGCAGCCCTGGGGGAGGGGGTGGGATGGGGAAGACCTGCCAACTAGAGAAGCCTAGAACAAACCTTGAAGCCTCTTGCTTCAGTGGTCTCAAGAGACTCTCAGAGATGTTATCTGGACTGCACTGGAAGACTCTGGAAGAGAGGAGGCCACAAACAGGAGTCCCATATCCAACTCCAAATCTCAGGCCCTAAACGTGACAGGGGCTGCAAGTTGCAAGATGTTCATGGGCTGTTTTGATAATAGAGAGAACACGTGCATCTGCAATTTATCTGTGTGAAAAAGATAAGGAAGTAGAATTTGTTGGTGAAAAATAAATGTATTAAAAGTAGAAGCTGGGGCCCCAACTCTTCCAAGCCTACCTGGTCTGGGACCCTCTACCAGAGAAGGTTGGGAACTATCTTGGGACTCAGGCCCTATGTCTTTTCAATTTTTCTTTCTTTAGTTCCTGAAGAGACAAGAGAAGGATCTCATATTTGGCCCTACCTGGGCTTGTGAAACTGTGTTACCAGAAGCACTTTCAGGGCAGCTGTACTTGCTGCATATACATGAGACGTCTATAGAATGATATAAAACACACTGCCAAAAATATTGGTTGCCTGTGGGGAGGGGATCTGGGCAGTGGGGTAGAAAGGTTATCTTTCTGCTGTTTACTCTTTTATACTTTTAAAACTTTGAACTTTTGAACTCATTTGAAGGATCTTATTATGTAAAAAAAAAAAAAAAAAAAAAAAATGAAACTTCTGCCTTTCACTAGCGCAGTGGCTCATGCCTGTAATCCCAGCACTTTGGGAAGCCAAGTCAGGCGGATCACCTGAGGTCAGGAGTTCGAGACCAGCCTGGCCAATATGGTGAAACCCTCTCTCTACTAAAAATACAAAAATTAGCTGGGCGTGGTGGCAGGCGCCTGTACTCCCAGCTACTCAGGAGGCTAAGGCAGAAGAATTGCTTGAACCTGGGAGGCTGAGGTTGCAGTGAGCCAAGATCGTGCCACTGCACAGCCAGCATGGAGCAAGACTCCATCTCAGAAAAAAAAAAAAAAATCCTTCATAAGAAATGAAGAAGTTAATTTTTCATTATTTGAAGATGTCATTTTTTACCTGGAAAACTTGAATCTACTAACAATGATTATAAAAGGTAATTTAGTGAGCTGGCTAATACCAAAAGTATAGAAGCCAATAGTTTTCATACCTGCAATCAATAACAAGTCAGAAACTGTAATTAAAGACCCAACCTATAATAGCAACAACAACAAAAGGTGAAATTTCTAGAAATAAACTTAAGAAATGTGAAGTGCTGTCAGTAAAACACTTGGAAACGGTATGGAGGGACACCAAATAAGACTTGAGCAGATAAAAAGGAAGATCACCATCCTGTGTAGGACAACTCAACTTTATAAAGCGGTCATTTCTTCCCAAGTTGATCTTAAGTTTAATTCATTCCCAATAAAAACACCAAGATTGTTTTTTGAAACTAGGTAAACTGATTCTAAGGTTCAAAAGGAAATTTCTAAGATAATAATAAAGTGTGACCAGCCTTCCTAGATATGAACACATAATATGATATTACTGTAATTGAAAAGTCCATAGATCAAAATACATGTATTAAATGTATGCTAAATGTGGCACTTCAAATCCATGGGGAAATGAAGGATTTATCAGTAAATGATTTTGGGACAACTAGCTTGTCAAAATACAGTTGGCTTCCTATCTTATGCCACACATCAAAATAAATTTCAGATGGATCAAAACTCTTATTAAATTCTTAAAGTAATAGAAGAAAAAATGAGACACTTCTTCTTAAGTTAACTTGGGAAAACCTTTAAAAATATTATGCAAAACTCAGAAGACAAAAAGAAAATACTGAGAAATTTGATTCCTTAAAAATTTTTAAATGGAAATATTCACAATGTTAAAAGATATGCAGATGGGGCACGGTGGCTCACACCTGTAATCCCAGAACTTTGGGAGGCCGAGGCGGGTGGATCACGAGGTCAGGAGTTTGAGACCAGCCTGGCCAACTTGGTGAAACCCCATGTCTACTAAAAATACAAAAAATTAGCTGAGCGTGGTGGCATGTGCCTGTAATCCCAGCTACTTGGGAGGCTGAGGCAGGAGAATAGCTTGAACCCGGGAGGTTGGAGGTTGCGGTGAGCTGAAACTGGGCCACTGTGCTCCAGCCTGGGCCACAGAGTGAGAATCCGTCTCAAAAACAAAACAAAACAAGATATGCAACAAGTTGGGTAAAATATTTGAAACTCATATCACGAAGGATTAATCTCCTTAATATAAAAGATGCCTATAAATCAATAAGAAAAGAATAACAAACTATTAGAAAAATGAGTAAAGGATATGATAGACAATTCACAGAAAAGGAAATAAAAATGTCTATCAATTCCATGGAAAGATGTTCAGCCTCATTTAATAAAAATGCAAAATAAAAACACCCTGAGATATCATTCTTTCTTCACCTATTAGATTGGCAAAGATAAAAGAGTTTGACAACATTTTGAGTTGGTGATGTTTTAGGAAAATAGTTGCTCTCTTATAATACTAGTGGGAGTGCAAATTTAAATTGGTGCAGCCTCGGCTGGGCGCGGTGGCTCATGCCTGTAATCCCAGCACTTTGGGAGGCAGGTGAATCACTTGAGGTCAGGAGTTCGAAACCAGCCAGGCCAAGATGGTGAAAACCAATCTCTACTAAAAATACAATAATTAGCCAGACATGGTGGTGGGTGCCTGTAATCTCAGCTACTCAGGAGACTGAGACATGAAAATCGCTTGACCTGGTGGGTGGAGGTTGCAGTTAGCCAAGATCATGCCACTGTATTCCAGCCTTGACAACAGAGCAAGACATTGTCTCAAAAAAATAGAAATAAATAAATTAATTAATAAATAATTGGTGCAGCCTCTCCAAATTTGTGCAGCCTCTACGGAGAGTGTTAGTCAGACTGGGTGGCTTAAACAACAGATATTTATGTTTTCACCCTTCTGTAGGATGGAAGTTCAAGATCAGGGCCTTTAGGCTTGGTGTCTGGTGAAGGCTCTCTTCCTCACATGCCCTCTTCCCTGTGTCCACGCGGAAAGAGAAAGATCTCTGGTGTCTTTTCCTTTTCGTCTTCTTATAAGGACATCATTCCTATTGGATTGAAGCCCATTCTTATGACCCCACTTCACCTTTATTACCTTCTTATAGGTCCCATCTCCAAATACAGTCACATTGGGGGTTAGGGCTTCAACATATGAATTTTTGGGGAGGACACAATTCAGTCCAGAACAAAGGGAAATTAAGTGGTTTCTACCAAAACTTTAAATGTCTATACTTTTTGCTGCTCTGCCTATGGATTAGCCATTCTTTATTCCTTTACTTTCTTAATAAACTTGCTCTCACTTAAAAAAAAAAAAGTCTATACTTTTGATTCAGCCATTCTACTTCTAGGTATTTATCATACAAATGATCAAACAGGTGTAAAATGAAATTTATACAAGTATATTCAAGGCATTGATATTTATAATAGCCAAATACTAGAAACTACCTAAACATCCATGCATAAGGTATTAGGTAGATAAATTATGGAACATGCATTCAATAAAATACATAAAGGTGAAAAAGAATGAAGTAGCTCTATATAAAAGGATGTGGAACAATCTCCAAGCTTGATTTGTATGTTTGTTTATTTGTTTTGAGACAGGGTCTTGCTCTGTCACCCAGGCTGGAGTGCAGTGGTGCAATCATGGCTCACTGCAGCCTCAACCCCTGGGCTCAAGTGATCCTCCCACTTCAGCCTCCAGAGTAGCTGGGACTACAGGCATGTGCCACTACATCTGGCTAATTTTTATTTTTTGTAGAGATGGGGTCCCACTATGTTTCCCAGGCTGGTCTTGAACTCCGGTGCTCAAGTGATCCCCCAGCCTTGGCCTCCCAAAGTGTTGGGATCACAGGCATGAGCCACCGCGCCCAGTCCAAGCTGTATTGTTAAGTGGAATAAGCAAGGTAGAGAACAATGTGAATAGTATACTATCTTTGTGTAAAGGGTATGTGTGCGTGGGGAGAATATATATGAATTTGCTTGTGTTTATATAGACTATTTCTAGAAAATTATTGCTTCTAGATAGAGACATCAGTGCCTAGGCACAAGGCTTTTTTCTATATACCCTTTGTATCTTTGTGCCATGAACTTGTATTTATGTGTTAATATTTTTAAAGTAACAAAAACTTTTAGGGGAAAGAAAAGTCTGGCTGAAAGAACTATTTTCACCACAGAGGGCCCCTTACCTAGGAGAGCAATGGGGAGGTTGTGGGCTGGTCTCCCTTTGGGGAATGTGTTCTCCTTCTGGTTCTAGCAAAGAGAATCTTCTCTTTCCCGGTACAGTTCCCATGAGAGCTTCACAGAGATCCAGTCTCTGGCAGTATTTCAGTCGGGGCACTTTCTGAGGTACCGTTAGGAACTGTTAGGAACCGCGTTAGATACTGGTGGTACAGCAGTAAAGCTCTATAGACGCGTCTCTGCCACCAAGGAGCTTCTATTCCAGCAGGGGGAGACAAACAATACTAAGTGCGTACACCATTAGCTATTTCTCTGTCAAGTGTGCCAAATGCTGTAAAAAAGAAGTTTGAGTGCTCTTGGACCCAGGTGTGGACGGTCAGGGTAGGCTTCTCTCAGAAGGTGATATTTAAGGGAGGATAAATAGGAGTTAGCTAGCTAATAGTGTGTCCGGAATTGGTGGGTACTTGGTCTCACTGACTTCAAGAATGAAGCCGCCGACCCTCGCAGTGAGTGTTACAGTTCTTAAAGGCCGCGTGTCCGGAGTTTGTTCCTTCTCATGTTCTGATGTGTTCGGAGTTTGTTCCTTCTGGTGGGTTCGTGGTCTCGCTGGCTCAGGAGTGAAGCTGCAGACCTTCGCGGTGAGTGTTACAGCTCTTAAGGGGGCGCGTCTGGAGTTATTCGTTCTTCCTGGTGGGTTCGTGGTTTCGGGGGCTTCAGCAGTGAAGCTGTACACCTTCGCGGTGAGTGTTACAGCTCATAAAGGCAGTGTGGACCCAAACAGTGAGCAGAAGCAAGAGTTACTGCAAAGAGGTAAAGAACAAAGCTTCCACAACACAGAAGCAGACCCGAAGGGGTTGCCACTGCTGTCTAGGGCAGCCTGCTTTTATTCTCTTATCTGGCCCCACCCACATCCTGCTGATTTGTCCATTTTACAGAGAGCCGATTGGTCTGTTTTACAGAGAGCTGATTGGTCCGTTTTGACAGGGTGCTGATTGGTGCGTTTACAATCCCTGAGCTGGACACAAAAGTTCTCCAGGTACCCACTAGATTAGCTAGATACAGAGTGTTGATTGGTGTATTTACAAACCATGAGCTAGACATAAAGGTTCTCCAAGTCCCCACCAGACTCAGGAGCGCAGCTGGCTTCACCCAGTGGATCCCGCACTGGGGCCGCAGGTGGAGCTGCCTGCCTGTCCTGCGCTGTGGGCCCGCTTTCCTCAGCCCTTTGGCGGTCGATGGGACCGGGCGCCGTGGAGCAGAGGGCGGCGCTCCTTGGGGAGGCTCAGGCATGGCGGGCTGCAGGTCCCGAGCCCTGCCCTGCGGGGAGGCAGCTAAGGCCCGGGAGGAATCGAGAGCAGCACCGGTAGGCCGGCAGTGCTGAGGGACCCGGCGCACGCTCCGCAGCTGCTGGCCCGGGTGCTAAGCCCCTCACTGCCCGGGCCGGCAGGGCTGGCCAGCCGCTCCGAGTACGGGCCCGCCAAACCCACGCCCACCGGGAACTCTAGCTGGCCCGCAAGCGCCGCGCGCAGCCCCGGTTCCCGCCCGTGCCTCTCCCTCCACACCTCCCCGCAAGCTGAGGGAGCCGGCTCCGGCCTGGACCAGCCCAGAGAAAGGCTCCCACAGTGCAGCGGCGAGCTGAAGGGCTCCTCAAGCGCGGCCAGAATGGGCGCCGAGAACGAGGAGGCACCGAGAGCGAGCGAGGGCTGCCAGGGCTGCCAGCAAGCTGTCACCTCTCAACAGGACAAGGGTTGGCGTGAGAGGAGAGAAAACAGCACGTGCACAGGCGCTAAGGCAGGAGGCATCTGAAAGCAGGTCAGTGGGTCTGCATCACAGAGAGAGATGGGGAGAGGTAAGGCAAGGGCTAAATCTTGCAGAGTTGAGCTGCGAATTTTGGATTTTATTCTCAGAGCAGTGAGAAGCCATTGAAATGATATTTGAAGCAAGGGAGTAACACAATCAGATTTGTATTTTTAAAATACTGGCTAATATGGGGGAAATGATTTAGAGGGGGCAAAAAGGGAAGAGAGATGACCAATAAGAGACTAGGGTAATGGCCCACGTGAAAGATGATGGTGGTCTACTCCGGGGGGTGTTAGTAAAGATAGACATAGGCCGGTCACGGTGGCTCACGCCTGTAATCCCAGCACTTTGGGAGGCCAAGACAGGCGGATCACCTGAGGTCAGGAGTTTGAGACCAGCCTGGCCAACATGGCGAAACCCCGTCTCTACTAAAAATACAAAAATTAGCTGGGCGTGGTGGCGGGCGCCTGTAATCGCAGCTACTCGGGATACCGAGGCAGGAGAATCGTTTGAACCTAGAAGGTGGAGGTTGCAGTAAGCCAAGATCATGCCACTGCACTCCAGCCTGGGCCACAGAGCAAGACTCCATCTCAAAAAAAAAAAAAAAAAAAAAGACATGGACAGATTTGACGGAGATGTAGGAGGTTAAATGGATATGACGTGCTAATGGACAGGATATCAGGGTGGAGGGCAGAGAGGAAAAGATACTCAACATGACTCCCAGGTGCAAATAAGTTAATTATGCTGGCACATTGCTTTACAAAGCACTTTCGCGTACATTATCTTGTATGATCTGAACCTCAATCTTGTAAACTGCATTAAGGGATCATGATTCCAATTTTACTGATGAGAAAATACGTTCAGAGAGTTAACATTTATTTTAGCGAATGTAAGATCAATTAATATACTGCCTCATTCCAGAAAGAATTTAAGACTAACAGTGAAATATGGTATTGCAGAAGAGCACATTACAATGATGCAAATGATGAAAGAATAAAGATGGAACCCAAACAGAGCCAAGGAGGAGGCTAAAAGTGCATACTATAGCCTACCTATCCACATGTGTTCCACATACGAGAAACTTACCTCTAAGCTCCAGAAGGGAAGGTTTCCCAATATCTCACAGCTTATGGTAAAGCCTAGACTCAAACTGAGGTCTTCCAACTCATACCCCACATATGTGATTTCACATTAGCCTTAATCCTAGCCACCACTGAGAAGGTCTCTCTATTCAACCTTCTTTTAAAATCTTTCAAGAATTTCTGTATCTAAATACAGCAGACTAGCTTGTTACCATCCTCTCTGTTGGGAACAATTAGAAAAGTTGAATGAAATATTTTAAATATCTCTTTGAAGGCATCAAGGCAGTGAGGACTTGAGGGATCAAGATCTTGGGGGAGAAGAGCAGAGAGTGAACTTGAAACTGGCTGCCACTCTTCTATCTGGGGCATTTGCCCATTCATAGTTGGCAGATAAGAGCCTGAGAATCTGGCAGTCTAGCAGGGTTTGAGTTTGAGGGTCATTAAGGATGAGGGGCCCCAATAAACACCCCAGGCTTTCTGTTGGGACTGCAGAAGGGCTATGCCCCAGGAGTTGAGTTAAGTAGGAAATAGACTAATCCTTATAAAAGGCTGAAGTTGGCTGGGCGCGGTGGCTCACACCTGTAATCCCAGTACTTTGGGAGGCTGAGGTGGGTAGATCACCTGAGGTTGGGAAACCTGACCAACATGGGGAAACCCTGTCTCTATGGAAAACAAACAAACAAAAAACAACAACAACAACAACAAAAAACAAAATTAGCCGGGTGTGGTGGCACATGCCTGTAATCCCAGCTACTTGGGAGGCTGAGGCAGGAGAATGGCTTGAACCCGGGAGGCAGAGGTTGCAGTGAGCTGGAGATCGTGCCATTGCATTCCAGCCTGGGCAGCAAGAGCGAAACTCTGCTTCAAAAAAAAAAAAAAGCTGAAGCCTGGTTTTAAATAAATCTCCATTATGGCACTCTCCCACTATCCTAACTTCCTACCAGAAAGAACATTCTCTGGAGGATATTAGCATTATCCAGAGCCTAACATTATCTATGTTCACAGAGTTCTTTCTCACATTCCCACAGATTCATTCAGCATCCCAGCTCAGACCTTCTGCTAACACTTGCTATACCAGGCACGTGGCCTGCCTCCCCTCAGGAAGCTCCAGGCTCTCATGGAGTCTGAAGCCAAGCCTATCCTCTGGGGTTGGAGGAAAGCTGGGTATATCTGAGATCAGCACTCTGCAATCAAATTCTTTTTGTCTGTACTCCTGAAAAAGCAGCAGCCCCAAAACTGGCACCAAGTGGCTCCTGGATACTGGGAAGTCAGGTCTCAGGGACAGGTAGAGAAGTGGTACCAGCTGCTCATTGGTTGGTTGGCTGCTGGTCAGTGGGCAAGTGGTGGGGAAGAAAAACTGAACAGTGGGCCTTGGAGGGCCAGGGACTAAAGGAGGAGCGAGCTCTGGGAAACAAAGTGTAGCTCTTGTTGCTGCCTGCCCTTTCCACACAGCCAGCTCCCAGCTCTCCAGTTATTCACCAGGTTGGGGTGAATGAGAGCTTCTGACACTTCCTTGAACTTCAGGCTAACTTATGACACTAACAAAGACACCTTTAGGACCCAAGGGCAGACCTATGGGAGTACTGGGCAGTGTGACATGGGGGGAATTTGGAATCAGACAGACTTTGCTGTGTGGTCTTAAACAAATTACCCAATTTCTCTGAACTAGATAAAGTCCTTTTGTCTCATGATTGTCCTTTGAATGCAAGCAAAGCCAAAACTAGTGTTGGTCAACTTAAAAAAACAAGAGTATGAAGGAGCTCGTAGATTGATGGGGAAAAGGAGAGCCAGGACTAGGAGAAGGATGGACTCCAGGGCAGCTCGAGTGACTAGGCAGCAGGAACAGAGGCTGGTCTGTCTCTGGGTCTCTGCTGCCAAGATGGATGGACTCCAAGTTTCTCCCTTTTCTAACCCACTTCACTCTGCAGTCAAAGTCCTGGGAGAAGTGTCTGATTGTCCCAGCATAAGTCACATGCCCACCTCTTGGCCATGGGCGGGCAGGGCTTCTTCACTGGCAGATCGACCAAGGCTACACACAATAAGGAAAAAGAAATTTCTTCAAAAACCCTTTTTGCCTGGAGCTGAGCTGAGCGTTGTCAGAAGAAAATTATACTGAGTTCCACTGGGGTTGGGGGATGAGGGGCTGTGAGGTTGTCCATTGGGAATGGGTTGGGGAGAACCTTATTTGCCGTGTTTATTGGTCTATTCCCTACACCTAGAACACTCAGCACATTAGGAACTCAAAAAATGTTAAACGAACGGATGAAAGACAACCTTTGCATTTAAGGAAGGCCTTTGCGCTCAAAGAAGTGACTCTGATGGGAATTGCAAGCTCCTATGGCAGACAAGGGTGGAGAACTATTTGTCCTTTAAGTGCTTCTTAAGTCACATGAAGTCTGCTCAGCTCTGCAAAGTGGAATCGGCCCTGAGCACTGACACTGCAGGAAGTGATTGTGATCCAAGACTTAGAGGAGGCAGATGCCTGAAGATGATTGTGACCCAAATTCCTTAGACTGCGGCCTGAAGCTCTTCACCCCCTGGCTCTTGCCTCATTTCTTTCCTGCTTCTTGCTCCCTCCCATTCTGACCTCTGGCCATCTGAATGACTTGCAGTTCCTGGCTGCTTTATTCCACTCCCTCTCCTTCCAATTCCTAGTCTTTGACCAACCACTAGCTTTTAGGGCTCCACTTAAATACCACTTCCTCCAGGAAGCCTTCCTTGAACCAATATCCCAAGGCTGGACTAGCTGGCCCTCCTTGTGCTCCCACAACACCCTGGTTTACCCCAGTGGTGGATCTCACCACTCTGTGTTATAACCTCCTGTTTATTTTTCATTCTCCACATCCTTAGACTTGAGCTCCTTGAGTGCAGGCCCTGGTCCTTCTTGTGTCCTTAGGGCCTACCTGGCTCAGGGCCTGGCCCCTAGTAGAAACTCAGTAAATTTTTGTTGAATCAAAGAATTAATGAATGTGGTGTTAAAATCAGGACTCATTAAAGAGTCCTAGGGTGCAGTTCCTGAAATCTTCCATGTGCTTCAGAGGTCATTGTGTCTATAAGATGTTTCTCTCTCTGGTGTTTTCCTTAAACTATTTCTCATGATTGTCAGGTAATAATTATAAGATGAAATAATTTTAAGTTACTTCCAGCTCCCTGCCAGTAGCTCCTGGTTCTCAGCCCACTCTCTCACAGGACTATTTCCCTACTTTCCCTAATTCTTGCCACATGCCCTTCTATCCCACTGATTAACTACACATACCTTTGGTTTATACATACTGGAAGTCTTTTTTTTTTTTTTTTTTTTGAGACGGAGTCTCGCTCTGTCGCCCAGGCTGGAGTGCAGTGGCGGGATCTCGGCTCACTGCAAGCTCCGCCTCCCGGGTTCACGCCATTCTCCTGCCTCAGCCTCCCAAGTAGCTGGGACTACAGGCGCCCGCCACTACGCCCGGCTAATTTTTTGTATTTTTAGTAGAGACGGGGTTTCACCGTTTTAGCTGGGATGGTCTCGATCTCCTGACCTCGTGATCCGCCCGCCTCGGCCTCCCAAAGTGCTGGGATTACAGGCGTGAGCCACCGCGCCCGGCCTGGAAGTCTTCATCTTCTTTATTTACTGTGTGTGTATTTGATAGGACAGCTGTCTCAGTCATATAGTCAGTACTGAGAGAGCAAGTGCATCATGCCTTTCTTTGTGCAGAACTTTGTGCAGTGCCACAAGAGGAGATAATGATCAGAATTTTTTTGTGTTCAGTAGGACCCAGAAAGCGTGGAGTTTGCATGACCATAAACACAGGCTGCAACTAATAGAAAACTCTGAGAGTATTCCATTTCCCACTCAAAGTCTACCTCATTGTGTTATTCAGCCAGCTTTATCTCCCCAGCCAACCCAAGGCCATCCAGGACCACAGTGCGTCAGTGAGTTTTGAGTGAATAGGCTGGTACTGTTAGGACTGAGGGACCTCTTAGATGTCATATGGGAAAGGATTCAAAGGAAGGCCAAGGGTGAAAGGTCTCCCAGACTTTTTTTTCCCCCCAAGACACAAAGATGGTAGGTAGTAAGTAGAAACACCTGTGAGTTTTTGTTTTTTCTAGCTGGATCATGGCTGATACACCACCTGTGAGTATCTCACTTATTTGTGGACGTGTTCATTGTCTATGTCCCCTGCCTCCACTAGAAATGTAAGCTCCATGAGGGCAGGGACTTTGCTTTGTTTACTTTGTACCCCTACACTCAGAACCACTTCTGGCATATGCTAGGCACTCAATAAATACTTTTTTGAATGAATGGAGACTGCAGCATCCAAGGAACAGATAGGAAAGTGATGACTACATGAGGCAAAGGAGAGCAAGGTCTGAAGTTTATTCATACTAGGGAATTAGCTTTCGCAACAACAAAACAACAGTGAGCTGTTCAGCCTGTCTTTTTCTTTCCTGGATATCTGGGGCAGGGGGCAGTTAAGTCATGGCCAAGTCCTACCAGTATCCTCTGACCTCTGTGCCAAATCACGCTTCTGGATAGGAGACTGGAATCCTGGAATCTCTGGATGGGACACAGTGGAATCCCTGGGCCCTGAAAAGAGTCCAGGGGAGCTGTGCAAATGGTCCAGGGAAATATCCATCCATAGACATTTCCTACCTGTTCTCTGGATGCTGGAGTCTCCTATTCATTCATTCAAAAAATATTTGTTGAGTGCCTAGCATATGCCAGAAATGGTTCTGAGTATAGGGGTAGTAAACAAAGCAAAGTCTTTGCCCTCATGGAGCTTAAATTTCTAGTGGAGTCAGGAGAGACAGAAAATGAACACGTCATCCCCTCTGTGGCTCTTGCTGGAGCCCTGTGAAGCCTCTGTTGTGGTGGGGAATGGCGCAGCTTGCATTTGAACTTGCTCCTTTTCCTGAAGCTTGAAATTCACACGTCTGGCGCGTTGTTCCAGAATTTATAATGCAAAGTCTACATAAACATTCCTGTAACCCTTAATGTCCTTAAACTTGTTGCTTCTCATATTAGCTTGGATCTGCCTTTGTCCACTCTTGAAGGGGACGGTCTCCAGAATGATGCTTGCTTGGTGTTGGGGTTTGAGGACTCCAAGGCTGCAACAGAGAATGGAGCATGTCAGAAAACCAAAAGCATGATAATGACCCTGGAGCCCTTTTCCACCCAGCTTCCTGAGTGGGAGGGAGTGCTTCCACTTTCCCTTCCCCGGTGTTGTGGAGTCTGGCTCAGGAACCCATGTTCAGGAAGGATAGTGCTAATCTCAGGGGGGAAAAACAGGAGAAGGCTGAGCACTTGCAGCACTTACAAGACTTTCTGCTGTTTCTTGAAGAGGCCACTTCCTTCCACAGTCAGCACACAGTCCTCAACCTGCTCCGAGAGGGGGTTTGAAAATATCACCTGTATGGAGAGTGGCTGGTTCACAACGGCTGCTCCTAGAACCTAAACAGACCAGGAGGGGAAGGAGAATTAGTTCTCATTCCCCAACTCACCAGATATTTACGAAGGGCACCATTCTGTAAGGTGGCAGGATATGCCACCTCCAAATATGCCACTTTGGCATAAGAATTCTTTGAGCCGAAGACAATTGAGAAGAAGCAGATATAAGAAAAGCTCTCTAGTTTCCCTTTATTTGCCTAAAAGCAGGACATAAATTTACAAAGGTGTCCCCCCTCCCCTCTCTACCAGGAAGGACAAAGGCTGATCACCAGAGATGCCTTCAGACCTTTACGAGCCTGGAGAGGGCACCAGAGGAATCTACACAACAAACTTTCTAAGTTTTATCTACCATGAGTTTCCCATGTATTTGCCTTCCCAAAATTTGCCACCCCTTGAGACTCAAGGTCCTTTCCTTTTCTCTTGTCACTTCTCTAAAAACATATTGCTTCTTTGCTAAGATGCCACAAAAGCCCAAGTTCTAGCCAAACCTTCATGTTTCCCCACCGGAAGGGGCTCCATGGGCTTACTTAACAGGGTCTAGGAGGCTGGTTGACTTTGGGGAGACAGCACGGGAAGGAAGGGAGACCTTAAAATCTTCCCACTTGGAAGACCGCAGAATGTCAGAGCAGGCGGGGTCCTCAGAGGCCATCTAGCCTAATCCCCTCTCTAACAGTTCAAGAAACAGAGGCCCAAGGCCCTGTCCAAGGATACACAGCCAAAAAATGGCAAATCAAGTCTGAACTGACTTTCAGACAGGGCTCTCCCCCGACCAGAGACCCTCCCATCTGTGCTCACTTTCCTTATGTTGACCCATGGGGAAGGCCAACAGCAGGAGGGGCACAAGAGGGGGGTCTCTCCTATTGTCCATGGCACCTGCTCAAGGACCCATCCATAGGGCCTCTAGTGAGTGGTGCAAGAGGATGAAGATCTCTCAGACAAACTTCTCCCTCCTGGAGCACCAGAAGAGGCAAAGGAAGGAGGGGATGCTCTCCTAAGCAGGCCCAGGCTGCCCTCTCACAGGGCTTCACCCCCTCCCCGCCAGATCCAAGGAGCCCCACAAGCCATTTGCAGGACTCCTGCCTACATTAATCGTGATGCTTGGATAAGATAAGGTGATGATCTTGTTCACCAGGATTTTCTCAGGACTGCTTTTCTCTTCACCCAGGGCACTGATGCGGATCAGCTTGTCTGTTGACAGGTACTGGCTGTACTGGGAATAGGAGATTTTGCAGGGGTAGGTCTTTGCTAAAGAAAGAACACAAGGATGGGGTGAGAGTAGCTGAGAAAATCAGCCGTACCTGGGTTGGACCTGGGTCTCTCTTCCACAGAGAAGAGAAAGTCAACAAGTACCAAATCCCAGGGAAGCAGGTGGCAGCTTTTTAGATGAGGAAATGAGCTGAAAAGAGCCAAAATGGCTGCCCAAGGCCATTCTGCTAGGAAATGGGAGAGCTGAGGCTCCAACGAAGGTCTCAGAGACTCCAAATCTCAGGCTTTTTCTGCAAAACCAGCTACTTTTGTTGTGGTAGGAAAGGAGGAGGAAGAGAAAGGAGGGAGAGAGGAGATACAACGAAGGAAGGAAGAGAGGGAGGGAGGGAAGGAGGGAGGGAGGGAAGGAAGGAAGGAAGGAAGGGGGAAGGAGAAGAGGGAAGGAGGGGAATCGTGCCAGAGGGGACAGTAGAAATGATGGTGTCTCAGGGGTCTGCCCCCAGAACCCTGTTGGCTGGCTTGACCCCACTGACATTGCCAAAACCAACTCTGCGTACACAAACTGTGCACATGCGTACCTTCTTTAGGAGAGAGTGTGATGAACGCTGTGTCCTGCCAGAATGGGGACAGGGGGCTGCCATCGTGCAGCAGAGACTGGGCACTCAGGTTCACTTTGAGGTCCTTGAACTGGGAGGACATGTTGAGGGCCAGCAGGACAAAGCATATATCCTGGCCCATGTTGGGCGGGTCGAGCAGCTTGAATTTCAGGGAGACTTGCACCACATCACTGGGTCGAAGGGAAGGTGTATGCAGGCTCCGAGGGCTGTCCTGGCTCAGTGATGTGGGCCTGGAAGGTTGCAACTCTGCTCCTCTTTGGGAGCCATGGAAGCTTCTAGCCTTCAGCTTCTGCAGAGCCTTCAGAAACACCTGCCTCTCCTGGAGGGATCCTGAAGTTGGGGAGAGCACAGCACCAGCTGTGAGCCAGGCTGACCGGGGTAGACTGAGGCTGAGCGCCATCCCCCACCCAATATCTCCACCAACAACTTCAGGCCTTCACTCCCAGTAACAAGCACTCCCTCCACTCCTCATGTGCTTTCCCAGGCAGGCTCTGCTGGCCACTTCACACCCTTCCTCCTGTATCAACCACAAGCAAGGTGTATTACCATTAGCATTCTTCTTCTTCTTCTTCTTCCATACACAGATAAAGAAAAGGAGGCTAATGGAAGTCATGTCACCTGCCCAAGTCACACAACTAGTAAGGAGCAGATCCCAGGTGGGAAGCAAACCTGCCCAACTCTAAAACCCGTGCCTGTGACCGCTCAACTCTATCCTGATCTCCTCAAGGGAAAGATGAAGGCCCACAAATGCAGAGAAATAAACCTCATAAAGACAGCAGGGCATGGTGTGATGTCCTGTTCCAGAGCCAGATTATTGGTCAGGCATAGACTAATTCCTGGAAACTAAGGGAAAGGAGAAGCACAGTAAATAAGTAAATACATATGAGAGGAGGTCTAGGCGTGCAGAGTTCCCAGGGTGGCCCCAGCTTCCCTGCTCTATCCTGGGGGTCCCTGTGGGCCGCATGTGCAGGAATACTTGCCCACGCCTCATAATTCCAGAAGCTGCTTTTGTTGAGTACTTACTATCCCCAGGGACCAGCTCTACCCCTTCAATGCATTTGCCACAACTTCCTGAGGCAGAGGCCACTTTTATCCCCTTGCTCTGGGGTTCATTCTAAGGCCAGTTCCAGACAAAAGAGAATCTGGAGACATTTGCTTCAGTAAGAGTGGGCCCACAGGCTGAGGGCAGTGGCTCACACCTGTAATCCCACCACTTTGGGAGGCCAAGGAGGGTGGATTACTTGAGGTCTGGAGTTCGAGACCAGCCTGACCAACATGGTGAAACCCTGTTTCTACTAAAAATACAAAAAATTTAGCCAGGCATGGTGGCAGGCACCTATAATCCCAGCTACTTGGGAGGCTGAGACAGGAGAATTGCTTGAACCCAGGAAGCAGAGGTTGCAGTGAGCGGAGATCATGCTGTTGCCCTCCAGCCTAGGTGACAGAGCAAGACTCTGTCTCAAAAAAAAAAAAAAAAAAAAGAGTGGGCCCAGGAAGATGGGAATCTGATTTAGCGCATCTGCGGTCTGTGCGACCCCAGACCCTGTCAGGCTGGGTGGGAGAAGACTGAATACTGCTGGCCTGAGGAGCACCTAAGCAGGACACTCAGGTCCACTCGGGTATGGCTCCAATCCCCCTGAGTCCACAGGGGACCCCGTGGGCCTCTCTAGCAAATGCCATCAAAGCCCTGCCCATATTCCCTTGGCACTTGCCATTTCAGTGTCCACAGGCCCTACTTTTCAAATTGCAGCCCCTGCAACTCTGTCTGAGGTTTTCTCTGCTACCAGAGCAGACTCAGCTCATGCATGGGGCAGGCCAGAAGTGCTAAAGAATTTACATCCCCCAGGAACAGCCCTCAACTCATGACCAACAGGAGTTGATGGATAAACACCCTAGCCCCTGTGACTCTCTGGTGTGATAAATCAGCAGTATTGTTCTACACTTCACACCGAATCAGTGATAGGGTTGCCAGATTTAGCAAACAAAAATACAAGGCAATTTAATTTGAATTTCAAATAAACAACAAATAATTTGGGACAGCCTTTTTTTTTTTTGTTTAGAAATGAGGTCTCACTCTATTGCCTAGGCTGGAGTGCAGTGTTGCCATCATAGTTCACTGCAGCCTCAAATTCTGAGGCTAAAGTGATCCTCCCGTCTCAGCCTCCCAAAGTGTTGGGATTGCAGGTGTGAGCTTACAGCTCCTGGCCTGGGACAAATTTATGCTAAAGCATTATTTGTCCTTTATTTTCTCTGACAACCCCACTTCCAGAGCTCCCAGCCAGCTGTCACTGTGCTAACAGGCTTGAAAATGTACTCTTACATCCACTTCCTTCCCTTCCCTGTCTCCCTCACTCTGCTCCAGGATTTCCAGGATAGCCTAAAAAATAAACCACCTGTATTTGAATGCTTGCCTCAGGATCCATTTCTGGGGCAGCCCAGCCAAGATGAGGCCGGAGGCCCCAGGGAGTGGGTGGTGATGGCACTGCTGGGCTGTGTTCAACACTTGCCCCCTACTGCAAATCCCCTTCCCAGGTGGGGAATTCTGGAGCCTCCCTGCGTCTGTCCCCGAGGCCCACGTAGACGAACCACAGACACCCACTCACCAGCACTCCCAGCAACTGCTCAGCCCTCCCCACCGCCCTTCAGCCACCCTGCCTTGCACCTGCTCAGATCCTCCCCAGCCAGATCCCAGCTCTGGCCCTCACCCTGCCTCTGGCCCTCATGGACTGGATATTTTTGCCTGGCTCCCTGGTAATTGAACCTAGTGGCTGGCGCTTCTCAATGTCCAGGCATTCATCTATAGCTGACTAACACAGCCTCCCCTGTGACCCTGCTGCCAGGGCTGTCACCTCAGAGTCAGCCTCTGGCCGTGCCGTTCCCACAGGGAGGAGTGGTGGGAGTGAACATCTGGGCTCACTTCAGCCTGTCCTCCAAAGACTCAGTGAAACACAGTGAATTAAATAATACCCTAAATAAAATAAATGAATGGCAGAGTGTTTACTAAATTCCCTGCCATCTTCAGTGGGAGGCTGATTTTAGGGGGAAGCAGGGGTGAAGTATTCATATTCTGTTTGGGCTCCACGGTCCATGTCAGCGCCTTGTGGCGGGAGCTCGCTGGCCTGCAGGATGTGGGGTGGGGGTGTCATGAAGAAGTGAGGCTGTGAGGCCACCCCAACTGGGGCCTCAAAACTGAACAGCTGAGGAGACAGTGGGGCTGGGTCCTGCCTCGCAGATGCTCTCTGGCTCCCTGGGGTAGGGGAAGGTTCCTGCAGGGCTGGGGCTCTGAGTAGGGCTGGCTTGCTTACTTACCTTCTTCATACTTGTAGTTCTCTGTGATGTCATCCCGCTCGTCACTCTGGATGCTCTTTGTGCTGATAAAATTGCCAACAGAACTCGTGTCCTGGTGAAGCTTCTGCTCCTTCCCTCCCTGGACGAGCCAGGACATGCAGTCAGCATTCACCATCGAAAACACAAAGGGCGTGTCATAGTTCAGGTCCACTTCTCCTTCTTTGATGGCTCTGACAGAGGCAGGGCCACAGCAGTAGACGCCTGAAGGAGAACAGGGGAGCCTCGGTGGGCTGTTTGTTGCAGGGCTGGGCAGGGGTGGGGTGCTTTCCACGGGAGCGGGGCCTGCCTTTCTTCTGGAGAGCCTCACCGTTGCTCATCTCCTGAGGTGTGGCGTCCAGCACCTGCCAGCCTCCATATGCAGGGGGCAGATCCTTCCGGGCCATCCAGCACTCATTCCAGACATGGAAGTTCCTGTGTCAAACAGAGCCAAGGGAGACGTTGTACTGCTTGGTCTTTCTAGAACAAGGCAAGGGAGGGATGAGCAAATGAACTGTTGGATAGAAAGACAGACTTAGCACACACAGGGCTTAAAACCTCTGTGGATAGCCAGGCACGATGGCTCATGCCAGTAATCTTAGTACTTTGGGAGTCTGAGGTGAGAGGATTGCTTGAGCTCAGGAGTTCAAGATTAACCTGGGCAAAAAAGGAAGATCTCGTCTCAAAAAAAAAAAAAAATTAACTAGGCATCATGGCACATGCCTATAGTCCCACCTACTTGGGAGGCTGAGGTGGAGGATCACTTGAGCCTGGGAGATCAAGGCTTGACCTTGATCATACCACTGTGCTCCAGCCTGGGCAGCAAAGCCAGACCTTGTCTCAAAAAAGTAATTAATTAGTGACAGGTCTTCCTCTTGTGGACCTCTCTTTGCCTCCCAGAAAAGAGTCTCCCTCTGCGGACTCAGCTTGTGAACAGAAAGTGAAGGCTTCCAGAGTCCACTGAAGTTAAAAATCCTTCACTGTCTCATGAAACAGTCTTTGTGGCCCCTTTGTGTGCGTTGATGACTCACAGAGGCACTCGTGGTCTTTGTATTCGGAGGTAAGGCCGTCCTGTGGTCAGAACTGTTGGGACTCAGGAAACAATACTCCAAAATGAAGGTCTCAGAAGCAGAAGTGTTTTTTTGGACCTTTTCCTGTCTTCCTGTCTCTCAGTCTCATTTACCCCCATGGCTAGGCATAGAAATTAAAATCTCGCCTCCCCAAGGTGGGAAGGTCATGGAAACCAGAACCCCTTTTCCCCAAAGGCAGTCTTAAAACCTAAAAATATTACCCTAGCTTTCCTTCTGCCTTTTTGTATAAAAACTGGCCATAAAAAATTTATCTGACCTACCTTGTTTGACTGTAGGTCAAAAAACCCTCATTCTAGAGAGGGTTCTGCCCCATATTGGGAAGGAAGGAACTCATGCTCAGAGAGGCCAAGCAGAATGTAGACAAACAGGGCTGGGTTTCCCCACTCAGTCTATTACCATTAGGTCATACCATTTGTCCAAGCAGATTTCTACATGGCTGTCCATACTCTGTTAGACTAAGCATAAAAATGGACAATTTCCCCTGTATCTTTGGGTCTTCATTCTGAAGGCTCCTGTATATACGTTAATTAATGTGTATGCCTTTTCTCCTATTGATCTGATTTTGTGAGTTGATTTTTTTTTTTTAAACAAACCTTCAAAGGGCAGTGGGGAAATTTTCTCCAGGCCCCATAGAGCCAGGAGGTTCTGTGATGGAGGTGACAAAGATGAAAACCTCAACCCAGGGCAGAACACTCTTATGATATGAGACTTCTAAACCCCAAATGGGCTTTGTTCAGATGTCTCCCAGCTGAAGATTGGCAAGAGGTGTGGGGACAGCCTTGGTGGGGGGTGGGTGGGGGAGGGTGAGGGGGTGTGGAGGAGGTGAAGGGGAGGGACCAGGCTCATGGACCTCGTTCTGCCCTTCCTCCTGCCATGGGGCTTGGCTCTGATGTGTGGCCCTAGAAATAGGTTGAGAGGTTGTTTCTCACCAGATAGTATCCTTCTTCTTATTCCCCAAAATCCTGCCTGTGTTGTCATAATACTCATCTATGATCAGGTTTCCATCTGTATCGTGGCCAGAGTCGAAGTTGGTGATCACACGGGTAGGGATCCCCAGACACCTCATCACTGCAAAAAGGGCACAAAAAAATCACCTGTGAGCTGTAGATTCCGGACCCGTATATTCCTGGACTTTGGGGCCTGGACCTGGGGAAATCTTCCATTTGCCATCTGCAGGAACATGCTGGAGCTGTCTGGAACACTGGAATAGTGATATTTCCAACTTCCTTCCCCACTTCTGGAGCTCATGGGAGAGATTCTAGGCAAAGGTGGGGATGCTGACTGCTCAGACAAGCACTGCCTGAGCCAGTAAAGTCTAGCAAGCTGTGAGCTCTGCTTACGCCAGGAGGGTGGGACTGGCAAGCCTTTCCTTTGGCAAAACTCAGAGGCCTGACTCAACTGCATTTCTCTTCTGGCCCTAAATCTCCATCTTCAAGCCAAAGCTGGAATTCCATTCCTTTCTGTAGTTAGGATTATTGCTTCAGACCATCAGATTCTCAAGCAAAATATTCTGTGGCTTTGATTCCCCCTTTTCCTGGGTATATGATCTTGGAAGCCTCTCTAGAAAAGCATCATAGATTAAGCCAAGAGGAAAGAAAACCATGTAACAAGAGCTTAGAAAAGTGAGAGTTTCTACCTGGTAGAGAAATTCTTGAAAGAAGGTAGAGTGTTGTCTTTATTCCTGGGGGCCATGCATTCTGTTTGCCAGCCAACTTCCTTTCTTTATCCTCTGCTGTATTTCCATTCTGTGCTTTTTATTTTTTTTGAAGTCAAAAAAATCGCACTCCAGCCTCCTCCTCCTCCCGGGTTCAAGCAATTCTCCTGCCTCAGCCCCCTGAGTAGCTGGGATTACAGGCACACAACACCACACCCGGCTAATTTTTTTTTTTGTATTTTTAGTAGAGACGGGGTTTTACCATGTTGGCCAGGCTGGTCTCGAACTCCTGACCTCAAGTGATCCGCCTGCCTTGGCCTCCCAAAGTGCTGGGATTACAGGCGTGAGCCACCGCGCCCGGCCTCTGTGCTCTTTTAAGTACAGGAAAATCTGACCATGAAATGCTCTGGGGATTCCTGTCCCTTCATGTCCAGCAATGACAGTCCACTCAATCTAATAATGACAATAATAGTATCTACCAGCTGGGCATAGTGCTAAATGCTTCACACATAGTATCCTTAAACAACTCTATCTGATGGCTACTATTATTATCTCCATTTTGAAGACAAAGAATCAGAGGCTAAGAAAGTTTGCTACCTTGACCAAGGTCACACAGCTAGTAAGAGGCAGAGCTACCACTAAAATCCTGGTTTCACTGCTAAGCTTGCAATCAATACTGAGTCCAGCTTTTGGTAGTATGCATACAGTTCAGCATCTTAGTGTTTTTACCTAATTTTACATCCTAAGCATTTTCCTATTTTATCGAATATTTGCCGAAAGCAAGATTTTAGTGGTGATTATTTTGAAACATTTAGTTGGTTTTCAATTTTCCCCCTGTTGTAAATACTGTGATAAATACCTTTGTAGATCAATATCCCCCCTCCCCTGGGACATATTCTAAGGGGTAAAGTGACTGAGTCAAAAATATGGTTATTTCTAAGGGTTCTTCACACACACTACTGTCATTTCTTAAAAGTTTATAATTTTTAGTTTAAACATTTAATTGTGTACAGATTTTAGCTCACCCTCTTCTTATTCTGCACTTTGACACAGAGCCTCTCCAGGCCAGGGTGGGGACAGGCCTCTGGATGCGACCAGAAAAGGGAGGGGAGAAGCCCAAAGGGAGCCTTGAGCTCGCGTGGCAGGTTTGAACAGGGCTGAAGAACTAGGGCAGGTGGTGGGTAGAGCTGACAAGTGGGTTGTAGGTGGAGGTGACACAGGACAGCTGCAGAGGTGAGGCTGAAGTTTGAAAAGCTGTCACTGAAGGACCCTGAGACAGCAGTGAGGCAAGAGAGCAGCATTGCAGGGGCGCATTTATGCTAAAAGTACAGTCAGGAGGGTGGATGACACTCACAGTGACAAGAAAACGTGCCAAAGAAGAGGGCAGGGAGGGAGAGCAGGGAGCAAGCCTCCCCCTGCCCTTCACCCAGATGGATGAGTTCATGAGTGGCCACCTGAAGTGTCAATAGTGGTGTCAACTCCTGCTAAACATGACTCGATGGGCACTTTCCCACCCTAACACAGGTAACTGGTCCTGAAGCACTTTGAAGTTCTCCATTAACCAGAGTATGAGGCTTGTAATGAATTGTTTATGAGTCTGTCTTCCTGAGGGCAGGGATTGTGTGTTATTCATCTTTATCATTACTCAACCATTAACAATACAGGGCAAGGCCCATTTTGCATCTTGCTGCATCTTTGCTGGATGGATGGATGAGTGGTGTCTTGTGAATCTTTTGCCTGTTCTGGTGATTTCTGAGTTCAACTCACCACTATCCTGATGGTTGTGGGATATGCTTTGGGTACCAAGCTCAACTGTCCGTAGAGCATAAGCTTTGAGTGGTGATGGATTTGCACTGATCCAGTCTCACCCTTTGCTCATCATGGCTTGTGAGAGGACTTGGATGGGGAGCAGATTGTCACAGTAGAACAGAATGAAGTTACAGAGGGGCAAGAATGGTTTCTTACATAGGGGGTGAAGCCAAGGCATCAGCTTCAAGGCACTCAGATCTGTTCACCAGAAGTCATGCACATACATGTTTCCAGGGGCCTTGCTCCAGAGCTCTGTCCTTCTGGTTCTGTCCTCCCACAAAGAGCTCATCCCGACTATGGCTTTCTCTCCCACTTCTGTGCCCAGGACTCTTGAATTTGAATCTTGAGCCTGTCTAGAGACCTTGCTGTCACTGAACACATCCCTTACTGAACTTATTGTCTTCCAGCCTTCTCGGTCTTCCTTTCTAGTCAAGGACATCATCATCATCATAGGTACCAGGCATGGTGCCAAGCACTGCACAAGGATTATCTACCTTAGTCTTCTTCATACCCATATGATTATCCCAACTTTAAAGATGAGACACCTGAAGTTTAGAGAGGTAAGGTCACAGGGCAGGAAGAGAAAAACCAGGGCAGGACATAAACCCATGTCTCTCTGATCTCAAAGCCTCTCATGCTTTTAACTGCAGGCCACAACACTGTAACTCCATTGGACATCCCAGCCACACCTCAGTCTCAATGCACCTTCCTCTGTGAAGTTTTCACCAATGACTCCACACCGCACTCATCCCTTCTCATGCTCTCACATAACCCTGATCGCCTGTGTCACACATTTCAGCACTGGATTCGGCTCTCTGTAATTTAATGTGTCTGTCTTACCTTGTCTGCCAAATTACAAATCCCCCTAGAGTTGAGCTCATATAAGACTTTTCTTGCATTTCTACATTCCTAGTACAAGGCTGGGCACAGGGTAGGTGCTCATTATATTCCTGTTAAAGTGAGGCACCTTTAACCTGTTTCTGCAGACTATCAGTCCTGATGACTCACAGTTTGACATGAGATTTAGGTGACCTGTCACTGATGATTTTGTGGGATCTGAGTCCCTCGTGAAAGAGAAACCCATGTGTGGCATCTGTGCTTATGGACATGCATACACTACATGCACTGATGCAGTGACAACTGGGCAAAGGTGAACGAGATCTCAGAGTTGGGAAGGGACCACAGAGTTATCAAGGTATATCACACTGCATTCTCAGCATTAGTAATTACATTTCTTCATTCAGCCATTTAGTAGTCATTCAGTGATAAGTGTTGAGACCAGGTAGTCAATTAGATGAAGAGGATACAAAAATGAAAGACATTCCTGCCTTCGAGGAATACAATTTCACTTGACTGGTAGTGGACCATGTCCTAATGGTGTATTAAAATGATGAGTATGGGGCCAGGCACAGTGGCTCAGGCTGGTAATCCCAGCACTTTGAGAGGCCAAGGAGGGAGGATTGCTTGAGCCCAGGAGTTTGAGACCAGCCTGGGCAACATAGTGAGACTTCACCTCTACAAAAAAATAAAAAAATTGGCCGGGTATAGTGGCACATGCCTGTGGTCCCAGCTACTCAGGAGGCTGAGGCAGGAGAATCGCTTGAGCTCAGGAGGTTGAGGCTGCAGTGAGCCATAATGGCGCCACTGCACTCCAGCCTGGGTGCTCCAGCCTGGGTGACAGAGTGAGATCCTGTCTAAAATAAAATAAAATAAAATATCTAGTATGTTTCAGGACTGGCTGTAAAGCTCTTTTTGCTGCAATGTGGAATGTGGCCCTAATTTTATAAGAAAATTCAGTGGAAAGTTAGAGTTCAATTTATTGAAATGCATTCAGTTAGCTTTACTGCCACACTCCCATAGCTTTTATCGAGAAATGTGGCCAAAACTCCAGCTCTTAGAGTCAAAGTAATTGAGTATAAATGTGATGACTTTTATCACCTTTTAATTTCTCCCTGAACGCATTAAGCTTCCAAATGATAAATATATCACTTCCTGCTCTTTATCCCATGCCTTTAATCGTCCCTTATAACCAAGATGATCATATTGCTTTGGTCTTTCAGATATGCCATCACTAATCATATTTGAACTGTTCTCTCTCACCTGTAATGGCAAGGAAATGAAATCTTATTTGTTTCCTTAATAGTACCTTAAGTATGCAAAGGTATACCATCTGTTTTCCATGATAATCTCCGGTCTTCTAGCCTGCACTAAGACAGGGCCCTACCAAAATTATTTTTTGATAAGGGGGTGGGGGCAATTAAGAACTGAACCCTCGTCATCGAAGTGCAATAACCTGTTACTCAAGAAGTACAAATGAGCACTGTTTACAGAGAAATAGGAAATGGAAACAAGGATATCAACCTTGAAGGAGCAAAGCACAGCATGTAGGACCTGGGTCATGTATTAGATGAAAATGGCAGCGCAGAAGATGGCACTGGGCAGTTGCCATGGAGCTGTGAGACCTGCTCTGTGGCTCTGTGGCAGATTTGTAAGGGTTATCTGTGTGTGTGTGTTGGGGGGGGGGGTCTTAAATGGCAAAAAAGGCCCCTTCACAATGAGCACTACAATCTACTCCCTCCATCCTCACACAAGTCAGTCTCCTGGACCAACAGAGAAAAGACAAAAATTTCAGCTGCTTGTGTGGGGATGGACAATCAGAAGACTGCTTTAAAAGACCTCTAGTCAAAATGTTTAATATGAATATTTTATATCTAACTTCCAGTTGCAAAATACAAAGAACAGAGGCATAAGACCAACAATACAATGAAGCCCTCGGGCAAGTCTAAAAGGTAGAGTTGTGCAGGACAACTGTCTCAGTGTCTTCAAAAAAGTCACATATTGAATTAAAGGATCTCTTTGATATTAAAGGAGACACAGAGGACATTGCAATCAGGTGCAATGTTTGGTTCCTAATTAGATCCTGATTTGGACAAACTGACTGTACAGACACAGCCTGTAGCCTCGTCCCCCGCCACTTCATGCTAGCAAAGACTGAACCATCTCAGCCAGGCATCAAGGTCAACATCAACAGTGATAAGTCGTATTGACAGCAGGCACCCTTGATATTATGTGAGCAGGAAGCACTACTTTTGTTGTCTTCCTCCCCAAAATACATACTTCTAGTATGATCATGAGAACAATAACAGACAAATCGCAATTGAGGAACTTCCTAGAGCAGCATCCAGGCCACAACACAGGCTCGGGAAGCCCAGAAAGAACTCAGCAGTCTTAACAAGTTAACGAGATGAGATCACAATTGAGGGAAGCTAAGATGGCTCAAATTTGCAGGATGGAGTGTATGGAGGGGAGAGAGCTGAACAGAGAGAGTATTCCAGAGATCTGCAGAGGGGTCTTTCAAGTCTTTGGCTGAGTGGTAATCTGTGCAAGCATGGGGATGAAATTCCAGGAGGCCAGATAAAGCAATAGAGTGGAGACGCCTCATAATACATAGGGCATTTGATAAGAGTCTTCAGAAGAGGCATGACTTAGTAGTGGGGCTAAATTAAGCTTAGGGTAAAGACTGCTCTGGAGCCATCATAACAAAGCTTAAAAGCAAACCTCAAGGAGTTTGAGACCAGCCTGGCCAACATGGCGAAACCCTGCCTCTACTAAAAGAACAAAAATTAGCCGGGCGTGGTGTTGGGTGCCTGTAGTCCCAGCTACTCAGAAGGCTGAGGCAGGAGAATAGCTTGAACCTGGTAGGTGGAGGTTGCAGTGAGCTGAGATTGTGCTGCTGCACTATAGCCTGGGCGACAAGAGCGAGACTCTGTCTCAAAAAAAAAAAAAAAAAAAAGCAAACCTCCAAAAGCTCAAATTAATCTGCAAGGAATTTGTTATTGCTGTACCACACAAAGTCCTTTAAAGGAATAAAACAAAATCCAGTTATCAACAGCATAACACAATAAAAAATGGGCAAGCATGCAAAGAAACAGAAAAATATGACCCATAGCCAGTAGAAAAATTAATCAATAGAACCAGATTCAGAAATGCCAGAGACAATGAAATTAGCACTGAGTGACGAATCATCCATACTCCAAACTTCAGCATCATGTAATATACCCACATAACACACCTGCACAGGTACCCCCGAATCTAAAATAGAAGTTGAAATTATTTTTTAAAAAGCTGACCTCAAAAAAAAAAGGAGACAAGGACCTCAAAGAGCTATTTTAAATATTATAAATATGCTCAAAATGCCCAAAGGGAGTTATAGAAAAACAAAAACATAATGAGAAGAGAAATGGAAGGTAAAAAAAAAAAAGACTCAGTGGAACTTCTAAAGATGAAAAATACACACGGGTCCAAGTGCAGTGGTGTTTACAACTAATTCATCACAACAAGTTACAGATTTCTTTGTTCCTTTTCCATTCCCACTGCTTCACTTGACTAGCCCTAAAAAATAAACAAAAATAAAACTATATACATATGCATGCAAAAGACAAATACAATAGATGAAACCAAAACCATACTGAATAAAATACTGCACAAAGATAATAATATGATTTTTTTGCGAAAACACATCCAACTACAGTGCTACATATTAAACACATTAAAATGTTTCCCTATCATGCAGAGAGGTGAATGGAAGTGGGCTATGAGATAAAAGGGGGAAATTAATTTTAATAAGAAGGGCCTTTTACAAAGAGGGGCCTGAGCAGACCAATTATGGTAAGTGCCATGAAATGAGGAATATAGTTAACTCTAAACATTCCAAGAAAGAAAGGAAATAAAAGGGAAAAAAAGTGGGAGAGAGGGGAACTGAAGTTTCAGGGATAGCTAGAAACAACTTTTTTATTTATTTTTATTTTTTGAGACAGAGTCTTGCTCTGTCACCCAGGCTGGAGTGGCCTGATTTCAGCTCACTGCAAGCTCCACTTCCCAGGTTCATGCCATTTTCCTGCCTCAGCCTCCTGATTAGCTGGGACTACAGGAACCCACCACCACGCCCAGCTAATTTTTTGTATTTTTAGTACAGATGGGGTTTCACCATGTTAGTCAAGTTGGTCTCGATCTCCTGACCTGGTGATTCCCCTGCCTCGGCCTCCCAAAGTGCTGGGATTACAGGCATGAGCCACTGCACCTGGCCGAAACAACTTTTGAATAAGACCCAGCCAAAGCCCTGGAGCCCAAGAGGCAGAGATTAAAACAGTACCAGACTAATTATAATAGCTAACATTTAGATAAAACTTATGGGCCAGACATCTTTCTATCTACTCTCCATGTATTAGTCAACAACCTTACGAGGGAACATTCCGTACTATCTTATGTCAATGGAAATCAATGGAAAATAAGAAAGGTTTGTGTTTAGTCCAGGGCACTGCACAAAAGAGTTTGAACTGGGATCTAAGAAAAGGCTGGGGTATGCACCAGGGCCTTGGCTGCAGTTCCTTCTTTGAGACTTAAGGGTAAAAACAATGAGAACAAGAGTTATTGTATTGAAATGAAGATGAGATACGTTTTAAAGGCCCCTACATAATTGAGTTAGAAAAATCTTAGATAATATCTAGCTCAGGGGTTTTCAAAAAAGTATTAAGCAGAGGGCCCTATATGCAAACCAATCATAAGTGAGGATTTGATGTATAAAAGACATGCAAGTTGGGTTGCTTTAGTTTAAGAGGGCCCAGTCCCAGTCCCAACCAGGCAGCCTCCCATCGCCCACACCCTTTCCTACCTCCCCTTCCCCTTACAGCCCCTGGGACCTTGGACCTTATTTTACAGAAGAGGGATGATGCTGTACACCTGCTTACGGTCACACATTAGTACCTCCCAACCCTCAGCCCAAGTCATTGCTGTCCCCTACCCCACTTCCAACCCCAGGCAGTTATGGACAAGAATAGACCAGGCATATTCCCAGGATGCCTGGCTTCTTCTCAAATAATTTTCTTGAGATATAATTCACATACCATAAAGTTCAGCCTTGTAAAGTGGACAGTTCAGTGGTTTGTAATACAGTCACAGGTTGTACAACAATCTTTACTGTCTAACTCCAAAACATTTTCACCTCAAAAGGAAACCTCATTACATTAGCAGTCACTCCCAACTATCCCCTCCTCCCAGCCCTAAGCAACCACGCTCTACTTTCTATCTCTATGAATTTGCCTGCTCTGGACATTTCATATGTATGAAATTATACACTATGTGGCTTTTTCACAGCTGGCTTTTGGGGAGTTTTCAGGCAACAGAACATCACTGTCCCCTCTGTACTCTTGCTATCGTGAAAGGCATCCAGGCTACTTCCCAGACCTCAGCCGAGGGCTGAGGGTTCCAATCTTGTCAAAGAGTGAAAGGCCAGAACAGGAAGAGCCTGAGGGCCTAGAACTCCAGGGTGCCTGGCCCTGGGCACAGAAAGGGTAGGCCAGGGAGTTCTCTAAAATTCTCAAGTAACAGGCAACTAAATGGATGTGCAAAAACTATAACCTCATCTTTGAGGCACGCAAAGCCTCCTTTTGTGGTTTTTCTATGGGAAGTTGAAGTCAATGTGTCAACGTGTTGAAAGGCCACACTGGGAGGCAGGGCCGTAGAGGGGAGATGCATGTCTGAGTCAGACCAGAGTCCCTCAGTCACTTTAAGCCTGCTTCCTCATCTGTGAAATGGCTATAATGATATATCGACTTTGCAGGTGGTGGTCAGGATTAGTAAAAGTGAAAGCGTCCAGTGTGTTCCTGAGGGACTTGGTGCTGGATTAATGGCAGCTGCTAGCAATGTTCATGAGGTGGTATGGCCTGATGGTTAGCACATGGCTTACAGAGCCAGCCAGACTTGGGTATGAGACTGGCTCCACCACTCAATTTCCTCTTCTGAAAAATGGAGATGATAGGTCCCACCTCATAAGGTCATTTAGGGGATCAGACAAGAGGACCCTAACTGATGCTTCCTGAACACTCACTATAGCCAGGCACTATTCTAAGCACTCTCCAGTATGAAGTCACTCAATCCCTTCAATAATCCTATGAGGTAGGTACCACTACTTTCCCCATTGTACATCTGAGGAAACTGAGGCACAAGTTAAATGACTTGCCCAAGGTTACTCAGCCAATTAATGGTAGTGCTGGTATGCAACCTCACGCATCTTGCCTCCAGAGTCCACAAGCTTCTCCACTACTCTAGGCTGTCAGGGTTTTAGCACAGTGCCTGGCACAAAGGAAGTCCCCAATAAACATTAGTTACTATGGCTATGAAATAATAACATATATATTTTCAAAAAACATGCTTTGGGAACTGTTTGAGGTTAAGGAGTTTGACTAAATCTTTAATTTTAACTTTGGTTGAAGACAGAAGCTGGGTCTTACCCATCTTGTATCCAAGAGCTCTTGGAACACAGTGAGTGCCTGGTGTAGAATAAGGACTCAGTAAGTATTGCTGTGAAGGGATGAGTTTTTCAAACTGCTGTATTTCTTAATTTATAACATGGTAGCTCTTTGGGGGAAGGTTAGTGCTGATTGAGCTACAGGGGACTGGGCCACGTTTGACCTACTTTGACCAACCCTTTGTTTTCCAGGCCACTAAAGGGCCATGATTCTCACAAACATGTTAATTGGTCTACTGTCATTGCATAATCTCCATTCACTGGCTCCACTTCTCTCATCACGCAGTTCCAGACAACCACACCCAAACCTGGCTCACTCCTTCTACACACACATACCTGGCCCATTAGATGCTAGGCTTTTCCACACACTGGAAGGTTCTCTCTCTATCTTATACAAGATCTAGTCTCTACCTGTCAGTCTTGTGCTTGCTTCCTGAAGGACTCAGTCCTCTCACTTCACCCAAATATTCATGACATGGAGTCTCAAAGCTGTGGAATTCCTTGTTTCTTATACCTGGGCACTCAACTCATCCAACTCAACTCATCCAACTCAAGAGCTGGCTCTGCAGCTGCAGAGGAGTAATCTTGGGGCTTACTGATCATTCTCATCAACTGTGCAAAGTCACTCTCTCTCGGTGGCAACACCTCCTCGTGCCCTTGGACAGATGCCTGGGGCTCTCTGAGCTTCCTTCAGGGAAGTTGCATTCTTCCAACAGCCCAGAGATGGGCCTGGCACATATATGCACACGAAATGCAACAAACTTTGTCACACACAAAATTCTACCCAGAAGGCCTGAGCCCCCAATAAACACCAAGCTATGGGCAGATCTGGTATTCTTGGATTCCCCTAAAGAATCCTGTGAGCGAAAACCTTGCTTGGCTTCTCTCCCCAGCTTAACACAATAAATAACCTTCTGATCGCCACCCAAATCAGAATGCGCAAGCCAAGAGGCCGAGAGCAGGCCTGGGTGTGGGGCAGGGTGAGGGTGAGGACCCGGAGCAAGTGCTTGGCCCTGGGTGAGGCAGAAGGCCTCCTCCTTTCACCTCCATGTGTGACTCATTTCCAAGTATCACTCCCCTCATGATTTCCTCCTCATCTCCTCCTCTTGTCACCCACAAACCAACTTCCATTTGCCATCTTTTCCACATATGTATTTTTTAGTTTTTCCTCTACTAATGTAGTATCCATTCCTTATCTGAAAAGCTGACCTCACATTTTCTTCCTTCCCCTAACCCTCTGGCCAGAGTCAGGCTATCAGGCCCTCAACAACTCCAAATTCAAGGTCATTTCCCTTGGGTTGCCATCTTGCTCTGGCCCCATGGCCCACACCACAGCCCTGACTCACGTTTCCCTTCCATGTACACATCTTCATTGAGCCCATTCTCTGTGCTCAGAAAGGACACTAATCAGTTTGTAGTTTCCTAATTACTCAGCCTCTCATCTCATTTCTGTCTTGAACCTAGACAGTTCCCAGCCAAGCTCTTAGGAATATGCTGGTAAGTTGCCTAAGCTTAGACGAAGCAAGGGTGTCAGGCGTCCTGGGACGTGTGACTGTCACTTCGGAACCATGGTCTGACATAAGCCCAGACATGTGCAGTCTGAGGTCCGTGATGAGACACTTTATTTTTTTATTTATTTTTTGAGATGGAGTCTCACTCTTGTCACCCAGACTGGAGTGCAGTGGCGTGATCTTGGCTCATTGCAACCTCTGCCCCCCCGGGTTCAAGCAATTCTCCTGCCTCAGCCTCCCGAGTAGCTGGGATTACAGGTGCCTGCCACCGTGCCCTGCTAATTTTTGTATTTTTAGTAGAGACGGGGTTTCACCATCTTGGCCAGGCTGGTCTTGAACTCCTGACCTTGGGATCCACCCACCTCGGGCTCCCAAAGTGCTGGGATTACAGGTGTGAGCCACCGTGCCCGGCCGAGACATTTCAGAGAGGAAAAGGGCTTCCTTCCAAATGTCCCTTGGTGGGAACTGTGTGGGACTGGGATGGGAATGGTTCAGAAGGCTCATACATGAGCGGCTATACTTCTGACCTTTTTGTGGGGTCCTTTCTACCTCCTACCTGTGCACATGACGGCAGCAAAGACCCAGCATTGCCCGTAGCGCACGGGCTGGCAGCCTGTGGCGTTCCACTGCTTCAGGATGGCCACGCTGCCCGTCCACTCCGCAGGGTTGGCGCCGTCTGTGTAATTCTCACTCCAGTTTCCATTGAGCACCCCATTATCATCATTGCTGTTGATCTGAAGAGAAGCCATATAGAGAAGTGTTAGAAACATCCATTTCCTCAACATGCCATGTGTGGGCTGCCTTGGAAGACCCATGGGCCTGAGAAACAGAGGAGAGACTTTTGACAGCATTTTACTGTGGACTTCCAGACCTGCTGGGGAGGGCTAAGGATGGGGGTTGACTCTTCTGACTTCTGCTCCACTGTGAATTAGTTTATTATTATGTTCCTATCTACCCCTTACCCATGTCCTCCCATCCCCTGCAAAGCTGGAGCTTACCTCTGAGAGCTTTAAAAAACACTTCAGAAAAGAGGAAATTTAGAAACAACAAGACCATTTCCCAAACTGGAGCTACACTCACCCTTTCTCAAAACATGCAATTTGGAATTAATAGAGGTGATGACCCACACCCAGCTATTTCAGAGCTCGGCTGAGAAAACTTGTCACCCACATTCTGGCGTCAGTCTCATCCAAGATGGCTTTGCCAGAGGGTCCCTCTTTCACCCACTGCAGGGGGCAACTGTGAGTGGGCAGGGCTCCCGCTGCACAGCTTCCTCCCTCCCCGGGCACGCCAGGGACCTCACCATGGCACACACCACTCTGCTGACGTAGACGGGGCTTCCCCGCAGAGCACAGTCTGTGGCTGGGTCAGTCTGGAAGTGCAGGCTCTTGTCTAGCAGCTTCAGGCAGATGTCTATGATTTTGTCTTCAAACTTCGGGGGGAGAGGCAGAGAGGGAAGGCACCCATGCTTGTCACGTGGGAGTATGTAAAAAGTAATGACTTCCCCCCAACCCTAGTGGAATATAAACTCACTTGGAAGGTAACTGTGTCAAACAGAACAGCCATGAATTCCCTCCCATTCAGGTGTGGGGTTTCAAAACTCTAGGGTCACAATTCACCTGGTGCATATGCCCTGCACACCAAATCCCTCCCCTTCACTCCGAGATGACTATTGCTACTCCTGGGTTGTTTGGGTTTTTTCCCCAGTGAGTCTGACTGATTGAAAAGGCTCCTCCTCTCCTCTCAGTTCCCACACTCCTAGAGCACCAGGGGGTGTTCCTGCCAAAACCACATTGCCCCTGCTTCCACACTCACCTGCTGACCCAGCTTAGCATTGGCAGCTACTGCTGAAGTGAGGGTGCCAACCTGCCATGGCACCTGTGATTCACTGGGGCTCTAGGCTGACTAATTGCATGTGAATTATGAAAATTTCCCACCCAAGGCAGGCTGGCTCCTCCTGGTCCTTCAGACTTGGTGTGAATGCCACTCCCTCTGAGGCCTTCCCCGAGCCTGAGCCTGCTTTAGCGCCACAGCCCTGGGTATGTGCCCTCTCCGCGTGAGACTCAGTTACGTGATGTAGTCAAGTCTGTCTTTTCCTGCCTGAGTCTCGGGGCTGTTTCAGTCCAGCTCTCTTCACAACTCTGGACCTTAGGCCTGGCATGGTGCCCAGCACATTGCAGGAACTCTGTACCTCTTTGTAGAATGAGTGTAAATGAATACATTTATTCCTGTGTAACACTGGGCAACATGCAGAATTAGGAGGCTTCTCTGATCAATCTTCCCCAGAGGACAGTCTGATCAGCTCACTTTTCTGTTTTCAAATTTTCAAAGGCCTCCTACAGCCTAGAGAATCAAAGCTCTGACCTCCTTCAGAAGGCACATAAGTTCCTCCCAGATCTGGCCCCAACCTACCTCTCCAGCCTCAAGTATCAATAATTGCCCTCCGCCCCCATCCCTACCATTTTTTCTCCAGCAACACCAAATGTCTGCAGCGGGCCAAACCGTTTCCCACCCTCGTGTCTTTGCTCACACCTTCCCTCTGTCTGGGATGTTTTTCCCACTATCCTTCACTTGGCTAACTCAATTCAAACATCTCCTCTCCCAGGAAGCTTCTATGATACTCCCATGCCCAACCAAGAGCTCTTCCCCTTGGCTCTCAGAACACTCTGCCCCTGTCTCTCAATCTTTACATATTCATGATAAGTGACCTGTTTATGTGTCTGAGTCCGCATTACACTGTAAGATCAGGGACAATGTTGTATTCATTTTCATATCTCTAGCACTTAGCACCCTGCCTGGCACTGAGCAGGCGATCAATATATATTTAATGAAGAAGAAAGACAGAAATGGGCCAGGCGCGATGGCACACACCTGTAATCCCAACACTTTGGGAGGCCGAGACGGGAGGATCATTTGAGCCCAGGAGTTTGAGACCAGCCTGGGCAATATAGTGAGACCTCGTCTCTGCAAAAAATAAAAAAATTAGCCAGGTGTGGTGGGGCATGCCTGTAGTCCCAGCTACTCAGGAGGCTGAGGTGGGAGGATCACTTGAGTCCAGGAGGTCAAGGCTGCAATGAGCCATGATCTCACCACTGCCTTCCAGCCTGGGTGACAGAGCAAGACCATGTCTCAAAAACAAAAAGCAAGACAACAACAACAAAAGAAAGACAGAAACAGAGGGACCCAGGTCTGAGAAAGCAGCAACCCCTCTCTTCTGTTTCTTACAGATGGCAGCCCACTCCTGTCCAGGTCTCTCCATGATGCCCAATCTGCCCATGCTTAGTGAGGATTGGGGATGTGAGTTGGGGCCAGTTGAGGCCGCTATATCTCATCTTGGCTAGAGCCACCCCTGGGCCCAGGCTGGGGCTGGAAGGACACATATGTTGGAGTTCTATTTGGGCAGGTCCAGGAGAGGAATTCATATCAAGCTGAGACAAGGCTCCACGAGGATCCCCAGGGTTTCCTAGCTGACAGCTTTCTGAGAGGCTGAGGGCTGATCCTCTCCCTCCCACAGTGCTCTTGGCACTGGGGCTCAGCATCAAGAGCCCTCTTCCTTGCCTGGCACTGGACTTCCTGAAGTCCCTGCTGCAGGCTGAATTTGAAATGAGAGGCAGGCTTTTAGAAAGGCAGGAGGTGCAGAGCATTGCAATTAATATGACGTTATTTTTACGTATAAAGTAGCGTTTTAGAATGCGTATAGAAAACAAAATGTAGAGGAACATACACCAAGCTGGTGATGGTGCTTGGGATGACCTTCATGTATCCATTTTTGTAATGTCTCTTTGCAAATCTTTTTAAACAAGCATGTATTAACTTTCATAATTAAAAAGATGTATCATCAAAAAGACACAGAAATAAAGAGACAGTAGCCATGGGGAGGGAGATGCATTGCTGCTCATCAGCCCTGCTTCTGGCTGAGACATTCAGGGGACAAGTTGTCCTTGGTGTGACAGAACTGATGCTAGGGGTCAGTCACCAAGGGTTGTGAGCATGAAGTGAGAGAGTGGAAAATGGGACCCCAGTGGAAAAACAGTTTAATGAACCAAAATGCCGGGCATCATCACTGCTGTGATGGTTGCCATGCCTTCCATCTTCACCCTCATGCTCACTGGAATTCCTGGGTGAGGTGCCTTTAACTGCCCTTACCCTTAGCTCTTGTTGTCCAAATCAGACATGATCAGCAAAGAGAAAGGCCCTCCCACTCCCTATGGCTGCTCCTCGGGCAACCTGGGCTCACAACACACATCTTCCTCGTGCCATTTAGTTAGCGTTGGTCAGCAGTTCTAGGTGAAGCTCACATGTGCCCTGCTCCCTCTCCCCACAAGCTCGGGGCCGGGATGGGCCATAAGCAGGGCTGAGACTCACCTGTCCATAGTTCCAGGGACATGGGCGGATCCAGTTCTTGCTGCCTTGGTAGATGAAGCCATAATCATTCATGACATACTCCTGCCTCTGGGGTTCACTGTCCAAGTAGACAGCATCCTCTAGGAACCAGAGTGGGAGGGCACGAAGCAGAAAAGTCACCTTTCCCTTACTGCCCCATTCTCATCCCCACAGTCCCAGAGGAAACGGTTCTGGAGCAAGGGCCCCTGGCGACACCAAGAGGGGCACGAGGCAGTGGGTCTTAGGGAGTCCATGCTCCCAACACCAGCAACAGGCTCAACATGAACATAAGGTAGAATAATAAAAATTTCCCTTTGGTGGAATTTCTTGGTTTACAAAGCACATTTACATCCTATCCCCATTTTAAGGTTGAGGAAACAGGCTCAGAGTGATTAAGTAAATTGCCCAAATCACACATCAGCACAGAGCTGGAAATTGAACACAGCCGATTGATTCCATATTCTGTGCTTTTTCTGCTATACTAATCTTGGTTGGAAAAGAGCAAACCAGACCTTAAGGGTTGGCATTGACCTCATTATTCCTTTTGTAGGCATTTAATCTAGACAAAGCATTTCATATGTGCACAAAGGTTTAGACACTAAGCTGTTCATCTGAGTGCTGTTTATGATTCTGAAAAGCTGGAAACCACCTACATGCCCTGTTATTGGGGAGTAGTTAGATAGCTTCAATACATCTCCACCATGGAATCCCATACCATAGAGACGTAAGGCAGCAAAATCGTGTACATGGACGTGGAAATCTGTATGTGATACATGAAGTCTGAACAGATTATGAACAATGTTTACAGCATGAATTTTTATACATATACACATATACGTGCTGCCCATATGAACAGAGGGTTTTGAAGCCAGTTCAAAAATATCTTAACATTAGGTTGGTGCAAAAGTAATTGTGGATTTTGCCATTGAAAGTAATGGAGCTTACTTGAGGGTGGAGGGTGGGAGGAAGGTAAGGATTGAAAAACTACATGTTGGGGGTGTGGAGACGATGTGGAGACATACCAACACTTTTACACTGTTGGTAGGACTGTAAACTAGTTCAACCATTGTGGAAGACAGTGTGGCGATTCCTCAAGGGTCTAGAACTAGAAATACCATTTGACCCAGCCATACCATTACTGGGCATATACCCAAAGGATTATAAATCATGCTGCTATAAAGACACATGCACACGTATGTTTATTGTGGCACTATCCATAATAGCAAAGACTTGGAACCAACCCAAATGTCCATCAATGATAGACTGGATTAAGAAAATGTGGCACATATACACCATGGAATACTATGCAGCCATAAAAAATGATGAGTTCATGTCCTTTATAGGGACATGGATGCAGCTGGAAACCATCATTCTGAGCAAACTATTGCAAGGACGTAAGACCAAACACCACATGTTCTCACTCATAGGTGGGAATTGAACAATGAGAACACTTGGACACAGGGTGGGGAACATCACACACCAGGGCCTGTCGTGGGGTGGGGGGAAGAGGGGAGGGATAGCATTAGGAGATATACCTAATGTAAATGACAAGTTAATGGGTGCAGCACACCAACATGGCACATGTATACATATGTAACAAACCTGCATGTTGTGCACACATACCATAGAACTTAACGTATAATAATAAAAAAAAGAAACCATTACAAAAAAAAAAAAGAAAAACTACCTGTTGGGTAGTATGCTTATTACCTGGGTAATAAAATAATGCGTACATCAAACCAAACCTCTGTGGTGTGCAATTTACCTACATAGCAAATCTGTATGTGTACCCCTGAACCTAAAATAAAGGTTAAAAATTATCTTTTTAAAGTTAAGAACAAACAAACAAAAGGCCATGGGCACAGACGTCCACTTTGCAGGGTCCTAGAACTGTCTGGAAACTCTGTCTGACCCTGAGGGAAAGGTGCCCTCCTCAGAGGCAGCCTCAGACACAGCCTGATAGGAGGCTGGTGCAGGAGGCGTCGTTGCTGAGATGTATTTTATTGAGGGTTTGGGCCAGTGTGGCGAGAAGCTGCAGGTTCATGGTTGAGACCACACAGCCCCCTTCTCTCAGCCAGGGCCAGCAGTGGCCTGAGCTACACAGTGAGGCTTCCCAGCCAATACCCTCCTGTCCTGCAGCACCACAGGGCACTTCAGCCCCCACCAACCCTAGGCCCAGTGTTGGGTCTCCCGGGGCCTGGGTGTGGCACAAGCTCAAGAGAGAAGGCCCCATCATTAACGCTTTTCTCCCCACTGCTCAGAAGGCCCTGAGAGAGAGAGAGAGAGAGATACGAGACAGAGACAGGGAAAACAGTCGACTGGCCCTCCTGGATCCCATGGCAGGGTCTCTCCACCTGGCTGATGGGTGAGCATTCTCAGCCATTCGGGGACAGGGAAGCGGGTAGTGGTTAGAGGCGTTAGAACCCATCCAGGGCTCTGGGTCCTGATGTGACCCAGGAGGCCCCCTTGGGATAAGGCTGGGGGAGAAGGTAGAAAGAGAGGGAAGATGGGAAGCGGATGGTCCCCTAAGTCAGAAGCCAGACTTGGGAGTCTGGCCTCTGCTCAAAGCACAGCAGACCCGTTCTCTACTCCTGACCCCTTCTGCCCACACCATGTCCTTGTGTCTGCCTATGTATCTAGCCCTGTCCCCAACTAGATTTAGAGGTCAGGGCTTGTGAGACAGGTAGTGTGAGATATTCACTGTTACTTTGTCTATAGAAGAAGAAGAAAAAAAAAAACCGGAAACAGCTAAAATGCCCATAGAGAACTAGTTAAAAATATCTGGTGCATCCAAACAGTGAAATAATTGTAGCTGCTAAGAAGAATGCTCCGATAGGAAAATGTGCCCAAAGTTGAATTGTTAAATTAAAAAAAAAAAAAAGCTGGAGAATGGTATGTATTACATAATCTCACTTACGGTATGTATTGTAGAATCACACACACACAGAGGCATACATATTTGATTAAGCATAGAACACTTTTGTAAAACTACACAAGAAAATGTTAAAGGTGAATGGAATCTGAAAGAATAGAACTGCTGTTGAATGGAACTTAGAGATTGGGAGGCTTTACTTTTTACTTTACACTTTTCTCTTTCTTTTTTTTTGACCCTTTCCTTCATTCCATAAATACTCAGTGCAGTGCATTCGTTCCTTTTATAACGAAAAATACTCTAGTTAACTTAAAATTATATGATGAAGGTAGATGTTATTCACGATCAAACTTAATTGTAACAGTTTTTCTGTTTAAGCAAAGATGATTTGGTTTATAACTTGAAAATTCTAAATAAGTAAATGAATAGCAAGATTTCCTGCCCTGATTGGTGGTAGTTGGGGCGGATGCTGAGTGCAGGGAATTGAGGAGGCTCTGGGTGGCCCGGGAGCGGGGTCTAGAAACCCTTGAGCCTGTCTCTCTGGCAGCACTGACAGAAGAGAAAGGAGGGCACCGCCTGGGCACCCAGCCTTACCTGGGCACCAGGGATTGAAAAGCAGGATGAACTCCCCTAGCTGGTAGGCCGTCACAGACCCCTGGAAGGAGTCGATGTGGATTTTCAAGAGGTACCGACCCACGGCCGCCGTGGGAGGAGCGCACAAGCTCACCTCTGTGGAGGTGGCCCCATTGGTCTCCAGCCAGGCAATCCAGGGGCTGGGGCTGTGATGGCGTGCCAGGCTGAACACAGCCCGAGTCCCCAAGGCCAGGTCTGGCAGCGGTCCTAGGAGGGAAGTAGAGCTGAGGCCCTCCATGGCGACCTCCAAACCCCCGAAAATCCCCTCCCAGACACACACAGCCCCTGTGAGCCAGCTGGGGTTCTTACCAGTTTCAACCACGAAGATGATGTTGTCCAGGCCTGGCTGGAAGCTCCGGTTCCTGAAGTACAGGGTGAGGTTGAAGGCCTGGCCCCGGCGAACAAGCAGGTGGTCCACAGTGATCTCCTCCGTGTGGTGCCGCACATTATTTCTGGAGCTCTGGAGGTCTGTGAGGGCCACTTCTAGCCCTGCAATGGGGCAGCCAGGGTTAGACAAAATAGTGGGGTTGTGGAGCCAATCCTGTCCACCACTTACTAGTTCTGCAAACTTGAGAAAGTAACTTAGCTTGAGCCTCAGTTTCCATATCAGTAAAATAGAGTCCATAAGATCAGCCTGCCAGGATGAGGATAAGGATGAGGATTTAATGAGGTTCCATGCATGCGCTTTCCTCTTTTTTCCTTCCTCTCCTATCTCTCTGACCCTCTATCTTCTTCTCCCTTACACCCTCCTGGAGGGGCATGGTTTTCTGCCTCTGTCCAAGTCCTTCTGTAGACCTGGCCAAGTTTGATTGCTCCCTTCAGCCTCACATGGCTTCAGATTCACCCCAGCATCCGCTTTCTTGGACTCAAGTTAACAGTCTCACTTGCGCCTGTACTAGCCTCCAGGTCTGGGGAGCTGCTCCCTGGTTTAGTTGCCCTGGGTTTAACTCCTTGGGCTAGCTGCTCTTCCTTTTTTTGTGTGTGTGTTTTTTTTTTTTTTTTTTTTTTTTTTTTTTTGAGACAGAGTCTCACACTGTTGCCCAGGCTGCTGTGCAGTGGCACGATCTCGGCTCACTGCAAGCTCCGCCTCCCGGGTTCACGCCATTCTCCTGCCTCAGCCTCCCGAGTAGCTGGGGCTACAGGCGCCCGCCACCATGCCTGGCTAATTTTTTGTAGTTTTAGTAAAGACAGGGTTTCACCGTGTTAGCGAGAATGGTCTGGATCTCCTGACCTCGTGATCTGCCTGCCTCGGCCTCCCAAAGTGCTGGGATTACAGGCGTGAGCCACCGTGCCCGGCTGCTAGCTGCTCTTCTTTTAGCCATCTGCTGGCTCTCTGACCACCACAGGCCACGTGCTCAGTGCCCTGGGAGCTTGGATGCTGACAACAGTCAAAGAAAGTTTCATTCCCAACCTTCTGGAGCCTCTGCTAAAACACAGACTGACCTCACTAGTCTCCAAGTGTGTCTCTGCCAGAAGGGTCTGTTTTTGATTTTTCCTTGTTTGACCATGGTTCTGCCATGGTCCGAGTCACCTGGTGGGCTCACAGCCTTTAAATCACAATTGGCTCACCCATCTTCTTCTCAGCCCATGCCCATTCACCTGTCACTAACTCTCTTCATGCCTTCCATTAAAACATCTCTGGTGTCTATCCATCCTTTTCCACATTCACATAATTCCAACGTCTTCTCATACCGAGTCACCATAATGGCCTCCATGAGGTCTCCTGCCTCCTGTATCTCTCCCCATCTCCCATCTCTTAATGCATTATCAGATTACCTTTCCTCAAGACAATTTAATCATGCCATTCTTTTGCTTTACAAGTTCTGAGATCTCCTACAGTCTGCCATATAAAAGGCACATTCCTTAACTTGACACAGCTCTTCATACTTGGCCTTAGCTTATTCTTGCATTCTCACTTCTCATCATTCCCAGCATTGACCCTGTCCTCTAGCCAATCTATCCCCAAGCAAATCCCTGTTTTTGTATTTGCTGTTATAGCCCCAACTCAAGGGCCCCTCACTCTCTAACCAAATTCCACCTGTCCTCCAATACCTACCTGCTCCATGAAGCCTGCCTCAGTTGGCCCACCCTTCTTTCCATCACCTACTGAGCTATACACTTACCTGAATCGCTCATCTGCTTAATTGACAAGTTAATTTACATGACCGGTTCATTTGTTCATTCATATCAACAGACCTACTAGTGTAAGGATTAGGATGAGGTGTTCAGATGTTTTTCTTAGCTACTTTTTTGTCTGTCTTTTGCCTCTAGATATAAGCCAATAAGTACAGAGACCTAGCTGCTTTTTCTTGGTTGTATTTAGACTTTTTCAAAGTGAATCAGCGAATTCAACAGAATCCAACATTCTTTCATGATAAAAATATTCAACAAACTAAGAATAGAAGGGGACTTCCAGCCGGGCGTGGTGGCTCACACCTATAATTTCAGCACTTTGGGAGGCCGAGGCGGGTGGATCACAAGGTCAGGAGTTCAAGACCAGCCTGGCTAAGATGGTGAAACCCTGTCTCTACTAAAAATACAAAAGTTAGCCGGGCGTGGTGGTGGGCCCCTGTAATCCCAGCTACTCTGGAGGCTGAGGCAGAGAATTGCTTGAACCTGGGAGGTGGAGGTTGCAGTGAGCCAAGATCGCACCACTGCCCTCCAAAGCCCACAGCCAATACCATACTTAATAGTAAAAGATTGGATGCTTTCTTGCTAAGATAAGGAACAAGACAAGAATGTCTCCTGTTGTCACATCTATTTAACATTCTACTAGAGGTTCTAGCTAGGGCTATTAGGCAAAAAGAAAAAAAATCAAAGACATACAGATTGGAAAGAAGTAAAATTGTTTCTATTTACATGTGACATAATCTTGTATATAGAAAATCCCAAGGAACCCGCCAAAAAATATAATTAATAAATGAATTCAGCAAGGTTGCAGGACACAATATCAATATACAAAAACCAATTGTATTTTTATACATTTGCAAGGAGTAACCTGAAAATAAAATTAAGAAAATAATTCCATTTATAACAGCATCAAAAAGAATGACTTAGTAAATTTAACAAAAGTGCAAAGCCTATATCACAAAACATCACTGAAAGAAATTAAAGAAGACCTAAATAAATGAAAAGACATTCCAGGTTCATGGATTGGAAGGCAATATCATTAAGATAACAAGTTTTTCTGCAGATTCAACACAATCCCTAACAAAATCCCAACAGCCATTTTGTAGAAATTGATAAGTGGATCCTAAAATTCATATGGAAATACAAGGGATCCATACTAGCCAAACAGTATTGAAAAGTAAATACAAAATTAGAGGAGTGGCACTTCTTGATCAAGGCAATGTGGTAGTGGCATAAGGATAGACATATAGATCAGTGGAATAGAACTGAGAGTCTAGCAAAAAACTCCCATTTACAGTCAATTGATCTTTGACAAAGGTGCCAAGACAATTCAATGGGGGAAAGAATGCTCTTTTCAAAAAGTGGTGCTGGGACAAGTGGATATCCACATGCAAAAGAATGAAGTTAGATGCATAACTCACACCATTTATTAAAAATTAACTCAAAATGGATCAAAGACCTAAACATAAAAGCTAAAGCTATGAAACTCCTGGAAGAAAACATAGAGGTAAGTCTTTGTGATCTTAGACTAGGCAACAGCTTCTCAGATATGACAGCAGAAGTACAAACAGTGAGAGAAAAACCAAATGAATTGGACCTCATCAAAATTAATAACTTTTTGTCTTCAAGAACATCGTCAAGAAAGTGAAGAGAAAAGCCATAGAATGTTAGGAAATGTTTGTAAATCCTATATCTGGCAAAGGACTTATATCCAGAATACTTTTTAAAAAATTCATATAACTCTACAATAAAAGAGACAACTCAAATTTAAAATGGGCAACTGACCTGAATACACATTTCTCCAAAGGAGATACGCAAAAGGCTAATAAATACACGAAAAGATGCTCAACATCATTAGTCCTAGGGAAACACAAATGAGATACCATCTCGTATCTCCTAGGATGACTATAATAACAAGTGTTAGTGGGAATGCAGAGAAATTGGAATCCTCATACATTGCTCATGGGGTTGTAAAATGGTGCAGCACTTTGGAAAACAGTCTGGAAGTTCCTCAAGACATTCAACAAAGAGTTACCATAGGACCTAACAATTCGATCCCCAGGTATATACCCAAGATAAATGAAAACATGTTCACATAATACCTGAAAAATGGTAGCAGTATTATTCATAATAGCCAAAAAGTAGAAACAACACAATTGTCCATCAACTGAAGAATAGATAAACAAAATGATATACAAAGGAATATCATCCAGCTATAAAAAAAAAGAATGCTGAACATACTAAATATGGATGAACCTTGAAAATATTGTGCTAAGTGAAAACAGTCAGACATAAAAAGACACATATTATATGATTATATTTATATGAAATGTCCAGAATAGGCAAATTCATAGAGACAGAAAGTAGATTTAGGGCTTGCTAGGAGCTAAAGAAAGGTGGAATGGGACGTGACTGCCAATGTGTATGGGATTTCTTTTTGAGGTAATGAAATGTTCTGAAACTAGATAGTGGCGATACTCGCAAAATTTTGTGAGTATATGAAAAACCACTGAATTGTGGACTTTATAAAGCTGAACTTGATGGTATATGAATTATATCTCAATAAAAGTTGTTATAAACAAATATGAACCAAATTGACTGTGCCAAAATACCCTAATAAGTATTACACTTTATGTTAAATCTCTTTGAGTGCTTTTGATTACTTTAACACACATCTGTTTCATAAACTAGTTTTTTATTATTATAAAAGAAATTAAGCATAATGATCAGCATATTGTAGGTACTCAGATTTGCTAGGTTGAATAGAATTCTCTATCTTTTGCAAAATCACCCTGTACGTATTTCAGATTTCAGATTTAATCAACATCTTATTGAGGGCCTATCTACTATGTGCCAGGCACTGTGCCAGGTACGCTAGGACAGTTATCTCATTTAATCTTCATCGCATCCTTGCAGGGACAAAATGTCATGTCATCCACACTTGGAGATGAGAAAATCAAGGTTCAGGTGGGTTAAATATCTCGTCTAAGGTTAAACCAGGATTCCTGAGCCCAGTCCAGTGCTCTTCCCATCACCCCCAAGAGCTGTTGCCCACTGTTGGCTTTCACTCATGATCAAAAAAATGTCCACACCCACTGCCAGCTAAGAAAGCACTTGGCTTTTACCTAACAGTGGAAAAAGAAGCTTGCCCCCTTTGGAGACCAATTTATTAGACAGCACTAACTGGCTACAGTTCAGGTTGGGCACATGACGCAGGCTACTCAGCAGGCATGGCAGCATCTGCCTGGCAGCAAGCGCTGGGACAAAATTCCATCCTCTAGAGACATCCTGGGCCATGTTAATCTCTGCCTAAGACAGGAATGACTCTTCAGCCCAGGTGCCATCTATTCAAATAGGAGGTTCATTGACTACTGGGCATATTTGTTTTCCTTGAGGTGAGAGGAGAATGGGGTGAGATGATCAGGAAATAAACAGAAGACTGTAGAAAGAACTTTTAAAGTAAGTGATCTTAGTAGTTATCCTAGAGAGACACTCCCACGTGAGCACACAGAGGCATGGATAAGTATGTTCCTTGCAATATTGCTTGTGTAACCGGAAAATTGAAAACAACCTAAATGCCCATCAATAGGGGACAGGATTAGAAATTACTTGCACTGATACTATGAGAAATATTGAGGTAGATCTATAGGTACTGACTGGCATGGACAGAGCTCCCAGACATACTGTGGAGTGAAAAAAATCAAGTTGTAGAAATATACATACAATATGATGATACCATGGATATACCAAAAAAGACCACACATGCTAATCCTATGTATTACATTGAGTAAATGTATGTCTGAGTGTAAATGTGCAGACAAAAGACAGGTAACAGTGTTTACTCTGGAGATGAGGCTGCCATTGGGGATGGCGGGCAGAGGACTATAGCTTTATCTATAATTATTTATTTATTTTACTCCAACTATGTATTCCCATATTTCTTGTGCAATTAAAAGTTATGAAAATTTTAAAACAAAAATTTAAACACAAAAAGTAATAAATAAAGGTAAGGTTGTTACAGTTGTAGAGGAAGTTGAAAGCTTATTCCTCTAAATGATTTCAACTAACGATTTAATCTTCACAGCAACTCTTTCCAGAGTGAGGGGGATGATATAGAGAGAAGGTTGGTGATGGGAAGATTAGCTAAGATCAGTAATAGACCTTCTGAAATGGAGGAAGAAGAGAAGATATGAAGATTCAGAGAACTTAAGAGCTGGAAGACAATTTCAAGATTGTCTGGTCCAATCCCTCCTTTTTCAGGCAAGGGGGTTGGAAACTAGAGGCGAAGTGACTTGTCCAATGTCAAAGGGTCAGCTAGTAGCAGAGAAGGACAGAAACCCTGACCCCCTCATCTCTGGCCCTGCCCTGTCCCACCTGGCTATGGAGGCAGGCATGTTAGCAAGCAGCTGTGTGCTGTGTTTACCTGTCTGCCTCTACGCTGTCTCCTGGTTCTCAAGCCACCAATGAATACTGAGGTTTCTGGGATTCTTGCTTTTCCTGCCTCAGTTCTGTATTTACTTCTTTATTTCTCTGAATCCACCCTCCACCCCTTGACTTCCTACAGTCTCTCTCTGTCCTTCTTATCCCTGAACTCCAGTGGCCACAGGGGCTTTCCCTACCTTGGGCCATGGTAGCTGCCTCCGGTTCCTGGGATGCTCCCCACAGAACAGCTGGGCGGTCTGGAGCTTCAGCAAACTGGTGCCAGAGTGTCTACTTCCCCTTCCATTGGAAGCCTCCAGGAGAACCGAAGGCGGGGCTGGACTGCTGCACTGCCACCTGATTACCGAGCAGATCACAACTGGTTTGCTCACTTGCCCTCAGGTTTTTCTTGGCAGTGTTGCTGAATTGAAAGGAGGTGTGGAGGCTGATGAACTGTCACAGCCTTATGCCGTGTGGGCCTTTGATAGCTCTTGAGCAATAGGGCATTCCCAGGGAGGTGCTGTGCTGTGGTGGAGAAGTCAGGAGGGAGAAGCGAGCTGATGGGCCCGCCAGAGGGATGCAGGGGGCTGCTGGAAGGAGCATCAGGGTCCCAAGACTCTGCTCACAGCTTAAAGCACCTCATTGAGCCGAGAACCCTGCTAGGTAACCAAGGCCTCTCTTTTATCCTGAAAAGTCACTTCCTGAACATTAAATGCAAACAGAACCCTCTCTGTCTGGATCTCCTTCGGTATGATTTCACTGTATTTAGCTTTGGCAGTGGCATTGTCTTGCATGAGACCTGGCAGGTCCAAGACAAATCACAAATAAAAGCAAATAATCACAAATAAAATAGAGGAAGAAAAATTGGGAAGATTTGTGGAGGAGGTGTGGAAATAGGTGAGAGGGTGGGAATGCCGGTGAGCAAGGGCCTTGATCCTAGTAAGAAAGGCACAAGCCCTTTCATAGGGAGAAAAGCGCAGGTGGAAGGAGAGAGAGGGCAGGAGGGGGAAGGGCTCTGCCTGTGGAGTGGGTGGGACCCCCATGCCTACCCTGTCTTTCTGTGCTCTGGGGCACTTCTCCCCACATCCCCTGCTTTCTGGGTCCTTCTCCCTGGGGAACCTCTTTCACCAGCATTGTCCTCCCTCCTGTATTTTCAATTCTCTCTGTCCCCACTCAGCTCTTTTTTAAAACCTATGTAATTATTTTTATTTTTAATGTCCAGAATGTGTACTATAAGGGCCAGGGCTTCTTCCTGGACTTAATTTTATAAATTCTTGATTGGTTGGTGAGACCAATAGCGATACTTTTTCTTGTCTAATTTGGTTTCCGGGAAAGCTTCGTTCAAGTCGTCAATGGTCATCTGATCAAATGGTATTAAGTTCCTCATCTTCTCCAGCTGTTTCTCATATTCTCCAACCTGGCCTTTGAGAGAGACACCCACTCAGCACAAGTTTTCCCATCTTCTTTTTCTTCAGCATCCACCTGGGCAGTATATTTATCCTCTGGTACAGGAAGCTTCAGGACATTAAACTTCTTCTCAAAGTCATCCACCAAGCCTGCCTTGGCCACATTGGCCTTGTAGTAAGTCCAGTCAATAGCTGGTGGATTCTCAGGTAAAGTAGCCAGCCTGGAGGTGAGGGTCTCATTCCAGGATTTCAGATAATTAGCAATGGCCTTTTGGTTTTGGGGTATCATCTCTGCAAAAGCTACCCAGTCAATGGTTTTTAGAGCAAGTTTTCACCCAGCCATCTTGGTATACTTCACTGACCATGGCAGCCCATGGCCCACACCCCACTCACCTCTTATAGGGTATATGTGCACAAATGCAGTTCACTATTTTAACACAGCACATCCACCTTCAACTCTCATCCCCAGCTTCCCTAGCAGCCCCTGCCCTTTCTCTCAACTCCACTTCTCAGCCAAGCTCCTTGCCCACTGCTTTGCCTCCCACCACCCCTCACCTGCTGCAGACTGCCTTCTGTCCCACGGCTGCCTCGACGCCACGCTCACCTCCCAGCTCTGAGGGCTGGGCTCTGGGCGCCTTTCCTGCTCTTACCCTGCAAGGCCTCCTGCAGCCCTGCGGGTACTGTCCACTCCTCCTGGGCTTAGGTGACTTCTCTCTCTTGGTTGTCTAGCTGCCTCCTTATCCCCACTGTCCTCTTCCTCTCAGTCCCCATCACAGACTTTCCCTTCTTGAACTGGTGCCTCCCAGGGATTTGTCCCCATCTCCTCTCTTCTCACTCCACTGGCTCCCGCGTGACACTGGGGACCCCCAGAACTGTGTACTGCGGCACCCTCTGCTGGACAGCTCCTCTGGGGGAAACCTTGGACACTTCACAGCCAAGGAGTCCAAATGGAACTCTTCCCCTTGCTCCTTCCTCTCAAAATACCTGCCCTTCCTCTTGCACGTCTGGTCTTGATGAGTGAGGACACTGTCCATCCATCACTTCAGGGGACACCTGCGTGCCACCTTGTACTTCTCCAGCTTCCTGATCTCCCTTTAGCCCATCAGTCCAGCCCAATTCCTGATGCTGTCCTGAAACGGTGCCCCCCTTGCTCTGCCTTCACTGAAGCCCCCGCTTACCTGGACAACTCCTAACCAGTTTCCCATTCACCCTTTCTCCAAATGAGTCACCAGTGATTTTTCTGAAGTGCCAATTCCATCAGGTTGCTCCCCTGCTTAAGATCCCACAGTGGGTAAAGTCCAGACTTCTCAGCATCACCCTCAAAGCCTTGAGGGTCTTCCCCTCCCCACCTGGAGGCCAGGAAGGCTGACCTCCTCTCTCCCGCACCTCCCTCTCTCCCTCTCTCTTGCATGCATCAGCCTCTCTCTTTCTGAAATGTCCTCCTCTCACTCTACTTTCTCTGGTACCCAGGCTCGAGCATCACCCCTCCAGGAAGTCTTCCTGACACCCTTCCTCTGCTGCACCCGGATTCTAATAGGGGCTGCTTCTTCTGTATTTCCTATTAGCCAACTCATGCCTCAACATTATAAATACTTATCTGTCTTTCCCCCAATCACCCTGGAGGGCATGGACTGTGTCTTATTAACAGCGTTCCCAGTGCTTAAGAATGACAGTGCCTAATAGTAGCAGAACGACTAATACAACCAGCAGTAGCTTTTAATAACATATACTATTTTGAGGTATTTATATGCATGACCCCACTTGGTCTTACAACATCCCTATAGTTAGTTACTGTTATTGTTCCTACATTACAGATGAGGAAATCGAGGCTTAAAGACATTAAATAGATCATTCACAAAGAACTGGTAGAGCTAGATTTTGAATGCAGCCGTCAGACTCCAGAGCCTGGGTGCTTCATAAGTGCTTGCTTGCTGCAATATCTGGAACATAGTTGGTTTTCCAGTTCGTATTTCTTGCCCGATAGAGTGAATGAATTAAAAGATGGTCCCTACATAAACAAATGGATGAATACCTGAACCCACTGCCACATGCTGAGATGGGTTAGCTGGGAAGGAGGAAGGAGCATAGGCAGGAGACTGTAAGGGGCATAGGCAGGAGAGTGTAAGGGGCATAGGCAGGAGAGGGGGAACAGGAAGGTAAGTGCAGCTAGGGTAACTGTGGTGGCCAAAGGAGAAAGTGCCCAATGGCCAGCGGGACACCAGTCTGTTTTGTGGTGCCCAGGCCAGCCTGAAGCATCTGGGAACAGTTGAGAGGATTTTGGAGCAATCAGGCAGTCACTCTGAGTAAAGTCCCTTGAGTTGTGCCAGCCTGAGTGGCTGAACTCTTGGCAGCTTTGCCCATGCCCCAACCTTGAGGAGAGGGCAGGGAACTCACACCCATTGTGGAGGGCCTGGGCCTCCCCCAAAAGACCTCACATGTTCAGGAGCACTTAGAGAAGTCTTGTTTAAGGTAGCCACTGGACAAGAGAGGAGGCGGAAGCACCGCAGGGGCACGAAGCCCATTCATAGGGTCAGGAAAACCCTGGCCAGCTCCTCTGCCTGGACCGTAGGGCTGAATAAGACCTGGGCTCTGGGCCTAGGGAGCTGGTTTATAGGTTCAGCCCCTCATTCGATTTCTGTGAGCCATTAGTCAGAGGGTATGTGGGTGAGGGTGCTGGGGAGAGGGAGGCAGCTCTGATAGAGCAGCTTGTCCCTCAGCACAGGGGAGGGGACAGGGAGAGAGAGGGAGGCTAAGCAGGGTTGATGAGCACCTTCCTGTCCGGAAGGAAGCAGGGCTGTGCCCACAGGGGAGGGACACCTGAACAGAGAAGTGAGGACACATCTGCCATCCGCATGGGGCAGGCCAGTGCTCACTAGGTGGGGGTGGAGAACCTCCAGAACTTCCTTTTTTTCTTTAATTTTACAGATGGGGTCAGACCTTTCTAAGACCCAGAGAGACTTGGGTGCTGATTCCGGCCCTGCCATGAATTTCCATTGTGCCCCTGGGCAGGTGACAGTTTCTTTGCCTATAAAATCAGAGGCTGTGACGGGCTGGATGCCTGGGTCTGAGGGAGGGTGAGGAGGTGCCCCACAGACGATTGCACAGGGAAGCCACAGCTGGCAGACGCCAATGGATTCCTCTTTCCCCTTCTTTTCTCACCCCTAGAAACAGAGACAGTCACCCTGGAGAAGGGATTAAACTGGTAGAGGGCCTCTGTGAGTGCACTTCACAATTTACAAAGCACTTCAATTAAAAAAATTTTTTTTAAACTTTTATTTCAGGTTCGGAGGTACATGTGCAGATTTGTTACATAAGTAAACTCATGTCAAGGGGGTTTGTTGTACTGATTATTTCACCACTGAATACTAAGCCTAGCACCCAATAGTTCTTTTTTCTGCTCCTCTCCCTCCTCCGACCCTCATCCCTCAAGTAGACCCCAGTGTCTGTTGTTTCCTTCTTTGTGTTCATAAGCTCTCACCACTTCTAAGTGAGAACATGAGATGTTTGGTTTTCTGTTCCTGTGTGAGTTTGCTAAAGATAATGGGCTCCAGCTCCATCCACATTCCTGCAAAAGACATGATCTCATTCTTTTTTATGGATGCATAGTATTCCATGGTATATATGTACCATATTTTCTTTATCCAATGTGTCATTGATGGGCATTTAGGTTGATTCTATGTCTTTGCTATTGTGAATAGTGCTGCAATGAATATTCGCATGCATTTGTCTTTATGATAGAATGATTTATATTCCTCTGGGTATATACCCAGTAATGGGATTGCTGGGTCAAATGGTAGTTCTGTTTTGAGCTCTTTGAGGAATCACCATACTGCTTTCCACAATGGCTGAACTAATTTACACTCCCACTAACAGTGTATATGTGTTCCCTTTTCTCTGCAGCCTTGCCAGCATCTGTTTTTTGTTTGTTTGTTTGTTTTTTACTTTTTAATAATAGCCATTCTAACTAGTGTAAGATAAGATGGTATCTCATTGTGGTTTTGATTTGCATTTTTCTAATGATCAGTGATATTGAACTTTTATTCATTTGCTTGTTGGCCACATGTATGTCTTCTTTTGAAAAGTGTCTGTTCATGTCTTTTGCCCACTTTTTAATGGGGTTGTTTTTCTCTTGTAAATTTGTTTAAGTTCCTTATAGAGACTGGATATTAGATCTTCGTCAGATGCATAGTTTGCAAATATTTCCTCCCATTCTGTAGGTTGTCTGTTTACTCTGTTGATAGTTTCTTTTGCTGTACAGAAGCATTTAAGTTTAATTAGATCCCATTTGTCAATTTTTGCTTTTGTTGTGATTGCTTTCAGCATCTTCATCATGAAATCTTTGCCTGATACTATGTCTAGGATGATATTGCCTAGATTGTCTTCCAGGGTTTTTATAGTTTTGGGTTTTACATTTAAGTCTTTAATCCATCTTGAGTTGATTTCTGTATACAGTGTAAAGAAGGGGTCCAGTATCAATCTTCTGGATATGGCTAGCCAGTTATCCCAGCACCATATACTGAATAGGGAGTCCTTTCCCCATTGGTTGTTTTTGTCAGTGTTGTCAAAGATCAGATGGTTGTAGGTATGGGGCCTTGTTTCTGGGCTTTCTATTCTGTTTCATTGGTTTATAGGCCTGTTTTTCTACCAGTACCATGCTGTTTTGGTTATTGTTGCCCTGTAGTATAGTTTGAAGTTAAATAATGTGATGACTCCAGCTTACAAATACTTTATATTTTTTATGTAAAATAAATATACATACTTATTTATGTATACTTTATATATACAAATACTTTATTTATTTATTTATTTATTATTTTGAGATGGAGTCTCACTGTCGCCCAGGCTAGAGTGCAGTGGCACAATCTTGGCTCACTGCAAACTCCACCTCCCGGGTTCAAGCGATTGTCCTGCTTCAGCTTCCTGAGTAGCTGGGACTACAGGTGCACACCACCATGCCTGGCTAATTTTTTGTATTTTCCGTAGAGATGGGGTTTCACCATGTTGGCTGGGCTGGTCTCTAACTCCTGACCTCAGATGATCCTCCTGCCTTGGCCTCCCAAAGCGCTGGGATTACAAGAGTGAGCCACTGTGCCCGGCTGCAAAGCACTTTAGAATACACTGCCTCATTTGATCCTCACAGCAACCCTATGAGGGAAAGTCAGGCTGACACTCCTATTATTATGTTATCATTTTACCCCTGGGGGAACCAGGGTCACACCATGAGGGAGTCCAGAGCTCTTTGCTTTGTATCACACAATAATGCTGGATGTCGTGAACCCCAAAACCATCAGCCACAAGGACCTGAAGATGACAGATTCTGTGCACACCATGGGGGGATGGGAAGACCAGGAATCAGGAGCCAAGGGTGCTGCCTGGCTGGTGCTGCTTCCTTGCTCCACAGTGGAACATTTCTTTTGTCACAGTTTGTCTGCAGGAGCCACTGCCTGGCCTGGGTGGCCAGCCTTACTCTGTTGTTGTGAGGCCAGGGGAGGCTTGCTTAGGAGCTGGTCTCAGGGGGCACCATAGCAGTGGGCATGAAGGAATTCCAGCGTTCCAGGCCCTGGGGGATGTCCAGCTGGAAGGGAGCTTTGAGATGATCTAGTTTATTCAACTGAGGTGGAAAAAGAAAGCCAGACAGGCTTGCCTAAGTGAAACGAAGAAGGAGGAGAAGGAGGAGGAGGGGAGGGGGTTGGGGGAGGATACAGAGTATAATTTTTTTTTTTCTTTTTGAGATGGAGTTTCACTTTTGTTCCCCAGGCTGGAGTACACTGGTGGGATCTCAGCTCACTGCAAACCCTGCCTCCTGGGTTCAAGAGATTCTCCTGCCTCAGCCTCCCGTGTAGCTGGGATTACAGGTGCCGCCACCACACCCAGCTACTTTTTGTATTTTTAGTAGAGATGGGGTTTCACCATGTTGGCTGGGCTGGTCTCGAACTCCTGACCTCAGGTGATCAGCTTGCCTCAGCCTCCCAGTGTGCTGGGATTACAGGCGTGAGCCACCATGCTCGGCCCAGAGTATAATAATTTTTAAAGTCAATTTTTAGTTGGGGACAGGGAAAATAATTTGAAAGGTAGGCTGGAAAGGCAGAAATGACCAACATCCACATACCCCTGAGAGGTCTTTCCCAGGCCAGTAGGAAGCCTGCCTGCTGTTCTTCTCCAGTGACACAGCCAGGGATAGGAAAGGAGGGCCGTGACTAAACATGAGGACTCAGTGCTTGGCAGAGAGGCGAGGTTTCACATTCCTGCAAGGGCAGCTCGGGTGGCCCTCTCCTGATGGCAGGGAGCCACCTGGAACACAGCATGACAGGGCAGTGACAGGGCACCACGGAAATGCCCAATGGTACCTCATGGGGATGGGTGCAGCTGACACATGAGGCGGAGTGAGGACATGCAGGCTCCTACCCTTCCTGACCCAAGCAGCTGCGTGCAGGCAGGGCTGGGGGCCACCCCAAGAGAGAAAATAGGCCGGGTGCAGTGGCTCACGCCGGTAATCTCAGCACTTTGAGAGGCCAAGGAGGGCGGATCACGAGGTCAGGAGTTTGAGATCAACCTGGACAACATAGTGGAACCCCGTTTCTACTAAAAATACAAAAAATAAAATAAAATTAGTTGGGCATGGTGGCAGGCAACTGTAATTCCAGCTACTTGGGAAGCTGAGGCAGGAGAATCGCTTGAACTCGGGAGGTGGAGGTTGCAGTGAGCCGAGATCGCACCACTGCACTCCAGCCCGGGCAACAGTGACAGACTCCATCTCAAAAAAAAAAAAAAAAAAAAAAAAAAAGGAGAGAGAGAGAGAGAAAATAGAAGGGAAGGAGAAGGAGGACTAGGGGCAAACAAAAAAATACAGAGAAGAGAGGGAGGGGGAAGAGGAGGAAGGAGAGCAGGAAAAGGGAGGAAAAGGGAGAAGAGGAGGAAGAAGAGGGAGAGAAAGAGGGAGAGGAGGAGGGGAAGGGAAGGGAAGACTGAAAGAAGTCAAAACTATAGAGCCGCGGAGCAGGTGAGGAGTGGATGTGCCTGCAGACTGACAGGAAGATGCTCTCCTTTCCCATGTTTCTGAATTTTCTAAATTATCTATGATGGAGATGTATCCATTTGTAATGCTGACTTTTCAACAACATAATAAAAGGGGAAATAAAGGAAATTGGATGGTGTGTCCAGCCACCAGAGTCCCAAGGCTGAAAGCCAGAATGATCTCTTGAGAAATGTTAGCAAGGATTTTCTCTGGGATGGGGGAGCTATTGGTGATTTTCCTTTCGTTAGTTTTTTTTTTTTTTTTCCACTTTCCAAATCATCTAGAATGAGCAGGAGTAATTTTGGTAACCACAGGAGAAAGAAATACAAAAGAGTGGCTCCCTCTGTCCTTAAAATAACAAAAACAAAAGACACAAAGGAGGCCGGGCGTGGTGGCTATGCCTATATTCCCAGCACTTTGGGAGGCCGAAGCAGGCGGATCACCTGAGGTCAGGAGTTCGAGACCAGCCTGGCCAACATGGGGAAAACCCGACTCTACTAAAAATACAAAAAAATTAGCCGAGCATGGTGGCGTGCCTGTAATCCCAGCTACTCGGGAGGCTAAGGCAGGAGAATCGCTTGAACCCAGGAGGTGGAGGTTGCAGTAAGCCAAGATCACGCCATTGCACTCCAGCCTGGGCAACAGGAGAGAAACTCTGTCTAAAAGAACAAACAAACAAACAAACAAATACCACACAAAGGAAGAGAGGCTGAGAGTTGGGATGATGGGGAAGAATGCAAGATGAGGGTGAGGGAGCGAGAGGCAAAGGCGGGGACAGGGATAGCAGGTGAGGCTGTTGCTAGACAGCAGCCAGCTATGCAGCGCTTCCCAGTCATCCTGTCTGTCAATGAACGCATGCGGAAAGGTGGCTGCCTGTGCCTCCCAGGATACTCTAGGCTGGGGGCAGAACAGTCCTGCTGGGCAGCTTCTGGCCAGTTGCCACAGGGTCGCTGTCCTCCCGGCACATCCAAACCGCCCTCCCCAGGCCTCCCTCCATCCTCTGCCTGCAGGCTCACTAAGACAATGTAAATGGAGAGACCTGGGATCCTTAATTCCAGAGAGGCTGCTTTAGAGGGGATGGTGGTGGGCTTATTTTGTGGTTGAGGCTCTTAAGGGAGGAGAGAGAGGACAGGAGGGGAAGGGAGGGTTCAGCCACAGAGCTGGCAGCCAGGCCAAGAGGATCAGCCAGGAGCAATAAGTGGCTTGAGAATGCTGGTGATAAATAAAGACATCTTTATTGTCTCTTCCCAAAGCACACGGTGTTTCTAACAGAGCTTCATTCATTCCCAGGCAGGCTAGAGAGAGGACAGAGGTGGAGCCAAGACGACATAGCCAGGAGTAGAAAGGAGCCAGGTGGGGCAGGGGTGCCAGGGAGGGCAGCTGGAGGGCGGGTCTCAGGGAGCCCCAGCCACAGTGACGAAGATGTCCTTGTAGCCTTTGATCTCCTTGACCTCGTTGCTGCTGATGAGAACCTGGAGCTGGCGGGGTCCAGCTTTGGTCGGGTAGAGGTCCAGTTGAATTTGGAGGGTGTGTCCGGCCACCAGAGTCCCAAGGCTGAAAGTCAGAAACAGCCTGTGAGAGCCTCGAGGACTTCCTGCTGGCGGCAGGGGTGATCTGGTTCCCCTCTGGGTGGGTAAGAGGCTCCCACTCACCACCACCACTGAGCTCAGCCTTTCCTGAGGAGGGTGAGAAAGTGGGGGCAGAGAGGCACTGCACAGGAGACTGAGGAGGGTCCTGTGACGCCATGGGGCACCCCTTTCCTGAGACCAGCAAGGGGGAGGTGGGCAGAAGCGTCACTTACTCCTTTGCTATCT